>NC_000014.9:101126714-101429714 GCF_000001405.40 Homo sapiens | reverse complement strand
GGAGAAATAGGAACGCTTTTAAAACGGTTGGTGGGAATATAAATTAGTTCAACCATCATGGAAGACAGTGTGGCTATTCCTCAAGGATCTATAACCAGAAATACCATTTGACCCAGGAATCCCATTACTGGGTATAAACCCAAAGGGGTATAAATCATTCTACAATAAAGACACATGTGGGCTGGGTGCAGTGGCTCACGCCTGTAATCCCAGCATTTTGGGAGGCCGAGGCAGGCAGATCACGAGGTTAGGAGATCGAGACCATCCTGGCTAACACAATGAAACCCCGTCTCTACTAAAAATACAAAAAATTAGCCGGGTGTGATGGCAGGCGCCTGTAGTCCTAGCTACACGGGAGGCTGAGGCAGGAGAATGGCATGAACCCAGGAGGCAGAGCGTGCAGTGAGCCAAGATCGTGCCACTGCACTCCAGCCTGGGTGACAGAGCGAGACTCCAACTTAAAAAAAAAAAAGACACATGCACATTTATGTTTATTGCAGCACTATTTACAATAGCAAAGACATGGAACCAACCCAAATGCCCAATCAATGATAGACTGGATAAAGAAAATGTGGTACATATACACCATGGAATACTATGCAGCCATAAAAAGGAATGAGATTATGTTCTTTGCAGGGACATGGATGAAGTTGGAAGCCATCATCCTCAGCAAACTAACACAGGAACAGAAAACCAAACAGCATGTTCTCACTCATAAGAGGTAGTTGAACAATATGAACACATGGACACAGGGAGGGGAACATCACACACCGGGGCCTGTTGGGGGATGGGGAGTGAGGGGAGGGAACCCAGATGATGGGTCAATGGGTGCAGCAAACCACATGGCACATGTCTATCTATGTAACAAACCTGCATGTTCTGCACATGTATCCTGGAACTTAAAGTAAAAAAAAAAAAAAGAATTAGGCAAACAATTTGAATAGACACTTCACCAGAGAAGATATATGGATGACAAATAAGGGCAGGAAAAGATGCTCAGTGTCATTAGTTATTAAGGAACTGTAAATTAAAAACATAGTGAGATAGCACTTAAACCAGTTGAAATGGATAAATTAAAGACTGACCATAGCAAGTGTTGGCAAGGATGTGGCTCATCTGAAACTCTGTAGGTGGGCTTGTGAGATGAGTAAGACACTTTGGAAAACAGTGCGAGCCATTCCATTTCATCTAAGAGAAATGATTTGTGTATGATTTATGTATGGACATACATCCATACAAAGACCTGGACACAAATGCTCATTGCAGCTTTATTTGTAATTGCCAATATCTGGAAACAACTCAAATGCCTATTCACAGATGAATAGAATAACTGTGGTATATCCAGACAGTGGAATACTACTACTCGCCAATAAAGAGAAATAGACTATTAACACGTGCTGCAACATAGATGAATCTCGAAATAATTATGCAGAGGGAAAGAAGCCAGACAAATAGAATACATACAATATGAGTTCACTTAGATGACATTCTGGAAAATGCAAAGTAATCTATAAGGACAGCAGATCAATGTTTGCCTGAGGATGATGGAAGAGGGGAGGGGCATGCAAGCATCACAAGTGGGCATGAGACCTTTGTGAAGGAGAGTGAGGAATATTTTTATCATCTTCAGTGTAGCCATGGTCTTGCAGGTTTGTTGTGTGTGTGTGTCTGTGTGTGCGTGTGGAAAAAACACTTAAATAAGCATATAGTACACTTAAATATATGCAGTTTATCATGTATTTATTTTAGGTGAATACAGTTGAAAATTCAAAAAGCACCTCTCAAATAATGTGATCAGCAAAATCGTTTCCCCCTAGCTTTCCACGATGCCCCCCAACCTTCACTGAGAACACTGGTTGAGAGTATTGAGAGAATCATCATTGAGGGTTTACTTATTCATCCTTTATCCTCATCATATTGGCCAGGTCCCGAGAGACATGGTCCCCCCAAAACTCCATGCTGTGGTTTGAGCTTATTGCCCATCCCAGTGGCAGCCAGGTTAACTGTTAAGTCCTCAGGCAGTAACATTGGGGTTGCAGTTGTTTTACCCCACAACTAAAGATGATACTGAAGGCTGGTCCTTGGTTTTACTGATGCCGTCTAAAGCCAACCCATCCTGAAGATCTTGGCTTTCTTTCCCACGAATTCCTGCCATCTCTGTAAACCCCTTGACTTTTCTAGGTCTGATTTACTGATGTCCTACATCTCAGCTCTGTTCTGCAGAGAACCAGGAGTGCTTTAAGGCAGGAGGAAGATTGTATTCTGTTGCTAATTTCTTAGTATCTAGCCTAACAAATGCTGTATTGAACTGTTAGTGATTTTAGCACATAGCTAGATACTGTATTGTATTCTTTGCTAATGACTTTGTGTATTTACTCTCTCTCCTTTTCTATATCCTCTCTAGAATAGACTTAACACAGAGGAGGTGACTGATACTTATTGATTAAATAATTTTGAGGGGAGCATAGATAATATATTAATGCCAATAAGTAGCCTTAGAACTTTCCTTCCTATGTTAGGACCCACTTATTAAATATGAATGCCTTAATAATGTGCTTGACTGGACAGAACCATTCTCTCTTGTAAAAAGCAAAAACAAAAAAGCCAATGTCTAGGCCTGTATACACCAGTTACTTCATTCTCCAAACATCTGTTATTTTTATTGGCTGTGGTATGATGTGGTCCAAGTAATACTAATTAATTTACCTACAAACGCAGGACACTAATAGGTATGACTACATATGTTGTTGATTTAGCCTTAAGCACTCCAGTTTTACATAGTATTGATTTTTATGGTAGAATCTGAATCACTAGGATTAGCGTGAATTTCAATTTATTTACCAAATTTAAAAATATTAGAACCAGAGGGGAGAATCTAAAATATTAAGGAGGCAGTTTTATAATATATAAATAGAAGAGCAATTGTATGCAACTTGTGGTACTATTATGCAACTGTTATGTCGAAGAGATAATGCATCCTAAAAATGTGCAATTTCAGAGGTTTAGGTGAACAGAGGAATAATCACTCCACAGCTGGCTAGTAGAAAACCTCAAGAATGTTTGGAGGTGGGGGTAACTTTCTGTTCTCTTGGTGACTGATTCATGGGAAAGCAGGGAAAGACTCAGTAATGGACTGGAGAGATCGCTGGCTTGATATATTGACTGCTTTATAAACTAAATGCATTTTCCCAACTCTTTTTTTTTTTTTTTTGAGAGTCTCGCTCTGTCCCCCAGGCTGGAGTGCACTGGCGCAATCTCAGCTCACTGCAAGCTCTGCCTCCCAGGTTCGCCCCATTCTCCTGCCTCAGCCTCCCGAGTAGCTGGCACTACAGGCGCCCGCCACCATGCCCGGCTAATTTTTTGTATTTTTTTTTTTAGTAGAGACAGGGTTTCATCGTGTTAGCCAGGATGGTCTCGATCTCCTGACCTCGTGATCCGCCCACCTTGGCCTCCCAAAGTGCTGGGATTATAGGTGTGAGCCACCGTGCCCGGCCCCCAACTCTTGATTATACACAAAATTCATGATTATTGGAGTAAAGTGAGAAAATGCTGAAAAGTATAAAGAAATAGATGACTCATTTATGTCTGTGCTCTTTTTAATAAGTATACATTTACTTTTCTAATATTTTGTTATAAAATTTTTAAATATACAGAAATATTGAACTAAATTTTCAGCAAATACTCAGATACCCACACCTAGATTCTTCCATTGACATTTTATTACACTTGTGTCATTATATATTTATTCATCTATCTGTCCCTCTATCCTTCCATCAATTCATCTTTTTTACTGATGCATTTCGGTGTACTTCTCCCTAAACAATTTAGCATGCATATCTAGAGTCCAATCTACCTTTTCCTTTTTATGTAAAATGCCCAAATCTGAAGTGTGCATTCTCTGAGTACGGTGGACATACATTAAGGTGACCCCTGATGATACTCACATCCTGGGTAATCCCTTATAACTTGCTCATAACCAGTAGCAGATGCATATGGCAGAGGTGCTGGGATGTCACTCCTATGGTTATGTTAACATTTTGTAAGACTCCCTTTTGCTGGTAGGCTGGAGCTAGAGACTCCTTGTGGCCTTCATGAAGTAAGTGACCATATTGGAAAAGCCCATGTAGCAAGGAACTGTGTCTTGCCCCCAGAACCTGAGGTTAGCCTCCAACCAACAGCCAGCAAAATGCTGGGGTCCTGGGTCATACAGCTGCAAGGAAATAATTCTCAAAACAACTGTAAGAGTAGGCTCCAGCATGGATTCTCCCCCAGTGGAGCCTTCAGAGGAGAGTGAAGACTTGTGGAATTCTGAGCAGGGAAGCAGCTAAGTCGTACCTGGACTCCTGCTCTAAAGAAGCTATGAGATCATAAATGCATCTATGAGAATTTGTCACACAGCAATAGAAAACTAATACAAGTGTTGATACCTGGAAGTGGGGTGTGGCTGTTAATAAATATCTGAAAACGTTGGGTGGTTTTGAAACTCAGCAGTGGGCAGGGGAGTAGAATAGAGAAAGCTTAAGTCTTCCTGAAAAGACTGATAGTAATAGAAGCCTGGACTTTAAGGACACTGCAGGAGAGGGCTCAGGAGGAAGTGAGGAATGCGTAATGGGAAACTGACAGAAGGGAGAACCTTTGTTAAACAGTGACAGAAAGCTTAGCAACATTGTTGTCTGCAGTTATGTAGAAAGTTGAACTTGTAGGTGATGAACTTGGTTATGTAGCAAAGGAGAGTTCCAAGAAAAGTGTTGAAGGCATCCCAGTCTCTTCTGGCTGTTTACAGTAAAATGTGAGAGGAGAGAAAGATAAATCAAGAGAATTCTTAAACAGAAAGGAACTAGGACTGGATGATTTTGAAAATTTTAAGCCTCTCCAGATGGCAATAGATTCTCAAATTAAGACAGTGTGGTCTAGAGAAAAATTAGAGGGTGTGACTTTGCAACCCTTTGCTAAAATCTGAAAGATCAAAAGGTGAGCATATTTAGTCACAAAAAGGTATCTTTTAAGAGGGCATGCCTCCCAGATCCTCTCAATCAAACCAGAGGACCTCTAGAAGGTCTAAGGGCACTGTCCATCAGCACCTCCATCTTGCTAGCAGACAAGACCAGAGACTTTTGCGAGTTTGGTGAAAAAAGTGGCCTTCTGGGAGAAACCTGGATTGCAAAGGATGGAGGGCACTTTCTAGGAACTGTGGGCTCTAGAACCTAAGTATGGTCTCCAGATGATACCCAGCTAAAAGCTAGTGCCTTCAGCCTAGTAGCTGCAAGGAAATGACTTCTGACAACCTGAATGAACTTGGAAGATTTTTCCCCAGTCAAACCTTCAAGTGAGAACACAGCCTGGTTATCATGTTGATTGCAGGCTTGTGAGATCCCGAGAAGAGGACCCAAGGAAGTTGTGTTTGGACTTCTGACTAACAAAAACTATGAGATAATAAATGTGTGCTGTTTTAAGTCTCTACATTTGTGGTAATTTGTTATGCAACAGTAGTAAATGAATATACTGAATTTTGACAAGTTCATACTCTGCAATCCAAAGCCTAGCCAGATGTAGAACATTACCATCACTTAGACACTTTCCTCATGCTACTTCCCAAGTTGTTCCCATCCTCAGATCCCCAGAGACAACAATTCTTCTGACGCTGCTAACTAACCGTATAGCTTAGTTTTGCCTTTTCTAAAATTTCATATAAATGGAACCATACAGTATATGCCCCTTTTTTGGTCTTGCTTCTTTTACTCAGCATATTTTTGAGATCTATCCATCTTGTTCCATGTATTAATAGTTGGTCTTTTTTGTTGCTAAATCTTCTTCTGTTTTATGAATATATTAAACATGTACCCCAGAATTTAAAGTATAATAATAAAAAAAATTGTTCGTCTGTTTTTCTGTTAAAGAACACAGGGACAATTTCAGGCCATTATGAATAAATCTGCTATTTTCTTTTGCATAAGTCTTTTTGTGAATGAGTGTATGTTTTTATTTTCTTTAAGTAGAAATCTAGTTGTGGACTTACTGGGTCACAGGTGTGTGATTAGTTTTTTAGGAAACTGCAAGGTATTTTTCCAAAGTGGCTGTATCATTTTACATTCTCACCAACAATGTATGAGAGTTCCAGTTGCCCTGCACCCTACCAACACTTGGTGTTTTCATTGTTTTTAATTTTAGTTATTTGAATAGATGTGTAGTGGTATTATCATTGTGGTTTTAATTTGCATATGCCTGATTAATTTGCATATGCCTGATTTCTAATGATGTTGAGAACTGTTTGTTGTGTATATTGAACATTTGCATATCTTCTTTTGGAAAATTTCTTTTTAAAACCTTTGCTCACTCCAGTTTTTTGAGGAGAGGGGTTATTTATGCTTTTATTTTTGGGTTGGAGGGGTTCCTTATGTTTCCTGGGAACTAGTGCTATGTCAGATGCTTGTTTTACAAATATTTTCTCTCAGACTGTGGCTTGCCTATTCATTTTCCTTAGAATGTCTATTGATGAGCAGAAGATTCTAATTTTGATGAAGTCTACCTCTACTTTTATGGTTGTTTCATGTGACTTGTGAAATAAACCTTTGCCTATTCTTAAGTCCTGAACATTTTCTCCTGTGTCTATGTGATTCCACAATGTCTGGACCACTGTAGATTTGTAGTATGTTTTGAAGTCAGGTAGTGTATGTAAGTCCTCTAGTTTTTTGTTTTTGGGGTTTTTTTCAAGGTTGCTTTGGCTATTTGAGGTCAGTGCTGTCCAACAGAACTTTCTGCAGTGATAAAAATGTTACACATCTACACCATTTAAGAAGAGTAATCACTAGTCACATGTGAGTATTTAGCCCTTGAAATGTGGTTAGTGTGGTGGAGGAACTTAATTTTTAATTTTATTTAATTTGCATTAACCTACGTAGAAATCTAAGTAGCCACATGTAGTTATTGGCCACCATAATGTATGGTGCAGCTGCAGGTTCATTGCATTTCCATATAGATTTTTGGAATAAACGTATTAATTCCCACAAAACAGGTGCAGGTTAAAATTGGGATCACATTGAATCTATAGATCAATTTGGAGAGAATTGACATGTTAGTCTTCTGGCCCATTATTATGGTATATCTCTCCACTTATTTATACCTTCTATAATTTCTTCCAAAATGTTTTGTAATTTTCAGAGTACTAGTCTTGAACATATTTTGTTAAATTTGTCCCTATGTATCTTAAGTTTTTTGATAGTATTATAAGTGGAATTATTTTTTAAATTTATTTTTTAAATAAATTTGATTTTTGCATGTTTACCTTCTATCCTTTGGTAGAAGGATAGATTCTACCAAACTGCTAAATTCATGAATTAGTTCTAGTGGTGGTTTGGTTGATTCTATTGGATTTTTCTATGTAAACAATTATGTTATCTAAAAATAGATACAGTTTACTTCTTCCTTTTTACTCTGGATGACTTTGTTTACTTGTTTATTTACTTACTTTTGTCATCTTATTGTACTGGCTAGAACCTCCAGTGCAATGTTGAGTAAGAATGGTGGAAGTGGGCATCCTTGCCTTTTTCCGTATCTTAACAGGAGAAGTTGAAATCTTTCATCATTAAATATGATAGCCCTATGTATAACGTTATTTCTAATTTTTCTCATAAATGAATGTGGAGTTTTGTTAAATGTTTATTCTGCATCTGTTGAAATGATCATATGGTTTGTCTCTTTCCGTCTGTTAATAATATGAATTACACTGATTGATTTTTGAATGTTAATTTAACCTTAAATTTCTGGGATATGTCCCCACTTCATCATGATATACTATCTTTTTTACATATTGTATTCTGTTTACTAATATTTTGTTAAGCATTTTGCATCTATGTTCGTGAATGATATTGGCCTATAATTTTCTTTTATTTTGTAACATCTTTGTTAGGCTTTGATTTTAGGGTTTCTGTGGCCTCATAAAACAAGTTAGGAAAGGTTTCCTCCTCTAGTTTTAGGAAGAATTTTATGTGGTTGGTGTTATTATTTCCTTAAGTATTGATAGAATTAACTAATAAAGCTATCTGGGTCTGAAGTTTTCTTTGTGAAGATGTTTTTGATAAAGAAGCTAATTTCTTGATAAATATATGAGTATTGAGATTTTCTGTTTTAAAGAATTTGTCCATTTCATCTAAGTTGTCCAATGTGTTAATTTAAAGTTAGCATAGTCTTTTACTATATCTTTAATATCCATGGCACCTGCAGGGATGTCTCCCATGTCATTCTTAATATTGTTAATTTGTGCCCTTTCTATTTTATTGATCAGAATAACTAGAGGTATACAACTCATATTTATCTTTCAAAAACAAGCTTTTGATTACATTTTTTGGTACTTTTTGTTTTCTAATTGCATTGATTCCTGCTGTTATGTTTAGTATTTACTTCTGTCTACTAACTTTGTGAGTTTCCTTTGCTCCTCTTTTTCTAGTGCCTTTAGTTGGAACCTTGGATTCTTGATTTTAGATCTCTCTTCTTTTCAAATATAAACATTTAAAACTATTAATTTCTTCCTAAGCACAGATCTAGGTCAATTCCACAAATTTTTATGTGTTTTTATTATCATTCCGTTCAAATATTTCCCCATTTCTCTTGTGACTTATTCTTTGACCCATACATTATTTAGAAGTGTGTTGTTTAGTTTTTAAGTATTTGGGATTTTCTAGATATTTTATTGTTGTTTGATTTCTAATTCGTTTGTAGTCAGAGAACATACTTCATATGATTCTAGTGAGACTTGTCTTATGTTTTATGTATTGATGAATATACCATGTACATTTGAAAAGAAATATATTCTCCAGGTTTGGGGTGTAATTGTCTGTAAAATATTCAATTCTTTTTTTTTTTTTTTTAATTTTTTGAGATGGAGCTTTGCTCTTGTCAGCCAGGCTGGATGGCAGTGGCATGATCTCAGCTCACCGCAACCTCCGCCTCCTCAGTTCTCCTGCTTCAGCCTCCCAAGTAACTAGGATTGCAGGCACCCACCACCATGCCTGGCTAATTTTTGTATTTTTAGTAGAGACGGGGTTTCACCATATTGGCCAGGCTGGTCTCGAACTCTTGATCTCAGGTGATCCATCCACCTCAGCCTCCCAAAGTGCTGGGACTAAAGGCATAAGCCACCACATCCGGCCGCAATTCTTGAAGCCTATTTTATCTGATATTAACATATTCACTCCAGCCTTCTTATGCTTCCATATAATAATGTAGATTTTTTCCACTCATTTACTTTCAACCTATCTGTATCTTTATATTTAAAAATGTGCTTCTCTTACAGACGGTTTATAGATGGGTCCAGGATTTTTTCCTTTTAAAATTCTATTTCTATTCTAGTTCTTCCTTCTATTCTAGTTCTGCCTTCTAATTATTTACTCATTTAAAGTATTTTTATATGGTTGGATTGAGGTCTACCATTTTTGTTTGTTTCTTTTTTGTCCTATGTAGTTTTTTGTTCCTCCAGTCTTCTCTTCAGCCTTCTTTTTAAATTATTTGATTTTTAAAAATAATTTCAGCTTAATTTATCTATTGACTTTTAAGCCATTTATTTCTGTATTTTTAATGATTTCTCTAAAGATTACAATATGCCTCCTTAACTTATCACAGTCCACTTAGTGTTAATATTGTAGCTCACCATGTAAAATGTGGAAACTTTGCAGCTACATTGCTTCATTTATCTCCATTTACTTCATACTGTAGTTACTGTACACATTACATTTACAGTGTAAACCCAACCCGACAATGCTATAATTTTCACTTAAATAGCTTTATATATATAAGCTATTTTATATATATTTTATTTTATTATATATAAAATATAATTTTATATTATTTATATAATATAAAATATAATTTTATATTATTTATATAATATAAAATATAATTTTATATTATTTATATAATATAAAATATAATTTTATATTATTTATATAATATAAAATATAATTTTATATTATTTATATAATATAAAATATAATTTTATATTATTTATATAATATAAAATATAATTTTATATTATTTATATAATATAAAATATAATTTTATATTATTTATATAATATAAAATTTTGTTTTATTTTATTTAATTTTATATATATATTATTTTATTTTATTTTATTTTTGAGACAGGGTCTGACTCTGTCACCCAGGCTGGAGTGCAGTGGTGTGATTTTGGCTCACTGCAACCTCTGCCTCCTGGGCTCAAGCGATCCTCCTGCCTCAGCCTCCCGAGTAACTGGGACTACAGGTTTGTGCCACCATGCCCAGCAAATTTTTGTATTTTTTGTAGAGACGAGGTTTCACCATGTTACCCAGGCTGGTCTCAAACTCCTGAGCTCAAGTGATCTGCCTACCTTGGCCTCCCAAAGTGCTGGGATTACAGGCGTGAGCCACCAAGCCTGGCCAGTTGTGCATATTTTTAAACAAATCAAGAAGAAAAGTTTTCTATACTTCCCAGGTATTTTATATATTCACCATTTCCAGTAGATTGCCTTTTCTGCAGAAGATCTGAATTTCCATGTGATATGATTTCCCTTCAGAATAAAGAACTTCCTGTAGAGATCTGCTGTCAGTGATTTGTCAGCTATCTCTTATATGAACTTGTTTTTATTTTGTCTTAATCCTTGAAGGATATGTTCATTTGGTATCAGATTCTGGGTTAATAGGTTTTTAAAGTTTTTCATTTAGAACTTTAAATATATTGTTCTAGTATATTCTGGCCTTCTGTAATGATAAACTGGGTCATTTGATGTGGTGTTCTTCTGTCCATTATGTTTTGTTTTTCTCCAGTTGCTTTCAAGATTTTCTCTTTCTCTTTGCTTTGGAACTGTTTGACTATGGGTGATTGGGTGTGGTTTTCTCTGTAGTTTTCTGCTCGAGGCTTTCTGACTTTCTTATCTGTAAATTTATGTCTTTCATTAAATTTGGGAAACTTTTTGGTCCTTATTTTTTCAAAATGTTTCCCTCTTTTCCTATTCTCACTTTTCCCTCCATTCTACCATTTACACTGATAGTAGATTGTTGGTATTGTCACAGGGGTTTGTGAGGCTCTGTTAATTTTTTCCAATCTTTTTTCTTTACATTTTTCAGATTGAGTAAGTTCTCTTGGCCTATATTCAAGTTCACAGACTCTTTTATCATATCCATTCTGCTATTGGGTCCATATGAAGAATTTTTTAAGTTGCATTTTAAGAAAATACTTATCTTTTTAGAGTAGTTTTACGTTCAGAGCAAAATAGAGAGATTTTCCATATACTCCCTGCCCACCCTCCACCCCCATGTATACCTTCCACTGTTATCAACATCTCCCACCACAGTGGTACTTTAATTACAATTGATAAACCTACATTGATACATCACTATCACCTAAGTCCATAGTTTACAGTAAGGTTCATTCTCAGTGTTGTACATTATATGGATTTGGACAAATGTACAAGGACATGTGTCTAACATTATAATATCATACATGTATTTTGATGCTCTAGAATTTTCATTTGATTCCTTTTTATAATTTCTATTTATCTGATGATGCTTTCCATCTTTACAGGCATGGAGAACATATTTTCACTTCTGTCCTTACTTTTAAATTCTCGTTTAATAATTTTTACATTTGGGTCATTTTAGAATTGGTCTTCATCTATTATTTTTCCCTTGTGGATAGGTCATTTTCTTGTCTCTCCTCTGTTGTGTAATTTTGGATCGTATCCTGGACATTGTGAATGCCATCTGGATTCTGTTATATTTCTCGGAAGAACACTGATTTTTTCAAAGGGCAGATAATTAATTTGATTGGACTCAAACTGAAAACTCTTTCCCCTGGAGCAGTTTGAATTTTAGTTCAGTTTTTTACACTTAGTTTAGCTGCTTTGAATCCACCTCTCACATATAAGGTTCAGATTTCACTTAGAAAATTTGGGGTGCTTCTTCTGTGCTTGTCTCTTTTCCAGAATTACTCCCTCATCCTCCAGTGACCCTAGTTGTTCTGAACTCTGTTGTCTTCAGCCCAGAAAAACAAAACGTTTTCTTTTAGAGATTCACTCACTTACATGGTGACAACTTTGACATGCCCTCAGGCTAAAAGCTATAAAAATGGGAATTTCACCTCTTGGCATTTTTTTTCCTCTAGCTTGCTGCTAGAGTCTTCCTGCTTTTTACTCACAGTCTAGTGAACAGAAGCCTTATTTTATATTTTTATCCAAAGTTGATAGTGGTTATCTGCAGGAAGGTCTAGGAGAAGCTTACTTGGCCATATAAGAAGAAAAATGACCCCACCTTTTCTTGAGGTTATGTGCATTTTATTATTAGAGAACCTGCGCGGCATGTTTTCTTCTTAAAAACAATGCCTAAACTCCAAATAGATCAAGGTCAAAGGAAGCGAGGAGTTCAACATGACATCAGTCCCGTTTTCCAAGTCCTGGCCCACTTTGGTTTTTATAAGAAAGATAGAAAATAGACTTTTTTTTCAGAATTTACAAAATTTTCTATTGCTTGGTAAATCTTTATTGAATTATACATTAGATCATAATATGGGCATCTTCTATATCATAAAATAGTTTTTAAAATGCAGTTTTTGATGTCTACATACCATTTCATCATATGTTTTATGTTACTTAGCTATTTTCTCATTGTAAACTTATATAGTTTCTATATTTCTGCCAGCATCAGTTACTATTCCAGATGTTCAAACATCTTTAAACATAAACCTTTGATGACATATTTGACTACAGAAGGAACCCTCATAATCACTGTTTCCCTGCATTGTTTTGCTGGATTCGCTGACGTCTTCTATGCCTTCGGTAAATATGCCGCTTGCATCGGGAAGCCTCAGTCTTCCTTCTCCCACTATTTGGAATATGGGCTTACCAAGAGTTAATTACCGTGTTTGTTCTCAAACCTGTTTATGACAGTTGTTGTGATGTCATTGGTTGGAATACTAACCTGTGAAATATGAGTGAGAAAAGAAAGAGGGTGGTTGCTTCCATATAAACTATAAAAACTAAGTAGAATGCTTTGGGGAGATGCAATAAAGTGAAGTAATAATACAGTTGCTATAAAACTAGATTATGAGCCAGGAAACTGAACAATTTGAGAAAATAAAATGGTAAAATGGAGAAAGTGTCTACTGTCACATTGTCCTCCAAATATTTAAGTTTGTGTTCCACTTTAAAGAAACCAAAACTCAAAATTAAGAGCATGAATTATATAGGCGTGTTTTGTGCAAGAAAGAGGGCACATAATTCCAATCAGAACATGAGTGATACTCAGAGAAGAGCCTTGGTCCTTTATTGCAAGACTGGTGAGAAAATTCATATTTTTATATTGTAACTTATAACAACGTATTTATGGTATATTTGCACCATTGTTTAAGATTTCCCTATTTAACTGGCTTTTCAATGAGCTGGGCAGATTCTCCAATTGCTGGTCCCAAAAGCATGAAAAAAGGATACTTTAATTGTGTTTCCTCAGGAGTCTTAGAAATGTAATTACTTTGTATAGTTTAGACTATTGTAGACTACTAATCCCTATTATCTAATTTCCCACTTTAATTGTATTTCCTCAGGAGAGATTCCTAGAAACATAATTACTGTGTATTGTTTAGACTATTGATACATATTATTTAATCTCATAGTAGTGAGGTTGTATCAATTTATGTTCTCACATAAATTAAGCTTTAAAGTTTGTGCATGAGCCACTAATGTCTTCTCTCCAGCTTCAACCAGCAGTTATACGGTAGACTGGGAGACTGGGTGACTCGGCCTGAAACTTCTTGAAAAATCTCTAAGGCTGTTCTTTGTTCCAATGAAATGGATTGGATTCCTTCTCTGTCGATACTGGACGTTTTTGTGTGAATTCTAGCCTCAGAATAAAATCCTAACCATAAAAACATAGAGATTGTTTACTAAACACAGCCCAAACTTCATCTATTGCTTTATAATATTCAGATGATCATAACTTTTATATGCTAGAAGGAACCATAGGGATCAGCTTAGTAAACCCTTTCTTTTATAATTTGAGTCCTGGAATGAGGCATAGAGAAAAGTGTTGTCTTCCATCCTGAAGCTTAGTGGCATCTCAGCGGAGCTCAGAGCTCAAGTCTCCGGACTGCTGTCTACTGACTCTTTTGTGTATATCATGTTGCTCTGGACGGCGAAGAGAAGCAATGCTAAAATGTACCACATGAAGTTCACATTTCCAAGGGGGGGCGGGCTGTGCAGAGTGTTGTCAGATAATGTCTATAATGTAAATCTACAATATGAGCTAACATTTAATGAATGCTTCAATGAGCCAGGTACTATTCTAAGTGCTTTACCTGGGTCAAATTACCTTATTATCCCATGTAAACCTCATAATGGCTCTCTGAGGCCCCATTTTATAGGTGAGGAAACTGGGCACTGAGAAGTTCCCATGGTTTTACAGCTAGTAGGTGGTGGAGTCAGGATTTGATTCTCACAGCCTCACTCTACAGCCTGGATTCTTACATGTCCTTTGAAATTGTCCCTCTATGTGTCGGGAGAATGAAAAGAAAATGACATTTATTTGCTGTCTACTTTGAGCCAGGCATTTTCAGATATTTTACATGCTTAAAAAGACGGATCCTCACAATCTCATTGCAGATGGGAGAAAGTAAATATCAGATACATTAAATGACTTGCCCAAGGACACAGCTAGGAGGTAGCAAAACAAGAAATTAACCCAAAACTTGACTAACTCTGAAGCCAGTGGTTTTGTGAGAAAACCACGCTGCTGCATCCTAGAGATCAGTGGTTCTCACGGTCTTGGCTGCACACTGGAATGACCCAGGGAGGGTTAAAAATACCCAGGTCTGAGTCTACCTCCAGAGTTTCTGATTTAATTGGGTTGGGGTGCAGCTTGGGCAGTGGGATTTAAAATTAAAAAAACCCCAGGAGATCCTAACATGCAGCCTAGGATGCCGCCCCTGCTAAAGATGCAGATGGTTTTGGTCATGCCACATGATTCCATTTCTTTGTCCAAATATGGGAATAGGGTTCAGCACATCAGTAAGGGGCATGTTTTCAGCAGCGGATTAGGTTCCGAGGGCTGCCGTGACAGATGACCACAAACTGGGAGCTGAACACGACAGAAATGGATATTGTCACAGTTCTGGAGACCAGAAGTCTGAAGTCAAGGCATCAGCAGGGCTGTGCTCCCTGAGGACGCCTCGACCCAGTTTCCGGCATTGCCAGCAAGCCTCAGTGCTCCTCAGCTTCACAGCTCTGGTCTTTGGCTCCACTAACACGCCACCTTCTTCCCTCTGTGCCTCTGTCTCCCTGTGTCTATCTCTTCTACTTATGGGGACTCCAGTCATTGGATTTGGGGTCTGACCTAACCCACTATAACCTCATCTGAACTAATTGCATCTGCAAAGACCCTATTGCCAGAGAAAGTCACATTCTGAGATTCCAGATAGACATGAATTTTGGGGTTACTATTCAACCCGGTGCAAACAGAAAATCAGGTAACATGACATTCTGGAAGAAGGCATGAGTCTCTAGGGATAGGGAAGATACAATTCTCTATCTTTTGGTACCATCCAATTTTTTAAAAAGATGTTTAAAATATCTTAAATATCCTCCTCCTCCCCTGAAAAAACAGCTATCTTGGTACACGTATCACTAAGTTATAGAAAGACCTGTATCTGCTGACCCCTTTGTTGTCTCCAGATCCCTTTGGTGTGTTGAGGAATGCAGGGATGCCACTGGGGGGTAGAAGGCATGGCTTGCTTGTTCAAATTGTACATGAGTGTGCACACTAAAGCTGTGGAAGAGGTCATTGTCCCCAGCGGGGAATTTTTGAAGGAAAAAAAAATCAGTTCTGATTCTCCTTCTACTGTAAGGTGACAGAAGAAATTTATAACTCTTTGTCAGTCATCAAAGAACTATCCACCATCGTTCCAAACATGGTTTGTAAGACCTTACGCCTTGAAGCAACCAAAATTTGGAATTTGGTTTTAAGACCATTATTTTATTCATTTGCTTTCTTTTTCTAAGATGGAACCTTGATCATAATTGAAAGTACAATCTTTGAAAAGCTAATGATATGGTTTGGCTGTGTCCCCACCTAAATCTCATCTTGAATTGTAGCTCCCATAATTCCCATATGTGGTGGCAGGGACCACGTGGGAGGTAATTAAATCATGAGGAGCGGGTCTTTCCTGTGCTGTTCTCGTGATAGTGAATAAGTCTCACAAGGTCTGACGGTTTTGCAAAGGGGAGTTCCCCTGCACAAACTCTCTTGCCTGCCGCCATGTGACACCTGACTTTGCTTCTCATTCACATTCTGCCATGATTATGAGGCCTCCCCAGCCACGTGGAAGTGTGAGTCCATTTAATGTCTTTCCTTTATAAGTTACTCAATCTCGGGTATGTCTTTATCAGCAGTGTGAGAACAGACTAATACACCTAACAAGCTGATTCCTCAAAGGACATTTATAGATCAAAATTCTACAGCCAGAAATGTACCCTTGTTTATTACTTGTCCCACAACTTGGAAATAATTAAATGCCTCCTACAAATAACACTACTGTTTCCTTACACACTGGCTTTCTGTAGAGAACACTAGCTACCCAATTATTTCCATCTCTAATTGATCTTGATAGTTAAGCTATGTTACATTTTGATAAGCTCCTAATTTTCATTTTAGAAATGACAGAAAGGATTTAGTTGTAAGAAATGGCTTATTTTCCTCAGAGGTTATCACTGGAATTTTCCCCACCTCGGCATCGCCACCGTGATCAAACGCTTTTCCACATCCTGCTTATTTGAGACACTTCTCTTGACCCTGGGCAGAGTGATATAGACAAATATGACTCATAGATTGGCAATTCACCTAAGGCAAACATTGTAATTGGTACAGAATCAGTGGACTAGTTTTGCTTTGTGTGTTTTTTCCCCAGTACACCAAGTGAGTCTTTATAAAGCCTCGATAGCAACATTTAGGCAATTTCTTAAGTAATAAATATCCATTTCTACTCGGAGAAAAATCTTGGCCTTTCTGTCTCAATTTAGCCTTCCTTAAAAAGGTTACATGTGGATCTAACTTGGATTCAGCCAAGTCCTTAGGCAAAAATTAAAGGATATTAAAAAATGTATTCCTCAAGAAGTGCCACAGAATCAAATCCTCAAAAGCTCACCAGATGATGTTATTGCAAACAAGTAGTCCACTAGATGTGTGAAACTACAAAAATACCAGGATGGGTTATGTGTTTCTGAACTGGTACCTGACAAGGACTTTGACAGCCATATGCACTGGGAAGACGGAGATGCTGTTGCCATGGAAGGCACGCCTGCTCTAGATACTGTCCAGCTTTTCAGTTAATGTGCATTGAGGGGAACCGCAAATCCCTAATAAGCCACAGCCTAGCATGGAGTTCCCAATTACCTGCCCACTAAAGAATGACCTTGTGCTTCTGTTGTAGAGCGTTCTCTTTTGGGGCCCCTGAAAGTCATGGGGCTGTTCATTCCATAGAGAAATAATTAGCCAATGCAATATGTCATTTTACATATCCATAACAAAGTGATTCTTGCAGCTTTTCATTTAGTGAGTTTATGAGAGGCTGATGTTAGTGAACTGAGAAGTAAAATATATTTATATGTGAAATACGACTTCTCCAATTCTTTGGCGGGGGAGCTGAACAAACCCCTGAGTGCACCCCAAGCACAGTGCAGCTGGAGAGCAGACGTTGCGCCCAGTTTGTTTGGATCTGGCTGATTCCAGCTCCATCAAGGTCATGTGCTGGTTGGGGGAAGTGGTGAATATTACAGTCCTGGCATCTGCAAAAACGGTTTTGATGAAGTCCTAGGATGAGCCTCGAAGGACATCGGTATAGCACGTGGCAGCTGATATGGCGAAGCTGCTGGGAAGGCCACCCGTCTTGGGCCTGAGCCTGCAGAGACTCCAACCAGCTCCTGCTTGGAGAGTGCAGAGACTGGCCCCGAAAATGCCCATCTGCGTGAAAAGTCTGGCTGTTTCTCACTGACCATGATGACTAGCCTGCTGTGGGGGCTGGGCATTACTAGGTTAAACTGTGGCTGTTAAGCCTCGTGAGTGCTGATGAACACGCTGTTCTTCAAAGCGAGTGGTGGTAACATGTGGCAGGCAGGGGGACCCATGCCAAGAGCTGTGGTGCGTGGGCATTCACGCTGAGGCCCATGGTCTTCCTTTGCACCCTTGCTTGGTGGGAGGTTTAAGAAAGACTTACTGTGTTTGTTTTCTCGGTGACTCTTGGGGCTGGGGGCAAGAGGAGCAGGGTTTGAGCCTGCACTGGTTTGTCGAACGCCCCCGTCCAACACCCCATGGCAGAACCCCCATCAGGCTCGTATTGAATCCCAGACCCTCTCTCTGGTCCCTGCCCACGGTGAGCAGAAGGAGGGCAGCCTACTTCCCAAGTCAAACACTCCCCAGGACTGGGTTTCAGCACCTTGATAGAACAGGGCTTCCCATCCTTGGCTTTTGGTGACATCTTGGGGCGTCTTCGGTCAAGTCAAAGGAGCTTTCAAAATGAATTTTGACTTGCTTGTGAACATTCCTGAACTTTGAAAGAAGGATGCGTGTCCTAAAATCCAATGACTGTGTCAGGTGGGTGTGGAGATGAGTGAGGCATTTGTGGAGTGGTGCTTTGCTTACAGTTTCACTGGGCGCCACGTGAAATCGTGGGGTCAGCAGGAGCTTGGGTCAATCTTGGGTTTGACCCCTGGTTCTCTCACTGCTGGTAACTCTGGCAAGTTCTTTACATCTCTGCCCTTCAGTTTTTGAATCTATAGAGTAGGTGTCATAATACATTCCTGGAGAGTTGAGAGGGTTAAAATGTGATGCACACAGAAGGTTCCAGCACACAGTAGGTGCTTCAGAAATGGTACCTTTTTCCACTGTTATTATTAGCAAAATATCAACCTCCCTCAATGCTTGTCCTTATTCAGTCTAAAACATCCTGCACAGATTCTGAAAATACTCTCTGGTATAGGCAGATAATTGGAGAAGAATGGGGCCCCCTGAACAAAGAGGAAACAGACCCACAGAAATAAATTCCCACAACTTGTCTGCATGAACAATAGAGAAGTCTTTCAAGATCTTCCCAGTTCCCTTCAACTTTATAAGGAGGATGCTTGTCCCCCAGGGAGCCGGTGGCCCTTTTGAGAAGAAAGCCACAGACAGAAACTTAAGTGGATTTAAATGTAAGCAGGACCAGAAAGAAAACAGAATTTCCTCTTCAAGGCTTAGGAAAACAATTAGAGATAAACGAGGCCAGAAAGCAAAGCTAATAACAAGATGAAGACTTTCAGCCACTTCATGAATGCTATTGAAAGGGGAAGCAAGAGAAACCCCACCCGAGTCACCCTGACCTTGCCGTAGACTTTCTGGTTTCTTGTAACTCCTACCCTTGCCTCCTGGGGGCTTTTCAACTTAGCTGCTCCATGGAAATGTTTGTTCTGCTGCTGAGCAGAAGATGCTACCTCTGGAGGCCACAGTGGGCTGGGGACAGACCCTTTCATCTCTCTGCGACTCTCCTGCTATGGCTCAGGCTGGGGCTCCTCCGGGACTTTCACTAACAGGACTTGGAAGTGGGAAATTTGCTCCTCTTTAAGAAGAAAGGGTGCATGATGTTTGTCCTCAGTAGCAGAGATATCACTTTTCTTCTTCTTTTTTTTGAGACAGGGGCTTGCTCTGTCACTCAGGCTGGAGTGCAGTGGTATGATTTCGGCTCACTGCAGTCTCAACCTCCCAGGCTCAAGCGATCCTTCCACCCCAGCCCCCAGAGTAGCTGGGACTACAGGCGCACCCCACCACACCCGGCTAACCTTTTTATCTTTTGTAGAGATGAGGTCTTGCTACATTGCCCAGGCTGAGATCAGTTTTGACTCCTGATGGGACACAGGAGAAGAAACATTCTGGTGCCTGCCATAACAGATTGATGTCTACCTAAGCATCATGGTTTCTGTCTCCTGGAGCTCGTAGGGAAAGAAGAGGGATGGCTGAGAGCAGGTGGCTTTCTCTCAGGGGAGGGCCTCTGCTCTGGGTGGCTGTTCTCGGCTGGGTTTAGACCCTCTTCCTCTGGGCTTGCGTTGTCCTTGACTAGGCTTTCCTGACTATGGCATGGGCAAGTGCAGGCCACACCGTGTCATTTTTGGTTTAAGTCATCTGAGTGTGAGCACCCTTGAAGATAGGGCCACGTTTCAAGTTTGAGGCACAGATCCTGGCTCCGCGTTGATGCTTGATTACATTTCCTGACTGGACCATGGAGGAATCTGGCCTCTCATTCCTGGGGATGGGAAAGTGCCCTTCGGATCTTCCGAGGAGTCTGAGAAGCAAAGGCAAAAGCTGGTTTCTCACCATATTCTTTTCTTGCCGTGTCAGCGTTTGCAGCTGTGGCTTTTATGGCCACGCCAGGAGGGGCCTCGTGAGGCTGGCAGAGGCCCTGGTGCCGTGGCCAGCCCCATGCTGTTAAGCAAAGCATGGCCTGTCCACGCTTTGGTGCCTGCACACCGTCCGTCCCGTGGATCTCGGCTCGTGGTGTACCGAGCTGACCCTGTCTTCGGATTCCATTGCCACTTGACTGTGGAGGTGGTGACTCTGACAGTTCTTCAGCTCAATGACCATTTGTTGTGCAAAAGTGACCCCCGGGATCCTCCACTCATCCTGAGGATGACAAAGCATGTTTTAAATAACCACTGCCAAATCAACTCAACACAATAGGGCAACCAAGACACAGCAAACAAGTCATAAAACAATTTAGCAAGGAGGCCAGCAGGAAAATTAATGTCAGTGGCTGTCTGTTCTGAACGTCTCGCACCGCTCCATGCTTCAGAGAAGGGAGAAAGCAGAACATCACAGTTCGCCAATCCAAGGCAGCCTGGTAGGACCTGCCATTCCGTGACCCCTAACCAATGGATATATTCATTACACCGAAGACTGGAAGGAACCACAAAATGGGATACATATTTAAGGAACTATGCACACAACTGGGTTTATTTTTCTTATCTGATTTTTTTTGTTTCTGGTGCAACATGAGTACTGTTGAATACTTGGCAGCTGGCTTTCCATACTTGAGTTGTTTGTCATTTCTGGGGCTGCTGATGCTGTTATGATTTCCCTTTCGGGAGGAATTTACAGGCACATGTTGACCCAGCTGAATGGGAACAGGGAGCAACAGGGAGTTTATGAACAGGGACCATCACCTCCTGGAGAGCGCGCATTCTTTTTCTGGAGGACGCACCAGCACAAGCTGCTCGCCATGCTGTCAGGCCGGCCATCGAATGCGCTGCTGCTCCAGCCTCCAACACGCAGATCCTCTCCCCTCCTGGCCTTGAAATAAACCTGCCTTTCTTTTCAATAATATCTGGGAGTTGTAGTCGGAGCGCTGTGCTTTATTGTTGGAATACCAGGGACGTTGGCTTTCGGTAGCAACAGTTGCTAGGCAAGGTGCGATTGCCTTGAGAACCCAGCAGAGAGAGGACGGAGGTGAACGGCAAAAGGGTCAGGTGGGAGACAGGCAGATGAGGCTGGCGCAGGGGCTGGGGTGAAGTGTGTGAGGGAGCCCCTGGCCGCTGCTCACCTGCCCTGCCACTGTGTTCTCCTCTCAGCAGCCTGTCTTTCCAACATCCACTCCTGCCTCCTCTCTCCCAAGACCCAGTCCATCTCATTCCCACACAGCCACTCATGGACTCATTTGCTACCTTTTTCAGATGTCTCCAACCTGCCATGGGCTGGGGGTACAGAGAGAAATTGGTGATGGGGTCTGCCTCCCGTGGGAGAGGCAGATACCACAGTCGCAAACCCACTGTGTGCCTGGCGCCCTTGCGGTCATCCCAGATTTTTGCCCACATCCCTCTGTTCCACCCAGAGGCCACCTGCATGCAGGCATGGTGGATGGTTGCTGTGTGCAGTGATGGCCTCCTGGGACCTCTTGCTGGCCACGGAGTTAACCAGGAGGGACCATCAACCTCGGAAGGTTAGGAGCTGTTGGGACAGTTCCGAGCTACATTCCAGGCAGTCTCAGGGATGAGTTCCTGTGTCCCACAGTTGAATGTGCTCCAGGATGAGTCTGTGATTGTCCTTCTTGCCCTCCCTGTCTTGTTCTCCCACATCCTTATGGGCTTCCCGGGCCATCCCCTAAGTATGCGACTTGCAGGTTTGCTTTTGCACAAACCGAGGCAGCAAGTATGCCAGGAAGCTGCCGTGAGCGTGGGGGCAGGCAGCCTGCCTTGCCTGGAGAAGGCGGCTGGCAGAGCCTCTGCAGAGGGTGTGTTTGGTTTGTTTCTAGAAGGGTAATCTCTCCAGGGTGAGAAGGGTGTCCTCCAGGCAGGAAAGAGTGTGGTTTTCAGGAAAACAAGGGTAGGTACATAGGGCAGGGCTCCGTTGGGGCAACACTGGAGAGGCTGGCCAGGGCAGTCAGTGAGGGGCCTGGGCTCCTACATGGAGCCTTTGGAACTCTTTTTTGCTGAAGGTGGGGATCCTTGTGGGTTTACCAGTAAGAGAGGCCCAAGCAGATTGGAGTTTGGGCAAGATTCCCGAGGCAGCAGGCGTGGGGTGCCGGGAAGGCAGGCTGGAGGCCTGGGAGGAGGAGCCGAGCCAGGGGAGGGCAGGTGAGCAAGGAAAGGGACCAGGGAGGAGCGAGAGTGCCAGCAGCTCTTAGAGACCAGGGCACAGGTGGCAGCCACCCAGGTGTCCATGGAGTAATGGACAAACAACCAGAGGATTCTACTTTAAACTGGAAGGAAACCCTGACACGCGCTACAGTACCAGTGAACCTTGAGGCCATTGTGCTGAATGAAATCACCTCTACCCAAAAGGGCTCATTCTGCAGGACTCCACTCTAGACACCCTGAGCAGTCAAATTCATAGACAGAAAGCAGGATGGTGGTGGCCAGGAGCTGGGGGAGGGGAGAAGGGGGGGTTTCTATTGAATGGGGGCTCTGGAGATGGGTGGTGGGGATGGTTGCACAATGGTGTGAATGTACTTGATGCCACTGGAGTATACATGAAAACATGGTTAAAATGGTAAATGTCATGTTTTATAGATGATACCTAAATAGTAATAATTCTAAAAATACTTAGTGGCTGAGTGTGGGGGGGTTAGGGAGAAAGAGAGGAAAGGAGAAGGCAGCACCCCCTCGGAGAAGTCAGACACACAGGCCCAGAGCCCAGCACCCAAGCCCGAGTCCTGGCTTCCTGATCTCTAGCAAACCCCTCAGCTTCCCAGGGCCTCTGTGTTCTCACCTGTGAAAGGGACCATCAGCAGGCCCTACCTCGCTGAGCCGCTCTGAGGAGTAAATGACGTGTTACTGTGGAGAAGCTAGGATGGCATATGGTGGCTAGTAGGATGATTGCTTTGGTGCTCTCTTGTATTGATACATAATATTTTACAGGGTAAAATTTTAAGGGGTACATGTGGGGTTCCATGCACAGAAAGTGTCATGATCAAATCGGGGTGTTTGGGGTGTCCGTGGCCAACTCCTTTCTCCAGCAGGCCCAGCTCCATGATGATGCCTCTCTCCAGAGACCTCCTGACCTCCTGACCTGCACAGCCCGGGAGACCACAGCCCACAGCCGCTGCCCCAGGTGTCCACAAGCATCTCAGCCCCTCCACAGCCCACGCATCTCCTCTTTCATTGGCTCATGGGGAGTGAAGGACAATGTCTGAATTAAATGCCGTGCTTTAAACTGAAAGGGAAACTTAGCAAATAAATGAGAGTAACAACACTAGATCATTGGCCAGTGTGGTTGCAATTCTTCCTTTCCCTCCAGATTTCTGTTTAACCTTTAAATCTCATTTCGGCATGCCTCTTGGTCCTCCTTGGATTGATATTAAGTTGTACACAGGCTACTTCTTGTAAGACGATGAGAACTCTTGCCGATATTTTACAACGTCTTACTCTGAACTTTCCCCTATTCTTTCTGCCTAGATGCATTATTTTCAGGAAATCTATGTTGTAAGACAGAGGTAGGCAAACCAGGGTTGCGGGCCAAGTCCTTCCCACAGCCTGTTTTTGTAAATAAAGTTTTATTGGAATGCAGCCAAGCTTGTTCATTTACACATCATCTATGGCTGCTTCTGTCCTGCCATAGCACTGTTGAGTAGTTGCGACAGAGACCACGTGACCTGCAAAGCCCAAAATATTTACTATCTGACCCATTACAGAAAACGTTGCCAATATCCTGTCGTAAGATATGCTGAAATGTTTAATTCTTTGAGGACTGGGGCACAAAATTATGTATTTTTTTAATCCACCATGCTAAAAGAAGGAAAATTCATTTACTGTAATATGTCCTGTAACGGTCGTGAAGTAATCTCATGAAACTGTGTCCCAGGGCGAATACTAGTATTTTAATGAGTACCTATCAGCAGATTAATGAAATCTGGGAGAGGATGTGAAAAGAAGACAGTGACACATTCCATCACGTTTCTCTGGATCTCACATCTGGGATACAGGCCAGCATGTGAGGTAATCAGATTGAAAGACATCTGGCAATTTTATCTGCATCCTTAAAAGTTTATATGCATACATTTTGGGGGAGGGATCTTTCTGTTTGGGAATTCTTCCTAAATTCAGACATCTTGGTATCAACAATTGTATATATTTTTGCATGTTCCAGTCTAATTCTATGCAAAATGACAGCAGGAATCTGGGACATCATGATGGACAAAAGGACTCGGATCTGGGCAGAGTCCCCATGTGCACGCCGCTTCTATCGGGCACTCCAGGGTCCGAGAGGATTCCCCTAGAGCTGCACGACTCCCTGGTGTTATCTGTTCAAAGTTCACCCACCATTTCTGATCAATTAGACCAGGGTTTCTCAACAGGGACCCTACTGACATTGGGGGCCAGATCATTCTTTGTGGTGGGACTGCCCTGTGGCTCAAACGCTGCCTCTTCCCACCACCTCCCCACTATTCTGATAACCTCCACCATCTCCACACATTGTGAGATGTCCCCTAGAGGGCAAAATCACCCCCAGGTTGGAACCTCAGAGTTAGTTCAGGTGAGGTAGGAGGCGGGACTCAACTCTGGAGGCAGGGCTCAGACACTGGACCTAACTGAGGACTAATGATTAAAACAGGTAGGGGGCAGGGAGGAGCAACGTGAGTGCTGCTCTCCTGCCAAGGGCTTTCACGGAGCCTCTGGTGCCTGGCGCTGCCCTGAGGAGCCAGAAGCTCTCTGAGTCTGAGTGGTGACATCTTGCAGCAGACTCTTAATGGTTTTGGATCCTCCATTTTGCCCAGGGAGGAGATGCTTCCTTCCTGGTTGTCTTTGATCAAAAATGCTGGTGAAAGAACAAGCATCTCTTTGGTTCAAAAGAGGTATGAATTATTTCAGTGATGAAGAAAGCCCAATAAACACATACAAATATCTAAAATATTGGTATTTTAAATTGGAGAAACTTTTAAAAGAAAGAGGTTAAATAAAATAAAATCAAACAGTTAATAAACTTGAGGGTAAAATGTTTGGCTAGACAGACAACAACCGAAAGGCTGGAATGCCTAAACGCTTCCAAGAGAACTGATAATTAAATGACTTTCAGAAACTTTATTTCTCTCTGAGTACCATTTTATGTAATTTTCTGACATCGAAACAACAGCTCTTCTCCTTGTTGAAAAAAAAAAAAAAAGAAAGAAAAGAAAATCAGTTCTACCTCACAATCAACAGAATCATGGTTTTGACTAATCTCTATAATCAGAAGCTAATTTGCCTTAAGAATAATAATAGTAACAATGTGCCTGTTATGAAAGAGTGTGCTTTTATCGTTTTATTTGCCTGTGATTATGTAAATTCTAGATATATGGTGTGGAGAAGCTGCAGAAGCTGCCCTGTGTTTTCTGTGGGAGCCAAGGGGAGCCGTGGAGAAGGGCCTTCTGCTGAGGAGAGAGCCAGATTTCACCCCCCTGTGCAAAGAATTTATTTTTTGCAGATTGGCTAAAGCATTTGATAGTTTAAATACAATATGTTGGAAAGATGGCTGAGCAGAGAGTCTTCCCTGCTGTCCGTACCTTCTTTCCTCTGTCTCAGAGCATCATGAATGTTCTGTCTCGTGCGCCTGGCAGGAGAGCCCCTTAACCGGTGATGAGGGTGCCCCAGTCTCCATCCTTCCCCTTCCCACCGCAGCCCTGCTCCGGCCACATGGAGCTCTGTGGCCCCGGCTCAGGGCCACTGCTTTATTTTCCTTCGGGGAGGCCAGGGTCTGGCTCCGGCATCCTTCCAAAGGGTGACCCTGGGAAATTCCACCCTCTGCTCCCTCCGGGCCGCAGTGTGTCGACCACAGAATGAGAAGATTGGGCCAGAGCAGCTTGTCTGGCCCTGCGAGTGCCGGCGGAATGTGCAGATTCGCTGACCCCAAGACTGTCTCCCTGTGTGTCTTGGAGGTGGGTGCTGAGCTCTGTCAGGGACTGTGCCCTCGGCTCCGGCCAGGGCAGAGAAGGTGTGCCACTCGGTGTTACAGGGGAGGCTTCCATAGGAGGAAGCTTGGGAAAGCAGCAGCCAGATTATTTTTGCAAATCACTGCTTTCACTTATGGATGTCCCCCATTTCAACATCTCTGCAAATATCTCCTCCTGATTAAATCACCATGTTCCGGTTACTCAGAGCCCTGGCAGAACAGTTGTGGCTGGTCTGCAGTCAGCATTGCACAGTGGCTGAGAGGGCAGGCCGTGGACAGACGGAGGGCTTGAATCTTGGCTCAGTTGCTCTCTGGCTGTGTAGGCAAATTACGTGACAGCATTGTGCCTCAGTTTCCTCTTCCGTGAATGGGAATGGTAACCGTGCTTCATGGAAGTGTTCTGTGGAAAGGGCTCCATAAATAGCAGTGGCTTCAGGACTGTCACTCTTGGGGCACCATGCCTGGCTGAAAGAATTCTGATCTCATTTCTGTTAATATTGAACAATTCTAGGTCAAGGAAATAATTGAGATTATAAACGATGACTTCCAATGGGGCTTTACCTGCTGTTGCGTGGAGACTTGCATCTCAATGAGTGTTTTCGCCACAGCGGCTGCAGGGTTCAGCATGCTGCATGCATTAGTTCACTTGGTTCCCACGACGAAGAGTAAGGGAAGTAGGTGTCTTCATTAGATCCATTTACAAGGGAGGAAACTGAGGCATGGAGAGGCTAAGTAATTGCTCAGCATCACACAGCCATTAAGCGGCAGAGCCAGGACCCAAACGCAGGCCTCCTGGCTTGAGGGCCACACCCATCACTCGGGTGTCAGGTGTTGTGGGGCGGCAAAAAGGCTGCCGCCTTCGTCTTTCCATGATTCTTCTCTATTTTGGGTCACCTTCCATCCAGGGACAGAACATTCTGTGTACATTGGGAGCATTAGGTGAAGTCCGAGGAGGGGGTACAACTTCAAAATATCCTGACTTGGCCTTTTGGTCTGCCTGATCTGATGATTTTATTTTTATTTTTATTTTTTATTTTTTTGACAGAGTCTCGCTCTGTCGCCCAGGCTGGAGTGCAGTGGCACAATCTCGGCTCACTGCAAGCTCTGTCTCTCGGGTTCACGCCATTCTCCTGCCTCAGCCTCCCAAGTAGCTGGGACTACAGGTGCCCGCCACCATGCCCGGCTGATTTTTTTTTTTTTTTTTTGTATTTTTAGTAGAGATGGGTTTTCACCGTGTTAGCCAGGATGGTCTCGATCTCCTGACCTCATGATCCGCCCACCTCAGCCTCCCAAAGTGCCGGGATTACAGGCGTGAGCCATCGCGCCCGTCCCTGATCTGATTTTAAATCTCCTGGGCTGGGCACCTGTGCTCCACCCTCTGTTTCTTTGATGCTGCCTGTGCCTGGCCTGCAGGGTTCTCATCCTCTGCTATTCATCAGTGCGCTCATTCACGAAGAAGAAGAGGGAAGAGGGAAGAGGGAGGAGGGAAGAGGAAGAGGAAAGAGAAGGAGAAGGGGAAGGGGAAGGAGAAGAAGAAGAATCCGCTGCGGCAGCCTTTCCCTGTTTCCTGTCCTTGTTCATTGGGCAGTTTCCATGGATCTCTAAATAGCTTGAGGACCAAAGGTCCTAAGAAGCATGGGTCCCAAGAATTCGCTGCAGGATGGGGCACGGGGGGGTATCAGGGCATGCGTTTCAACACAGAGCTCAGCTGGCTACCTCTCCCAGCTGCTAGAAAACACTTTGTGGGAACACATATTTGGTGAAAAATAACATTTCACTAAAGACAGTTCGAGTTCTGAAGACCATTTTCTTTGCTATGGCTGAAAACCACACTTTCCCAAACCAAATTACAGTGAAGGTAAGCCAAAGAAGTCCTGCTTTTGTTGAAAACTTGACTTTAGGGTATAATTTTGAAGTTTTAGAGTGTTGGAAAAATTTCTAATTACAGAACGCAGCATAGGCACAGAAGAAAATGTGTAAGAACCTGGAGTCAAGGACTAGAAAAATTGAATAATCACATCCCATCCCTTCCCAAAGCTGAAAGTTGCTCGCGGCCCATATATGTCTTGGTGTGTTTTATTTTCTGCGGAGGTTTTGGAGTTAATTAATTTTCAGTTGGGTTATTTCATCTCTGCCTGGCTGTCAGAGTGGTTTCCCCTACAGCCAGACAGGAAATTCTACGTGCACAGGGTCTGCCGGCCATTCACGATGACGCCTGAGGGAAACGCAGGCAGAGACTCCTCACAAAGCTCAGAGAAAGATCTGGATTCCGAAGTTTTCTCCTCCACATCCTGAGAGGCATTCGGGGACAGGACAGAGAATGAGAACGCTGAGGATTACTCATCTCAGCTCTCGGGCTGCTCTGCAATTATAAGGAATGTTCCGGAGGCTCTTGCTGGTTGGGGGAGAGGCTGGATTGCAAAGCAACAAGATAATTAGGCACAATTGAATTAACTAAAGAATAAGTGTCAGCCTTGGTTGCAGTCGTCCTCATTTCATTATGTGCAACCCCCTAATGCCTTTTTTGTTTCTTTAAATCATTTTTAAGCAGCACCAAAAACACCAAGTAGACGGCTAAAAAAGTAAAAACAAGTGAGGAGAATGTAGACACCATTCGCTCCATCTAGAAAATATCGAATTGGATGAGCTCCATTCACTCACCACTCCAGTGGAATTGTTTACCTTACATACAGTTCACACCTGGCGATCACTGGGGTGTGCGTGGGTGTGCCTGCACGCGCTGATGGGAGATTTCCTCTCTTTCTTTCAATTCTGCCTCTCTTTGGTGGGTGTGGGTAATCTGGGCAGAAGACATTTTCTACAAGGGGTGAAAGTCCAGCTCTGAGAGCACTTCCCAATGCTTTAGCCTTTCCATCAGGAGCAGGGAGCGGATGTGAAGAGTGCAGGCAAGGGCTGGGGCGCAGCCTCCTACTCTGCTGGCCAGGCTGTGGGACCTGGCGGTGCTTCTTCCAGGGGAAAGGGGGCCGTGTTCCAACTGGCACAAGCCACAGGTGGTGTCCGCTCACTGACCTCTGCATCTGGGAGCTGTGCTTACCTGAAGGGGACACCTGTCCTGATTCCCATGCAGGTGCTGTAGGGGCTGATGGTGGCTCTGAGAAAGGGAACAGGCTTCATTGATTAGCATTTGTTGAGTGCCTTCTTGAGGGCCTTGGTGAGCATACAGGGGCATTTTCAGAGATGTCCAGTCAAAATGGGATCCCATACTATCACTTTCCTTCCTTCCTTTCCTCCCTCCCTCCTCTCCTCTCTCCCTCCCTTTCCTCCTTCCCTCTCTTTTCCTCCCTCCCTCCCTCTCTTCTTCCTTCTTTCTTTCCTTCCTTCCTTCTTTCCTTTCTCCCTCCCTCCCTTCCTTTCTTCTCTTCTGCCCTCTTTCCCCCTTTCTTTCCTCCCTTCCTACTTCCTTCTTTTCTTCCTTCTCTCCATGCCCCTCTCTCTCTCTCTCCCTCCCTTCCCCTTCCTTCCCTCCCTCCCTTCCTTCCTTTTTTCCTTCCCTCCCTCTCTGTTTTCTTCCTTCCAATTCAGTTTTGCTTAATGAACACATATCAAGGTCTTCTTTATCCCAGGTAATGTGCTGAGACCCGGCCCGCTGGGTTCTGAAAGGTCAGGCGGGTAATGTAGAGGGAGGGTGTCCACCAAAATTGGAGATTTCTTCAGAAGCAGGTGCAGTAGATCCAACCAACCAGAGTTCTTTGGGGGTGCATGTTGGGCAAGGAGCTGGGATGAACACAGAAATTATCTCACTACATCTTCCTTCGAGTGTGCATGCAGTGTTATTAGGGAATGAGCTCTGCCTCCCTTACAGAGATTAGAGCACCTTTTGCCTTAAACGTTTTCCTATAATTTAAATTTTACAAAACCCATGCTTTGATGCATTGTTTGGTAGAATGAGCCCCTCCCCCTTTGAGGTAGGGTTGCCAGATTTAGCAAAAACAAACCAACAGACCACACCCTCCCCCCAGCATGCTAGTTAAATTTGAATGACAGATAAGTAATGAGTAATTTTTTTCGTATAAGTCGGCTCCCTGCACCATTTGGGACACACTCACACTAAAGTCTGTGTGTGATCTGACCTTCAGATGTCACCCAGTGCCCCGTGCAGTAGCCCCCTCTTGCCTATGGCTTTGCTTTCTGTGGTTTCAGTCACCTGTGGTTATCCGAGGTCTGAAAATATTAAATGAAAACATTTCAGAAATAAGTAGTTCATAAGGTTTACATTGCATGCCAGTCTGAGTAGCATGATGAAATCTTGTGCCATCTTGCTGCATCTTGCTCCATCTCACCCCGGGTGCGAATCATCCCTTTGTCCAACATATTCACTCTGTAGACGCCACTCATCCAACCCATCCATTAGTCACTTAGTAGCTGTCTCGGTGATCAGACTGAAAAAAAAAAAACATGGTGTATATACATGTATGTATATGCATGTGTGTAGATATAGACATATGTGCAAATATTTATATATAGGGTTCAGGACTATCCATGGTTTCAGGCATCCACTAGGGGTCTTGGAACGTATCCCACAGATAATGGGGTGCTACTGTATATTCTCCAGCAACTTCTCTCTGAGAGGACTCAATAGACATTCATTAAAACAAGGCATAGATTAAGAGATACTGAGGTTTTATGCCTCAGTCTTTTAACTTTTGAAAGAGTGTTAAAATACATACGACTTAAACTTTGTAATTAAAAACAGCAGTGCGGCTGCACAGTTTCTGCGGCGTAGTGGAAAGGACACAGGCGGTGTAGTTGACTAGATGCATGTCCCATTCCTCACTCGAGGACAGCTGCTGTCCAACGTGCCAGTCTTCAGGACTGGCCACCAAATATGTCTGGCTCTCTTTGGACACACAGTGGGATTGCCTTTCTCTACTTTCTCTCCGTTAGGAAAATGGAATGAAACGGGAGATGAAAGTCATCTTTGCAAGGAGACGTTTATTCTACTAGGCTTGCTATGCCTCGTGGAATGTGAGTGGGGGTGATGCCAGATACTTCCCGGTGGCTGCGCAAAGTGCCAGAGCCCCGCTGGCCCTGCCTGGCCTCTGCCACAGTGACCCACAGTGCTCCACGCGGGTGCCCCGTCGTCAACCTCTGCAGAAAGGATGACTCGATGCCATCTCGGAGCAGAGCTCCAGCCCACCAGAGGGAGGCATTCAGACTGGGGACTGTGGCAGATGCAGTGGCTCATGCCTGTAATCCCAGACCTTTGAAAGGCCAAGGATGGAGGTGTGCTTGAGCCCGGGAGTTCAAGACCAGGCTGGGTGACATAGCGAGAACTTATCTCTACCAAACAATACAAAAATTAGCTGAGCGTGGTGGTGCATGCCTGTGGTCGGTCCCAGCTAGTCAGAAGATTAAGGTGGGGGAATCACCTGAGCTGGGGGAGGTGGAGGTCGAGGCTGCAGTGAGCCTAGATTGCACCACTGCACTCCAGCTTGGGGACAGAGTGAAACCCTGTTTTTAAAAAAAAAAAAAAAAAAAAAAAAAGAGAGAGAGAGAGAGAGATTGTACTCACGCAGCAACACGGAGCTTACCTTGATGGACACACTTGGGTGAGCCTCTTACTTTCCATGATACTTGACATCCATATCTGAAAAATTTGGGAGGATATGACCAAACTTCCAAGATATAAGTCTTTATTCTGAAGTAGTTTAAGACTCACAAGAAGTTGTGAAAATAGCACAGAGTTCTCAGGCTGGGGCTTACGTAAAGAGAATTTAACATAGTTTGTGGAAAAAGCTGGCTGGGTTCACCTGAGGCCTAAAATTTCCTGGTAATCAATGGCTATTCCAGAAGTCACCATGGTTAAAAGTTGTTCTCAGAACATTCGCGTGGTGTACCTGGGAGGCCAGCAGCTCCGGGAGCAACCAGCCGCCCACTGCGTGGCCAGAGTGTCTTGCGGCCCGCCTGTGAAGGACAGTCCTGCTCATGATAAGCCTGCTCGCTGTAGCTGCAAGCTGACATTTAAGGTTTCTCGTCTCCCGAGGAGCTGGTCCAAAGGGTTATGTAAGTTTTCTGTCTTAGACACACTCAAAAAACACATCAAAACAATACAAAATGTCTACTGAAACTGCATGAGCGCTAAGAAGGCAGGAAGTGCTTTTCCTTCCATTTATAACCAGCCTTCCCTGGCCCAAGGCCTTTGGCTGCATCCTTTGAGGAAATTTTGTCTTGTTTCAGGGTCTGCCTGGTGGCAGATCAGCCTGTGCCACATTTTGACCCAATGGTATTAGCTGATTTTTGCCCTTTCTTTTTCTTTTCTTTTTTTTTCTTTTTCTCTCTCTCTTTTTTTTTTTTTTTTTTTTGAGAGGGAGTCTCACTCTGTTGCCTAGGCTGAAGTGCAGTGGCACAATCTCGGCTCACTGCAACTTCTGCCTCCTGGGTTCAAACGATTCTCCTGCCTCAGCCTCCTGAGTAGCCGAGATTACAGGCCACTGCCACCACACTCGGCTAATTTTTGTATTTAGTAGAGACAAGGTTTCACCATGTTGGTCAGGCTGGTCTTGAACTCCTGACCTCAAATGATCCACCCGCCTCGGCCTCCCAAAGTGCCGGGATTACAGACATGTGCCACCATGCCCAGCCAATTTTTGTCCTTTCTAGAGGGGCTATTGAGACAGAGCTAGTCCAGCAGGGTCCCCATGAGCTCAGGGACAGAAGAGCATCAGAGAGGGATAAAATGGTTTGGGTGTTCATGGGTACCTGTGTCCAAGAATGCTCCTCCTTGACACCATGTGTTTTTGAAGCATCTGGTCCATCTCTGCGTCCTCAGACTTTAGAATGAAAGGTCGTATGCTTTTCTTTCCAAGTTTCCTTCTAATTCAAGAACTCTGTGTTTGTGGATCCTCCGACATTTGGAACATTTTCCCCAAACCAGGTCTCTAAGTCTGTACAGGACCTTGTCAGCCATTGATTGCCTGTGCCAACTAGAACCTGTGCTTCCTGGCCAGAGCTGCTCCAGGGGCCCTGAGGGAAGGTGTGGGCACCCTAGGTCTTTGATTATTTTATCCATCTTATCTCACCAGCATTTAAATAATCTCAGTATTTAAGATTTTTGTTATATAACGATAAGGCCAGACCCTTGAACAAGTGAAAATGGAGTGAAACGGGAGGTGAAAACCATTTTTCTATGGAGCTGTTTATTTAAAGTGACACCTTACAGATACCTGCTTACCTCTTAGCTGAGTTTCAATGCCTGCAATGGATGAATTTACCAGCTTTTAGCCTTGTTCTGTACTTAGAATCCTGTGGTGCGTAGACCATTGCCTGGTTCTTGGGCTCGTTTCCATGTATTATATAATTTTTTTCTGGATACGCTTATTTAATGCCATGTCTCAATGCAGAGCTTGGTCTCCGAAGCTGCCAACAGTTGTCTGTTCTGCTCTTGGATGTATTTCAAGTTGTTGAGAGCAGTGATTTCTAAGGCTGCCTGGGCTGAGGATTCTTACACAGGTAGTGGAGAGTGGAAACTCAGCCTGCGGGGAGCAGAGACAAATTATCTCTGAGAATCCAGCCTTGTATTTAGTAAGATCCAGTTTGTATTCGATTAACTTGGGGCGTGATAAAAGATGAGCCAGGTGCACAGTTGGGGTCCTCCTGGGCGTCTTTGAATTGTACGTGTTGATATGCGTCCGCCTGCCCCACACCTTGCCTCCTGACAGGTCTTCATAGCAGCCCTGCATACTGAATGACATTCCCTTCCATGTGTCTCCTCTTTCCCTCCCACATTCAATGAGCACCTACTGTATGCCAGGGTGGAGGCTGGGACTACAGACATTGGTAAGACTTGGTTCCTGCTTTCCTAAAACACACGTTCTGGTCAGGGGCTGACAGTGAACCAATCTTCATGAATCCACGCAGTAAGGGCTGAGCTAGAGACATATGCTGACTGTTCACTTTCCAACTTGAAGGCTTGGGAGGAGTGCAAGGGTTCTCCAGAAAGCAGAGGAGGTAGAGAGGGCCCCAGGCAAACCATGGCAGCATGAGAGCACATGGTGTGTTTAGGGAGACAAGATTGACCTGTGTTGGGTTATGGAGAAGCTGCAGCAGGTGGACTGAGGATGGGTGGGTGGGCTCCATCATGGTGGATCTCAAAAGCTGAGCTAAGGTGGTTTGGACATTATCTAGTAGGCAAGGGGGACAACTTTCTGGGCTGGTTTCTTCTTTCTTTTTCTAAGTATAGGAGTGACATGTTTTGAGATACATCTTAGGAGGAACGCCCTGGTATGCTGGACTGCTGAAGGGAGAGACTGGAAGTTGGACGTTTGGTAAAGGGCTTGGTGCAGTGTTCACCAGCGTGAGTTCAAAGAGCTCTGCTCCCCAGGAGAAGGAGCTCTGCATTTGATCCAGCCTCTGAGGAGTTTCTCAGATGAGATGTGGTCTTTGTCCCCAGCGCAGGTGTCTTTGGCGGCCATTCAAATCCACTTTGGCCTGTTCTCTTCAGTGACTTTCTTTAATGTACTTCAAACACCTCCTGGGCTGCTTATGCTCACACACATGTTCTGCTACGGGAGAGGTAAAGAAACTTTTATCTTGTTTGAGCCACTGTTGTCCTGGGGTCTTATTTGAGCAGGTGATCTCCAGGTGATCTCCTATCCTAATCTAGCCCTCTGGTCCTGTGTGCTGCCCTGGCTGTTCAAGCCGTCCTTCTCTTCCAGGTCTCCCTGGAGCATCAGTGCACTCCTGTCAACTAGGTCTCGTCGGGTTCCCCCGGTGTGCCCATTCTCTTTTCTCTACTCACCCACCCATAGTTGGACAAGCTTACGAGGCCCGTGTCAGGAGGGCAGTTTCTGATGGTGCGATTTGATCAGGTCACCTGGCCTACATGAGCCTGAGTTTTCCCGTCTGTGTAATGTGAATGACAGTAGTAGTGATCTTTCAGGCACTGGTCTGAATTACTTGCGTGTATTAGCACCCTGAATCCCTATGGCAGTGCTGCCGGTGAGGGCTCCTTATCATCACTGTCTCACAACCGATGAAAATAAGGCACAGGAAGCCCAAACAGGAAGAAAACAGCTATGCCACAGTGTGGAGAGAAAAAACAGGGTGGAAAATACAGAAAAGAAGCGTGAGATATATGGGAAATAGTCAACATGCCTAATATTTGTGTAACTGAAGTCTGCAAAGGAAAAGAAAGAGAGAGAGAGAGAATGAGGGAGAAGCAGAATTTGAAGTTAGATCAGCTACAGTTATCAAAAAATGTAGAAAGAACCAAGCAACAGATTCAATAATTACTATGAGCCCAGCAAAATATACCTACAAAGAAGAGTATACTGAGGTACATTACAGTAAAATAGCTGAAAGAACAATTCCAAAGAGAGAAACTTAAAAGAAGCTAGAAATAGAAGATGCACTCCCTTCAAAGGAGCGGCGCTACGATTTAAAGGAGACATCTCAACGGAAAGGATGGAAGCTAGAAAATGGTGGAATGCTATCTTCAACATACTCAAAGAAATAACCAAAGTCTATGCCAGCAAAATTATCCTTCAAAAGAAAGATGAAATGAAGACGTTTTCAAACAAATAGAAACTGAGAAAACTTGTGGCTGGCAGCCACATACTAAAGGACATACTAAAGGATATTCTTTAGGCAGAAGGAAAATGATCCCAAATAGAAGAGCACCAATGCAGGAAGAAATAAAGGCAACACAGAAGACAAATGTGTGACTAAATCAAAATGAATGTTGACTATATGGAGCAACCAAAATAATAATAATGTCCTGTAGAATTAAACATACATAGCAAATTAAGACACATGAAAACAGTAGCCAAAAGGCCTCAAGGAAGTAAATTAAGTCAAAGTGTTCTAAGATCCTGCATTGCCAGGAAGTGATAAAAGTATTTACTTTATTAGAGTAACTATAAGTTTTATAAGAGTATCTGTTAAGAGAATAGTAAGAATGAACCGGTTAATAAAGGAGGACATGAGATAATAAAATGCACAAAATTAATCCAAAAGAAGAAAGAAATGGGGAGAAAAAGAACATAAAACAAGAGTGAACACATCAAAAACAGAAAGCTAGATGGAAGGTTTCAATGGAAAGCCACACTGCTGGTACATGAGGGAGCTGGGACTGAAACCCACGTAGTTGGCGTATGCTTTCCATCATCACGAGGCACTTCCTTCACAAAATGTTCATAGCAATAAATGACACCTCACAAAGTTATTTTTAGAATGAAATATGGAGGTGAACATTCTTTGCAAATTATGAAATCCCACATGCTTATTAATTGTGCAATTGTGTAAAAAGAATTGGTATTTGTGTCCCTTATAGCATCTGACATAGCTCTGAGCTATGGAAGAACTTCTGGTTGGTACAGCACCATCTCTCTTTCTCTCTCTCTCTTTTTTTTCCCAAAAGCTAATCCACATCTTGCATTGCTTTAAAGATTCAGACATCAGAATTTTGCTCTGACCATGAAAGAGTACTGTGTCTGAACTTACCCTAGCACTATTAACAAAATGAATAGTAGATAAAATATATAAGACAACTTTCTCATACATTGAATATCAGTAAGCATAGGATTATAATCCAAGGGAGTACCAGAGACGAGGGGATTACACAGAGAAAGACCTACAGAAATTGCCTAAGAGTTCCTTGAGTCTTTGGCTAAATACTTTTCTGTATTTGCATAAGGTTAAGCTCCATGAGGCCAGGCTAAGAACAGTTTTTAGGAAAGGACAATTACTAGGGAGATGTAGGCTGAAAATTTTCAGACCTCACACAGGATTTGGAATGATGTAAGACCCCACCAGTGAGAGAAGAGAGGCTTCATTGGATACACAGGGCTTTCAGTAAAGAACAGAGGGGCCTTGCTGTAGCAGTGGGGCTACCCCAGCCTTAAGGAAAGGCTGTTCTGAGCCTTCCTTAAAATGGCTTCAAAACCAGCCTCAAAAGGCTCAAGGTGATTTGCAGGTAACTTAACTGCCTGTTACTCTTTATAGGAATAAAACAAACTCCAGCACGTGCAAACATAAAACTCACAGTGTCTAGCATCTGATCAAAATTTGCTAGACATGTCATTAAGTGGGAAAACATGACCCATAAACAAGAGAAAGTTTGGTCAATAGAAGCAGGCTCAGAAATGACAAAAGATGATAGCATTGGCATAAAAGGCATTGAAACAGCTGTTAGAAACATGTGTAACATGCTTAAGGATGTGAAAGAAAACATTAGCATAATGGGGAGAACAAGGGAAGATACAAAAAATAAGAACCAGATGTAACTTCTAGAGATGGAGAATGGAATAATCTGAGATAAAATACTTACTGGGTAAACTTACAGTAGACTCCACACCGCAGGAAAACAAAACAAAACAAAACACAACAGAGCAGTATATGTGAACATGTAGCAACAGAAACCATCCAAAATGAAGCCCATACAGAAAAAAGACTGAAAGAAAACACAGTATCAGTGACCCCTGGGAAAATATCAGCTGGTCTAGCAAACGTGTAACTAAAATCACAGAAAGAGAAGGGTAGGGAACAGAAAAATATTTGAGGTAATAATGGCCAAAAAAAATTGTCTAATGCAAACTATAAACCCATAGATCCAAGCATCTTTATAAAACTCAAGCAGGACACACACACACACACAAACACCCCAGGCACATCATAATCAAATTGCTAAAAATCAAGGATGTAAAGAAAACATCTTTAAAGCAGCTAAAGACTAAAGACAATTTACATATAAAGGAACAAGATAACAATACTGCAGACTTCTAATGCAAATTAGAGAAAATGAAATGACATCTTTAAAGTGCTGAAAGAAACAAACAAGCAAAAACACTGTAAATCCAGAATTATATACCCAAAGAAAACATATCAAAAATAAAGTTGAAATCTGTACTTGTATGGGAAAAAAATACCTATATAGATGTGTTGTGAGCAGACCTGTATAAGAAATGTTAAAAGGGCTGGGTGTAGTGGCTCACACCTATAATCCCAGCACTTTGGGAAGCTGAGGCAGGAGGGTCACCTGAGGCCAAGAGTGCGAGACCAGGCTGAGCAACATAGTGAGAACTCATCTCTAAAAAAATAAAAATAGGAAGTTATCCAGGTGTGGTGGCGCACACCTGTAGTCCTAGCTACTCAAGAGGCCGAGGTGGGAGGATTGTTTGAGCTAGGGAGTTTGAGGCTGCAGTGAGCTATGGTTGTGCCACTGCACTCCAGTCTGGGCATAAGAGCCAGACTCCATCTATAAGAAGAAATAAAAATTAAAAAGTAAAAAAAAAAAAAAATAAAATATATATATATATAAATGTTTAAAGAAGTTCCTCTAGCAAAAAAAAAATATGATACTAGATGGAAACTTGGGTGTATACAAAGTAATGAAAAATTATGGAAATGTTAAATATGTGAGAAGATACAATTTTTAGTTTTAAAATTTCTTTATAGATAATTGTCTAAAACAAACAATGAATTGTGCAGCTTATTGCCTATGTAGGAATAAAATTTATGATAGCAAAACACAAAGGACAAGAGAGTGGGAAATAAAAATATAGTCGTCCCTCAGCATACATGGGGAATTGGTCCCAGAACTCCTGAAGACACCGAAATACACACACACTCAAGTCCCATAGTTGGCCTATCCCGTGAATGCTGTATTTTCTATCTGAGTTTGGTTGAAAAGAAATCTGCATATAAGTGGATCCATGCAGCTCAAACCCATGTTGGTCAAGGGTCAACTCTACTGTTATAGGGTTCTTAAGTTGTATGTCACATGGTATAATGTTATTTAAAGGCGATTGTGTCAAGGTAAATTGCATATTGCAGATTATAGAGCACCCCTCTAAAATAATAAAACAAAGAGGTGTAGTTCATAAATCAATAACACAGATAAAATGGAATGTTAAATACAGCTAATCAAAAGATAGAAGAAAAAGAACAAAGAACAAATTGGATATATAGAACCTACATAGTAAGAAAGTAATGTAATTGATATGTATATTAAATAGAAATGGTGCGAACGCTCTAATTAAAAGGCAGATATCATCAGACTGAATTTTTTTAAAAAGTTACCTATGTATGTTCTGTTCATAACAAACCTATGGTAGATATAAAGACACAGTGTTAAAAATAAAAGGATGTAAAAATGTATACCATGCAAATACTTAATCATAAGAAAGCTGGAATGACTATGGTTAGTATCATTCAAAGTAGACAGCAGAACAAGGAAGATTACCAGGCATACAGAAAGATATTTTATAATGATAATAGTGTTAATTAATTAAGAATTCATAGTGATCTCAAATGTGTGCACACCTAATAACAGAGCTTCAAAATGAAGGAAGCAAAACCTAAAAATATTGGAAAGAGAAATAGACAGATCCACAACTATAGTTGGAAATTTCAACATTCCTCTTTCAGGAACTGATAGAGTACACAGAAAATTAGTAGGGATAGACAAGACTTGAGCAATGTGCTAAACCAATTTGACCTAATTAACAATTATGGAAAACTCTATCCAAAAACTATAGAACATATTCTATAGGTAAACAGAACATTCACCAAGATAGACGGCTGGGTCAAAAAGCAAACCTTAGTAAATAACAAAGGAAAGAAAACATGCAGGATACATTTTCTGACCAAAGTGGAATTAACATAGAAATCGACACAGAAATAAATTTGCAAAACCTCTAAATACCAGAATTTTAAACACAATCTACATTTCTAACAACCTGTTGGACTAAAAAGGAATCATGGAGCAATTACAAAATATTTGAACATAGTGAAAATCTAAACAATGTGTGAAATACAGCTAAAACATTGATTGGGAAAAATTGATCGCTTTAAATGTTTATAGTAGAACAGAATAAAGATCCTAAATCAATTATCACTTTATGCTAGAGGGAAAAAGAGGAAATTTAAGCCAAAGTAACTAAGAAGAAGAAAATAATGAAGGTGGAAGGAGAAATAGAAGAAATAGAAATCAGAAAAACAGTCATGAAAATCAATACAATCAAAACCTGATTCTTTAAAAAGATCAATGCAATTGATAAACTTTTAGCTAGAGTGATAAGAAGAGAGAAGGCACAAATTACTAATATTGGGACTGAAAGAAAGGGATATCACTAAGCATTTTACAGCCATTAAAAGGATCACAAGGCAATACAATAAACAAATTCAGGCCATAAGTTCTTCAACCTACATGACATGCACATATTTCCTGAAAGATGCAAATGGCTGATGAAATAATTGGTACAACAAACCCTCATGACACATGTTTACCTATGTACCAAATCTACACATCCTGCAAATGTAGCCCTGAGCTTAAAATAAAAGAAAAAAAATGCACATGATCAAAACTGATTTAAGAAGAAATAAAACAACTCAATAGCTCCATATTCATTATTAAAATTGAATTTGTAATAACACAGTTTCCCATAAAAATTATAATGCAGATTACCTCATGGGTGAATTTTAGCAAATATTTAGGTCATAATTAATAGCAATCCTACATAAGGCCTTTGAGGAAAATAGAGTAGGATGCAAATATTTTCTAACTCATTTTAAATAGAGTAGGATGGAAAGATTTCGTGACTCAGTATAAGTTCAATACCAAGCCCAGATGATGTCTTTATTGGAAAATAAAACTAAAGACCAATAACTCTTATGAACTTAGAAGCAAAAAATCCTTAACAAAATATTATCAAATTAAATCTGGCAATATATCAAAAGAATACTATGATCAAGTAGGATTACCCCAGAAATGTAAGGCTGGTTTAACATTACAAAAAATTGATGTAATTCATTATTCACAGAATGAAAGGAAAAAAACCATATACTTAATTCAATAGTTTCAGAAAAGGTATTTGACAAAATATAATACCCATTCGTGATAAAAGCTCATAGTAAACTGAAACAGAGGGGAATTTTCTCAATTTGATTAAGAGCATCTCTGAAGATCCTATAGCTAAACCTGATACTTAATAGTAAAAGACTGAATATTTTCCCTTAAAATGAGAATGAAGGCAAAGGGGTCCACTCTCACCAATTTTATTCAACATTTTATTGGCAGTCATAGCCGGTTTAGTAAGGTAATCAGAAGAAATGAAAAGCATACAGATTTAAAAAGATAAAATAAAACCGTCTTTATTCACAGACGACTGAAGAAAATCCTAAGAAACCTGATTGAAAAGGTTACTAGAACTAATAAGTGAGTTTAGCAGCATTTTAGGAAATGTACATTTCTGTATGCTGGTAAGTAATTTATAGTAGATAAGAAATACTTGGAATAATTAAGCATAAATTCACCAAAATAGTCAAGGACACTAAAAACAATACACTTCTGAGTGAAACTGACGTAGACCTAAATAAAGAGATATACCATGTTTATGTATTGGAAGATTCAATAATGTAAAGATGTTCATTATCATCCAGTTAATTTATAAATTCTGTGCAATCACAGTAAAGCCCCCAACATAATTGCTTTTTGGCAGAAGTGAATAAACTGTTTCTAAAACTTATATGGGGTTGCAAAGGACGTAGAATAGTCAAAGTAATTTTAAATAAGTATAACAGTGTTGGAGGACTTAGACTACCTGACTTCAAGACTTACTATAAAGCTTCTGTAGCAAGATAATGTAGACTTCTGTAATCAAGATAATGTAGTGTTTGGCTGGCCACGTGCAGAAAACTGAAACTAGACCCCTTCCTTATGCCGTATACATTCATTATTGAAACTGATTTAGTAATAACACACTTTCCCCCAAAACCTTACACAAAAATTAACTCAAAATGGATTAAAGACTTAAATGTGGCTGGGTGCGGTGGCTTACGCCTGTAATCCGAGCACTTTGGGAGGCTGAGGTGGGCAGATCACTTGAGGTCAGGAGTTCAAGACCAGCCTGGCTAACAAGGTGAAACTGCGTCTCTACAAAAATACAAAAAAAATTAACTGGGCATGATGGTAGGTGCCTGTAATCCCACCTATTCAGGAGGATGATGCAGGAGAATCACTTGAACCCGGGAGGCAGAGGTTGCAGTGAGCCGAGGTTGCGCCATTGCACTCCAGCCTGGGCAACAGAGTAAGACTCTGTCTCAAAAAAAGACTGAAATGTAAAACCCAAAACCAAAACCATAAAAGCCCTAGAAGAAAACATGGACAATACCATTCAGGACATAGGCATGGACAAAAACTTCATGATGAAAACACCAAAAGCAATTGCAACAAAGCCAAAATTGACAAATGGGATCTAATTAACTAAAGAGCTTCTGCACAGCAAAAGAAACTAGCATCAGAGTGAACAGGCAACCTAGAGAATGGGAGAAAACTTTCACAATCTGCCATCTGACAAAGGTCTAATATCCAGAATTTACAAGGAAGTTAAACAAATTTACAAGAAAAAAACAACCCCATCAAAAAGTGGGCAAAGGATGTGAACAGATACTTCTCAAAAGAAGACACTTATGTGGCCAACAAACATATGAAGAAAAGCTCAACATCACTGATCATTAGAGAAATGCAAATCAAAACCACAATGAGATACCATCTCATTCCAGTCAGAATGGCAGAATGGCCATTATTAAAAAGTCAAGAAACAATAGATGCTGGTGAGGCTGTAGAGAAATAGGAATACTTTTACACTGTTGGTGGGAATGTAAGTTCAACCATCGTGAAAGACAGTGTGGCAATTCCTCAAGGATCTAGAACCAGAAATACCATTTGACCCAGCAATCCCATTGCTGGGTGTAAACCCAAAGGAGTATAAATCATTCTACTATGAAGACACATGCACACGTATGTTTATTGCAGCACTATTTACAATAGCAAAGACATGGAACCAACCCAAATACCCAATCAATGATATACTGGATAAAGAAAATGTCATACATATATACCATGGAATACTATGCAGCCACAAAAAAGAATGAGATCGTGTCCTTTGCAGGGACCTGGATGAAGCTGGAAGTCATCATCCTCAGCAAACTAACACAGGAACAAAAACCAAACACCGCATGTTATCACCCATAAGTGGGAGTTGAACAATGAGAACACATGGACACAGGGAGGGGAACATCACACACCGAGGCCTGTTTGTGGGTGGAGGGCAAGGGGAGGAAGAGCATTAGGACAAATATCTAATGCATGTGGGGTGTAAAACCTAGATGATGGATTGATAAGTGCAGCAAACCACCAGGGCACAAGTATACCTATGTAACAAACCTGCACGTTCTGCATGTGTATCTCATAACTAAAAGTAAAATAAAATTAAAGTAAAAAAGAAAGGTAATGTGCTGTTGGCATAAGGTTAGACATATAGATTAGTGGAGCAGAATAAAGGGGTCTAGAAATAGACCAGGCATATGTGGTCAATTGAGTTTTGACAAAAGTAGTAAGGTTCAATGGGGGACTTAAGATGCAGCAAGTGTTGCTGAAACACCTGTATATCCATATGGAAAAATGTAAAACTTGACTCTTGTCTCATGCCATATTAAAAAAAAAAGCTAACTTCAAGCGAGGTATAGACCTATACCTAAAATCTGAAAGAATAAAATTTGTGGAACAAAACATTGGAAAAATCTTGTGACCCTGAAGTAGGCAACAATTTCTTAGATAAGGCACAGATACAAAAATCCTAACATTTAGAAAATTAATTTGAAATTAATCAAAGTCATAAACTTACTCTTCAGAATATAATGTTAAGAATATTATAAGCCAAGACAAAGAATGGAAGAAAATGTTCATCATACACAACTTACAAAATCTTGTACCTAGAATATATAAAGAATTTTTAAAATTCAGTACTATGAAGTCAAAAATCTTATTAATATTAGAAAAACTCTTCTGGAGACTTAAAATAGGCCTACATTACACTGTACCCCATAAATATATATAATTATTCCGTGTCAATTATAAATTTTCAAATTAATTAAAAATGCATTTTCTAAAAAAAGTATACCTTTAAGCTCAAGGGGCTAAAAATATTTCTTTTGATATTGCTGCTTCCACACAAGATAGGGTCCCAGGGGCTCTGTTTACTCCCCTGCCTGAAACAATGCAAAAATCAAAAAGGAAAAACCAGACAAAAATATGAAACAATAGTTCTTAAGTCCCTGGATATCAGGCAACAAAGGACATAGGTTCCCAAGAAATGGGAAATGATTGAGTGAGCCCTAGGATTTCCCCAGCTTACTTACTGCCTTGACAAAGTTTCCAGGCTGCAGCACAAGGAAGGAGGACCCAGATAGAGCCTGGCTGGCTTGCTAAGTTGAGGACAAGGAGCTGAGAGTCTGGGAAAACCAAGGTATCTAGAAATTGCAGTGCAGACAGTGGGGAGGAGGTAAGTACACAGGATGAACTCCAGAGAACTGCAGAAGTTCCCTCTGTAGTATTCAGCAGAACACTGATGAACATATGCATGTGAGGAAATTACCTGAAGTTGGGAGAAAACACCCAAAAGGCACGCGTACAGGGCCAGGAATAATGCCTGCTTCCACCAGCCAGACTGGAAAAACTCATAACTCATGGGCCACTGGTAGAATTCTCAGAAAAGTCTTGCTTCAGTGGTGGGGAATAATTAGACTTAGGCTGAGCACTGTTCCAGACCCACCTAATAAATCATAAAAACAAGACCTGAAAGGATCGACTGTTTCCAAGTAACTTAATGTCAACCTCAAATTATGCCAAGAAAGTTCAAGGATATTTATAGAAATAAATAAAAATACTTCTGCACCAAACAAGGTAAAATTCACAATGTCTGGCATCTGATCACAGATTACCAGACATGCAAAGAAGCAGAAAAACATGACCCATCATGAGGAGAATAAACAATCCATCAAAATTCGTCAAGAACTGGCAAAGTTGTTAGATTTAGCAGACAAGGGCATTAAAATGGTTATTATAACTGTATTCCATATGTTAACAAAATTAAGTAGAGACATGGAAGATATGTAATATATATAGACATGAAGACTACAATGTGTGAGATGAAAAATACAATGGATTGGATTAGCAGAAGATCAGACATTACAGAAAAAAAGATTAAGGAACTTGAAGACATAGCAATAGAAACTATCCAAAATGAAACACACAGAGAAGAAAAGAACTTAAAAACAACCCCAGGGCATCAGTGATTCTGGAAAAACTTCAAGTGGCCTAATATAAGTGTAACTGGAATCTTTGAAAATGGGGGGAGTAGGGGAGACAGCAAAGACATTTCAAGAAGTAATAACCCCAAATTTTCCAGTTTCTATGAAAACTGTCAACTTACAGATCCAGGAATCTCAATGAACCCCAAGGAGAAGAAATATGATAGAAAAATACGTCAATAATTAATCATAATTAAGTTGGTCAAAACCAATAAAGAAAGTGTTATAAGGGGTAAAGAAAAAAAGATGTGGAAGTGTGGAGGAAAAAAGATAAGGATGACAGCAGATTTATCATAGGAAATGATGTCAGTGAGGAGACAGTGGAGCAACACCTTTAAAGTACTGAAAAGAAAATACTATCCACCCAGCATTCTACACCCAGAGATTTTCAAATGTTTCAAATGTGAAGGAGCGATAAAGTTGATTTCAGACATACAAAAATCCAAAATAATTTATTATTAGTGACTGACACTACAGGAAATGTTAAAGAAAGTCCTTTAGGCAAAATGAAAATGATACCAGATGGAAATGTGGATCAACTCAAAGGAATGAAGAAGACAAAAAATGGTAACTACATGGGTAAATATAGAAGACGGTTTATTATTATTTCAATCTCTTTAAAGATAGTTGGCTGTTCGAACACAAATTATAACAACGAAGTTTGGGGTTTATGAGATAAGTGTAAATTACATGTATTAAATAGCATCAAGATTGAGTTAAGAGAAATAGAAGTAAAGTTCTTCTATGTGAAATGGTATTATTTGAAGGTGATAATATAATAAGTGAAGATGTATGCTATGGACCCTCACACAACCATTAAAATACAAAACAAAGACATATAGCTAATAAGCCAACAATTAGGATAAAATGGAATTCTTTGTATGAATCGCTGCGAAGACAGATCTAATGTATAACAACAGATCTAATGTACAATATTTGGGGTTGTCATTGCAAGGGGAAGAAGCAGTTGGCTGAAAATGGGTCTATGGGTACTTTTTGGAATGATGGAAATATTCTGTACCTGGTCACCAAGTATATACAATCATCTGGAGACTTCAAATGAGTCCATTTTATTGTATAAAAATGATACCTTTAATCCTCAAAATGGATTAAAAATACTTATTTGTCATCATTGTTATCATCATCACCACCATTATCAACAGTAACCACAACACTAATAGTAGCAACATTTACTTAATACTCATTATATGCCAGGGAGTAAGCTAGATGTCTTCTTTATATGTGCTAAATCTTTTAGTTGTCACGTCATAATCATATAAGTTAGTGTCTTTGTGATGCTGTAACAGCATAGCTGATAATGGGTAATTTATAAGCAACAGAAATTGATTTCTCACAGTTCTGGAGGCTGGGAATTCCAAGATCAAGCTTCCAGCAACTGGTGAGGGCTGCTCTCTGCTTCCAAGATGGCACCTTGAATGCTGAGACCTCTGGAGGAGAGGAACACTGTGTCAAGCCCTTTCATAGTGACATTAATCCATTCATGAGGGCTCTGCCCAAACACCTTTCAAAAGACCTCACCTCCATCACTGCACTCCAGCCTGGGCGACAGAGCAAGACTGCGTCAAAAAAAAAAAAAAAAAAAAAAAAAAAAAAGAGAGAGAAGCCTCACTTTCTGACACTGTTGCATTGGGAATTCAGTTTCCAACACATAATTTTGTGAGACACATTCAGACCATAGTAGTCAGGTACTTTTATTATCTCCAATTTATTGATGAGAAAACTCAGGCTTAGTGAATTTCAAGGTGGGGATTTAATTTCTGGCAGTACAACTGAAGAGGCCAGTAGATTAACTTGTCGTGCCCTTCCTTGTCCATAGGAATAACAGCTATATTTCTCCCTGGAAAAGAATCATATAGCTCAAACCACTATATAAATGCACATTGCTGATTATTATTGCAAATTCCCTTCCCCCAGCTGTACTGTTTCCTAAAGTGCCCGTCACCCAGTCTTGAGAGAGCTCATCAGATTGTATTTGGCTCAGGACAGTCTCTGATCTGAAGAACTGTGAAAAATTAAAGAAACAGGGCAGGTCACAAAGGATTGTAATGAAATCATTACCACCCTAATCCTAGCATAGGATATAGCTGATGTGGTCACAGGCTATGGAAAGAAAGGCAGAGAGCATTATCAATGAATTGAGGAGAGGGAGCCGTGTTGTTTTGAAGTCAAAATGTACTTAATGACTATGTGTACAAGAAGATCTCAGTTAGGTAGGAAAATATACATATAAACACGCACATCAATACGTAGGTACCTGTACATAGAAAAAAAGACTAGAAGGAAATGCACCCAGTTGATACAGCTATTATTTTCATAGGTTGGGATTGCATATGGTTTATTCTTCTTTCCTATTATTTATCTGTATTTTTCATATTTTCTAGAGTAAACATATGTTACTTGTATACTCAGCAAAGAGGTGATTTTTAAGGAAATGAAAAGTGCTTTCAACATGAAGAAATTAAGTGCTACAGATACTGAATTCTAGTCCTAGAGGTAAGGGCTTAAGTAAAATGAAGATGTATTCTAAGCACAGGGGAGTGGAATGGTCTGAGGCAGTCTCTCCAAAGTTTGTGCTGGCCCCTCACAGAGGCTGAGCCTACCCATTAAACACTCCTGCTGGGGTCTGGGATATGTGCTCTTGTTCATGGCTGCTGATGTTCACAGTGTTCTTCTGAAAGGACTCTTCAGGAGTTGGTGGCTAAATATTTAGAAAAATGGAGATTTTTCCTTCCAAAATCAAAAGGCTGGGTTACATACAGCTTTGCACTTTTCACCCATCATTGCCAGTGAGAAGTCTCGGTTGCCAGGTCTGCAAACACGTTCCAGGGGCTTGAGCCACAATCATTTTTATTTTCTCTGTTCATTTTCCTCTTTTACTTCTGCTGGTTTGGACTACTATCACTAAAGTGGAAGATATTTGGAATTGACATAATTTGATCTTTCTTTCTACTGCACAGCCCTTTCTTTTTAGGGAGCTCATTAAGCATTGTGAGAAAGTGTTGGAGGGGAGAATGCAGTGCAGGAGGTGAGACAGGACTCTGGGCCTTTGTCCCCAGCTCTCTCTCTTATGGCCTCCATGGCCTTGAACAATGACTTAACCTCTCTGTGCTTTGAATACATGAATCATACAAAAGATGATGTTTGACATATATTTAGACTGTAAAGCAGAGGGAGAAACAACCTACAAACCAATAAGTGCACCTATTTGCTTCCTGCCTCTCCCAGAGATAATCACTACTTTCTATCAATTTCTTATATACCCTTACTTAAAAAAAAAAGTCAGTCTTATTTTTATGCCTGCTATCATATGGGGATGATTGTCCCCTCCAAACCTCATGTTGAAGTTTGATTCCCAGTGTTGGAGATGAGACCTAATGGGAGGTCTTCGGGTCACGGGGACAGATCCCTCATGAATGGCTTGACACTGCCACACAGTAATGAGTGAGTTCTCACTTTATTAGTTCTCACAATATTTGGTTGTTAAAAAGAGCCTGGCCCCTGCCCTGTCTCTTGCTTCCTGTCTTACCATGTGATCTCTGCACACACCGGCTCCCCTCTGCCTTCTGCTGTGAGTGGAAGTGGCCTGAGGCTCTCACAGGGTGCCCAGTCTTTCAGCCAGAAGAGTGTGAGCCAAATAAACCTCTTTTCTTTATAAATTACTCAGCTTTAGGTATTCCTTTACAGCAACACTAAACAGACTAAGGCAATGCCTAAGGATATATTATTTAATTTTATTTGCTTTTGAATTCTATAAAAATATTATGTTGCTTCATGTAGCTGTAGTTTATTTATCTTCATTGTTGCATAATATTCCATTGTGAGGGGTGTTTGGGTTAGTTTCTTTTATAGATATATACCTAGGAGGGGGGTTTTTGGGTCGTTAAGTATGCAAGTGTTCAACTTTACAAAATAATGCCAAATTGGTTTCCAAAGTGTTTGTATCAATTCATACTCCTACTAGCCATGTATAAGAGTATCTGTTGGGCCAGATATGGTGGCTCATACTTGTAATCCCAGCACTTTGGGAGGCTGAGGCAGGAGTATTGCTTGAACCCAGGAGGTCAAGGCTGCAGTGAGCCATGACTTTGTCACTGCACTCCAGCCTGAGCAACAGAGCAAGATCCTGTCTCAAAAAATAAAAAAGTATTTGTTTATATCTTCTCCAACACGTAATGCAGTCAGACTTTTTAATTTTTGCGAAGAAAGTGTAAAATGGTTGATTATTATGACCTTATTTTGTATTTTTTTCTGATTACTGATGATATTGAGCCCCTTTTTATAAATGTATTGGCACTTGTGCTTTTTCTGTAAAATGACTATGTGTTTTGCTCATTTTTAATATAACTTTTTTCTAATTGGTTTGAAGAAGTTCCTTATGTATTTTAGATACTAGTGCTATGTTCTTTATATGTGTTTCAAGCATTAAATCCCAGTCTGTGGCTTTCTTTCCATTGTTTTATGGTGGCTTTTGATTAATATAAATTGTCTATTATAATTATTTAAAGTTTATTAATTTGTGGGTTTTTTGGAGATAGGGTCTTATTCTCTTGCCCAGGATGGAGTGCAGTGGCATGATCACAAAACACTGCAGCTTTGAACTCCTGGGCTTGAGTGATTCTCCCACCTCAGCCTCCCAAGTAGCTAGGACCTCAGATGTGCCAACATACCACATTAATTTTTTTAAAAAGTTTTTGTAGAGATGGGATCTTACTAGGTTGCTCAGACTGGCCTGAAACTCCTGGCATCAAGCAATCCTCCTGCCTCAGCCTCCCAAAGTGCTGGGACTACGGGTATGAGCCACCATACCTGGCCTAATTTTTTGTTTTATGTTTAATATTTTTTGTGTCTTAAGAAATCTTTCCTTACATTAAGATAAAAATATATTGCCTAATATTTTCTCTAAACTTTTTTTCATGTTTTGGTCTTTTAATCCATTTAGAATTGATTTTTGTTTATGACTTGAAATAGAAATCTAATTTCATTTTCTCTTAAATGGATAGCTGTTTGTACCAGCACCATTAACAAATGGCATAGGAGGTACAGTTCTCCCCTCCTCACTAATCTGCAAAGCAACCTCTGTCATATCCCAAAGCTCCATATATGTGTTGGTCTTTTTCTAGAGCCTCTATTCTGTCCCAGTGGTCAGTTTGTCTATCTCTGCACCAATATCACACTACCTTATTTGCTCTTACTTTATGAATAAGCCTTTATTTTAGGACAAATCTCTAACTAATTCTTCAAGAGTACTTTATCCATTCTTGACCATTTTCTTTTCCATATACATTTTAGAATCAGCTTGTCAATTTCCACAAAATGACCCAGCTGAAATTGTCATTGGATCATAACCCCCCTTTGGGGGCAGATTGACATTGTCACGATATTGAGTGTTCATATTTATAAACATGGGCTATCTCTCCGTTTACTTAGGTATTTTTAAATGTATTTCAACAGAGTTCAATAAGTCTAGAGTTCAGTAAAGTTTAAGGCATAAAGATCTTATGCATTTCTAATTAGAACCATTTCTGGATACCTTTTGGGTTTGATTGCTATTATAAAAGGTAGACACCTTTTATAGTCACTTATTTCTTATTGATTCCAAGTGTTTGCTGATGGTGTACAGAAATGCAATGTATATGTGTATGCAGCCAGCATCTTGTTAAACTAATTAGTCTAGTGATATTTTATATAGATTCTATTTAAACAATGGCTTTATTTTCTTTATTTTAATATATTATAATGGTGGTAACTCACCTGCTTATGAGTTATGAAAAAGTTAATACATGTAAACTTCTGTTAAATGTAAGCTATATATTGTTGTTACAGTTATTATTTTTAAAGTAATGGCTTTATTGTTTTTAAAAAAGTTTTGCATGAATGTTACATAAACTAAATCAAAACAGAGAAGTACAAACAGGAAACCAACAAGTTGCTCATTACGCAGAAACAGAGTTAGTGTTTGATGAACATCATGCCAAATTTCTATGACTAGATAGAAGAATAGATTAATATATATACACATATATGGTACAATTTAAAATTATATATATACAAGGTAAAATTATTTTTTAAATAGCATTATATTTTACATGATTAAAATATTAAAATTTAATTGAGTTTAAAAGAAGGAAAACTCTAATGAAATAGCTGACTTTAATTTCCTTACCATAAGAGATATTCGTCTGTAAATATCCTGCTTAGGTTAAGAAAAAAGATTTTAAAAATTAATAAGCAGATGAGTCAGTAGGTTGTTTTTTTCATTATGCTTTAATTTTTTTTTTTTTTTTTTTTGAGACGGAGTTTTGCTCTTGTTGCCCAGGCTGGAGTGCACTGGCACGATCTCAGCTCACCACAACCTCCGCCTCCCGGATTCAAGCGATTTGCCTGCCTCAGCCTCCCGAGTAGCTGGGATTACAGGCATGTGCCACCATGCCTGGCTAGTTTTTTGTACTTTCAGTAGAAACGGGGTTTCTCCATGTTGGTCAGGTTGGTCTCGAACTCCCGACCTCAAGTGATCCACCTGCCTCAGCCTCCCAAAGTGCTGGGATTTACAGGTGTGAGTCACTGCTCCCGGTCTCATTATGCTTTAATTTTTTGCAGTACGTCTTAACTCCCCACTGTAGAAAATGAGGTGAGTGGCTTCCTTACACCACTCCATTCCTCCTTTCTCAGTCTACCTATTTTTGTTGCATATATTATTTTTGCTTTGCTATGTGTGCAGGCTTGGATTCTTCAAGAATAAAGGGAAGCGCAAAGGTTATTAGGGAGTAACACTTGTGGAAGAAAAGGGCAGGGAAAGCGGTCAGCCTCTGATGCAGACCAGGAAACTCTGCCAGTCCAGTGAGAGGCTCCAGAGCAAAGACTGTCCCTCAGAGGAGACCCACTTTGGGTGGAACAGACCAGGCCCCTCCATCGCTGACTTGCTCAGTCACTGGCTGGGGGCTGCCCCAAGAAGAGCATGACTTTGGCTCAGAAGCTGAGAGTTAACAGCTGGAGGCTGTTGCCTAACCCCTTACAGCTGGATCCTGAAGTCGGGATCCCCCATTAGGTCCTGAAAGGGGTCTGAGAGGAGCACCTCCCTGTCTGCTGCACCGGAGTTTATAATATTTACCATCAGCAAAGCATAATTCTCCATTGTATGATTTCTGCTATAGTTGCAAACATCTGCATTGCTCACTGACACCTCTTTACCAAGGCTCACCTATACTAGAGTTTTTAAAATTTTACTCATCTTTTGCTTAGCTGGATTATTGTTTCAGTGTTTCCTTTGAGAAGGATTCATAGGTTTTATATTACTGAATTCTTTAATGTTTGAGAATGCTTGCCTTTTGTTTTCTTCTTGAAGGGTAATTTGGCAAAGTAAGAAATTGCTCTGTTGTCTTCTATTGCTGAATGATTCTGTGATGTCTGAGATTAACAGATTTTTTCCACCTTGTAAGTTATTTGCTTTTTTCTAGTTTTATGCTTAAATAATGAGCTCTTTGACATTGATTGGTGCTTAGTAACAACCAGGGTATATCTGAAGCCTTCCTGGTATATTAGTAATCTTTCAATTGGTATATCCACTTTTTCCTTCACTTCAGGAAAAATGTCTTGTGTTATATCTTGGAATAATGTCTTCTATTCCATTTAGTGAGTTGTCTGCTTGAGGGACATTTGTTTTCCTTCGTTTGAATGCCCTGCCTGTCCTCCATATCCATGATCTTCTCTTTAATCACTCCCAACTCTTTATTTTTTTTCTTCTGCATTTCCGGTCATGACCTCAGATCATAACTCCATGTCATTAATTTAGTTTCCAAGTGTCAGATCTCTTCTTGTTTGTAATTTATTTATTTGATTTATAAATTGGCTCTAAGGTTTCTTAGCTGGTCAATATTATTCTTTTATTTTATACTTGCACCTTTTGGTTTTTGTATAGTTGTATTCATATATATATATATATGAGTAGTATTCATATATACAAATGTATACATATATATTATATGTAGATATAGATATATTCAAACATATGCATACGTATCTATGTATCTAATTTATCTATCTAATCTATCTGTCTATATATCTAATTTATCTGTATCTATCTGCCTATCATCTATCTGTCTGCCTATCTATCATCTATCTGTCATCTATCTGTCTATCCATCATCTATCTATCTGCCTATCATCTATCTGTCTATCTATCTCTCTATGTATCTATGTATCTCTCTATGTATCTATGTATCTATCTGTCTATCTATCTATCTATCATCTATCTATCATCTATCTATGTATCTATGTATCTCTCTATGTATCTATGTATGTATGTATCTATCTATCTATCTCTCTATCTCTCTATCTATGTATCTGTCTGTCTGTCTATCTATCTATCTATTCAGCCAGCCATTCATTCTTTGGTATGCAGCACTCACAGGGAATCTGATCCTGCGTTTTCTCCCAGACTTTATTCTTCAACGATTTCTCTCATTCCCTTCCTCTTTGTTCTCTCTCCTCCCTTCCCATCCTTCTTTGGGTAGTACATGTGCATTTATCGCCTTGCTATTTTTCATTCTTTTCATGATATATGGCAGAGGCAGCTCCATCTAGCTTTCCTATTTGTGCGATGCATTCTGTGATACGTTTCCCCATCTTACCGGGGGCTAGTTTGTCATTCTCTCCTTGGGCTGTACTTTGAAGACTACTCTCAATCAGATATCCTATTGTCTAAGTTTTCAGGGAGTGAGGGGTAGCGGAGGTGGTCCCTGTTGGACACCTCCCTTGAGTGTTCTGTCCCAGGACCACTTCACTCAGCTGTGGGCATGTTCTCCCTCCCACAGGCCACAAATTGTTATTCTAACTCAGCACAGTGCCCTGGTGGACTTGCCAGATAAAATACAGGATGCCCAGTTGAATTTGAATTTCAGATAAACAATGCATAATTTTTTAAGTATAAGTATGTCCCCAAGGGGACATTTTGGCACCTTCTCATGTGCTAAATCTGGCAGCCTCACGCCCTGGAAAATGCCAAATGTGTTTCCCTTGCTGAGCTCCCATTGTGAAGTGCAGGAACTTCTACTCCTGAGAGCTCTAACTTCACTTTTGCCTGGCTGTCCCTGCAGCCCTGCCCCATAGGCCGCCCACTGCAGGAGTTCTGGGAGAATTCTCAGTCTCAATTTCTTTCCTTAGGAAAGCTTCCAGGGGTTGAGGGTGGGGTTAGGAATCACACGACCTTGTGCCAAACCAGCATCTCCTGCTTTTCCCTTGGCTGCCCTTTTTCATGTTTATGGCACAAGGTGGTTATTGCTAGTGAATTTTGCTCTAATGAATTCTTTTCCTTTGGTTGGGTCTTGGAGGAGGAGGAGGAGTCTGTGGTTCTTCTTCCTCCTGCCATCTGCATCTGGCAGCGCTCTTCTGTAATTGTTTATTCATTCACCGAATACTTACTGAGTGCCTACTGTTCAATGTCTGCCGTCGAGGGAAAGTAGATGCAGCAATTATCACCCTGTGACAAGGCTGTTATAGACACTAGTGAAGGAAGTTGCGTTCTGCAGTTGATTTTGGCTGCGTGGGTTCCTGTCCTGTCTTCCCGTTAGACAGAGAGCTCCTTCAAGGCAGGAATCGGGTGTCGGGCATCTCAGTCCTTGTCTGGAGGGGTGGTCAGTGTTTGTTGCACAGACGACGGAATGAGTGAATGGGATGCCAGGTAAAAGGAGGGCTGTCTGGGCACAGTAAGCGTATTAGTGCCTTGATCCTCCGACTGCCAGAAACAAAGATAGAGACAGCTTGGCTCTGCCCTTAGTCACGCGGTGGTTCAAGACAGGGTGTCGCTAATCACTAACTGAGCATTCCAGGTCTGGTTTAGTCTTCGTTGTCATAAATTAATGGTGCATTTGTTGAATGAATCTAGAAAAGAGCTGTCAAGGTAAAGGTTTAAAAGGAGGAAAACTTTACTAGGCAGTGGAGGTTCAGGATCAATGAGACCCAGCGGTGGTTCTAAGCGGCATTTGTCATCTGGTAGGGAAGACAGACAGGCAAGCCCACACGCGGCAGGAGGGTCGGTGTGGAACGCAGGAACTGAGTGGACTGTGGGCCACGTGGGAAGCTGAGGGCAGCCCGGCCGCAGCAGCGGGGCAAAGGCAGTGAATGCTGAAAAGCAGGGTCTACCTGAGAGGTCAGTGAGCTCCGAAGGAGCGTGGGAGGCAGATGAAGCTGTCCGCAGACAGCAGATGGTGAAGAGGCCTGTGAGCCATGTTAGGGGTTGGACTGAAGTCCACGCGGAGTCCTGGACAGGTGGGAATACAGGTAACAGGGCCCTCCTGCTGCCGCCTCCGCCAGGGAGCACGAACAGAACTGCCCAGAGCCAGGCACACTCCACTCTCCTGACAATCACCAATCTGTTCACGGCAACCCTTCCGTGGCAAAATCCTGACCCTCCAAAAACGTCGTGTTCACCTGGAACCTCAGAGGGTGACCTTATTTGGAAATAAGGTCTTTGCAGGTGTAATTAAAGAAAGGTGTAATTAACCTGCTGGGTTAGGGTGGGCCCTAAACCCAATGACTGGTGTCCTTATAGGAGACAGAAAAGGACACATGGAAACAGGGAGGCCATGCGGAGACGGAGGCAGAGGCTGGAGTTCTGTTCCCACAAACCAAGGAATGCCTGAAGCACCAGAGTCTGAAAGGGGCAAGGAGCCTCCTCCCCTGGGGTCATGGGAGGGGCACACTCACACACAATGAAACACAATCCCCATGTGATTCTAAATCGTGGCCTCTTCCATGTTCCAGAGGCTCAGCCAGGACTCAGGAAACGGGCAGCAGAAAGGGAAGTTGGAGGGCCGGCCTGGGCAGTAGAGGGAGGGTCGGAGGGCCGGCCTGGGCAGCCCCGGCCTCTGCTGGCTCCCTCTCTAATTCTGCTCTCAGCCTTTCCTCTCTACTGAGAGGCTCTCCTCACTGCCTTCTGCCCCTGCTCACCCCGCTGTGGTCCTAACGTTTTTTTAGGACCAAGAGTGGTCAATGTTTATTTTGAGTTCTGAGATAGGATGGATGACCACCGCTGGCTCACAGCACTCAGGTAGGGTTGCTGAAAAGCTCAGCGTGGAGCACAGTGGTCCCCTGGAACCCTCTTCCCACACCGGGCCTCTGGAGGTGGCCTCAGGGGTCGCTCAGAGCCTGGGGGAGTGCAGTGTGGCAAGACCTGGATTATTACGTCAGGAAATCTTTGCCCCACGGGCCATGCAGGTAACCACACATCACCCTCTGAGTAAGTCTCCTCAGCTGCAAATTAAGAAACAAGGTGCCTCATGAGATTGACCTGAGAACTAAGTGAAACAAGGGATACGAACCACTTTATAAACATAAAAGCGGTTGCCAAATGGAAGCTTTTATCACTGTCATCTAAGGAGCTGCTAATATGGGTTAGGTGTGTGAGACCACACTCCAGTATTTCCAGGCTCCACATGCAAATTGTCCACTGGACACCAGCCAAGATTTTCAGGGAGATGTCCGTTGCCCCCCAGTCAACTCAGCTCTTGCAGACGAGCCTGGAAATGCAGTCTGCACCCCACCCTGCCGCTCAGGGGGACCTACTTGCCATCTCTGCTCAGGATCAGAGGAGCATCAGACCCCTGCCAGAGGCCATGGCAGCGTGGGGTTGGGGAGGCTGACACCTGTCCCATGTTTATGTGGAGCGGGGGCCAGCCCACTTTCTCTGCAAGGGCCAGATGGTGAACATCGTGGGCTCTGTGGGTCTCTGTCACAGCCGACAATTCAACTCTGCCACTGTAGTGTGAACACAGCCATAGGTGATATATAAAGAAATGGACGTGGCTGTGTGCCAATAAAGCTTTATTTACAAAAACCAGGTGGTGGGTTAAATTTGGCCCTTGGGCCATAGTTTGCTGACTTTTGATGTAGAGGGGTTTGGGGAAAACTTTGGCTGAATTTTATTTTTTGGAGTAGTTTGATTCTTGAGATTTTCATTATCAAGCTAAGTCACCAGTATGACACAACTCGATGCCTAGGAATGGCGACTTCTTTGATGAGTGTCTCTTCCAGGAGAGCCACCCAAGAAGGAGAGTTGCATTCACTGTGTCTTCAGTGACCAGGTCTTGCTTACAGATTGAGGGAAAGCCTTCGCCGTGCCAGGAACTGGGACTTCTTTCCCGAACTGGAGTGTGCGAGTACTGCAGTGGCCTGACAGCCAGTGGTTTCTGGAAGTGAAACAGAACAGAGCTCCTGCAGAGGAATTTCTGATTCTACTTTTCCTCCAGGTCCGACAGAGCAGAGAAAGCCAGTAAACATTTGCCAGGTACATGGTGGGGCTGGCGAACATTGTTGGCTAATTCACGTTTTTATTCGAACACAGATGGCTGGGCCCCTAGGAAACCTGGATGTTGTTTCCCTGTTAGTCTGAGTTCAGAAATACTCCCATGTCACCAACTCTGTCTTTGTTCTTATTATAAAATTATTACTAATGAGAGCGGCCATTTATGAAGTCAGTTCTCTGAGCCAGGCGCTGGGCGAGGCACTTTGCATTCATCTCAGTCTTGACAACAGTCCGGTGGAGGTAGGAGGTCTTGACCCCGTTGACAGTGAGGAGTGGAGACTTACCAGGTGACACAAGTGCTGTTCATCAAACAGCTGTTGAACGATGAGACTGGGAGTGAGACCAGCTTTGTTCACCTACGAAATCTATGCCTTCCACAAAGCCATTTCCACTGGGATCTGAGAGGTGCCTCCGGTACCACTGTATAGTGAGCCCCATGGCCTAGGTTTCCACTGGGAAGACCCCAGCTCCAGCCCTCCTTCCTTTCCTGTCTGGGTCCTTCCCAAGCTCTGCAAGAGGATGTGCAGGGTCAGCTGTGCAGAGTGTGTGGTGGATCCTCATCATGGCTCGAAGCCCATGTTGATGTGGACATCGCCCAGCTGTCCCGAGGTCTCCAGGGCTGATGTACCTCATGGGACCCAGTGTGCCAGCCTAAAGAGCTTTGCCCTACCCTGCTGGGCACCTGCCTCACTTCTCCATGACACCTCACTTCTCCATGGTGCCTCCCTACTCCTCACCCCAGCATCCTTCTGTCTGTGCCCAGGGCCACCCATGTGTGCTCCTTACAAGGTGCCCTTACCACACAGAGGCAGCTATGTGTTTCCTCCCCAGCCAGACCATGAACGCCGTATGTCTGGGATCTGGGTATCTGTCTCTGGGAATCCCCCGTGCCTAGCATGGTGCCTGATGCACAGTAGGCTCTCAGCCTGTGTTTGGTGACTGCACAAATAGATGTGTGAACTTACATGAGCTCTCGCGTGACATGATTTAATGTCATTCTTATAACAACTCTGAAGTGGGCAGAGTGTGTATGACTGTCCTCCCTTACACAAGAGAAAACAGGGCCCCTTCCGTGGGGCTGGCTGAGGACCCGATGGTGGGCCATAGACCAAAGTCATGGTACCGGTGATTGCATTCCTCCACAGAGCTTGCAGCACATCTGAGCACTGATTTAGGTCTTGGACCCAGCAGTGTGCATCATTCTTTAACCTTTACAAGACTGTAGAAGGCTGGTCTTACCTTATTCCCATTTTATGAAGAAACCAAGGCACAGAGAAGCTGAATATTTTGCCCTGGTCCTGTGCTCCCTGAAGCTAATGCCCAAATGGGAACCCTACGCGAGGGCACAGTCTCAGCCACGCGGCCCCAGGCGGCAGTGAGAATGAAGAGAAACGCCTGGTATGTGCTAGGCTGGGGCCTGGAGGCCCCTTCCCTGGCTTCTCCCAACCAAGAGCGCCTGTTTCTCAACACCTGCCAGGGACCGGGTTGCTGGCAGAGGGCATGGCCAGTGTTGTGACCTTGGAGATGGAGAAAGGAAACCAGTGCTGGGTGCCTTCCTCCCTAGCATCCCCGGGAGCCCTGGTCCTTCTCAGAGTGGCCGCAGGAAGCCTGGTGTGGTTCTGGATGAGGTCTGGGAGAGGGCGATGAAGGAGGAAGAAATGGCATCCCGGTGAGTCCTTTCCTGCTCCTTTAAGGCTTATGGAGAAAGGAAATTCATGTGGTGGCGAGGACGAGCTGACGTGGAAAGATTGCTGGCTTCCAAGCAGGAGGCTGTGGTTTCAGACTCTCTGATTTTGTGGCCTTGGGCTTGTTTCTGAACCTCTTTGAGGCGCAGTTGAGTTATTTGCAAATCAGGGATACAAGTACATGCCCTGCAGGTCATCTCTGACGCATTCTTAATTCCAGGCTTTGAGGATGCTTTGGTGGCCTCATTCACTGGGACTTACTAGCGGGCAGAGGTTGTGATTATAACGGAGGCCTACAATGCACGGGGTGTTTCATCCTCACCACCGCCTGGGAGGTGGCCATGGGTATTTCCATTTTACAAGTGAGGAAAACTGAGATCCCAAAACATAAGGGGTGTGCTTAAGGCCATACGGATCTAAGTGGCAGAACTGGACTCCGGGCCCAGCCACGCCACGGGCCACCTTCTCTCGGCCTGGCCGCCGCTCACCCCAATGCAGCATGTCCTGTGCCCGACTGGACTGGCCAATTCCAAATATGCTTTGAAAAGATTTATTAGACACATCAGGAGTTTTCATCAGCTGGATTTTTTTTTTCCTTTCTGGGTTGTTATTATTTTGCATCAGGAAAAAAAGGAAAAGAATTTAATTCATCCTTAAATGCTGGGAAGAAAGAATGCAACAACAAAAAAACACCACTGCCAGGGAACAGCATGAAGCCAGAGGGTGAGGAGGGTGAGGCCTGACAGAGTCCACCGGGCGGGGATGCAGAAAAAGTCTTGCCATTGGCGGCTGTTCCCTGGGGGTTCACGAGGCCCTCTTCACGGACCTTCTTGGCTGGCGCATGAGTTCTCTGGCCAGCTGGCCACTTGGTAAGTGTCCACAGGCAATGCTTGCTGTAAGGAAAATTAGAGGCACCCAACTCTGAGTTTAGAGGGTGCTATGGCTAGAATGTTTGTGTCTCTCCAAAATTCATGTTGAAACTTAATCCCCAATGCAATAGTCTTACGAGATGGGGCCTTTAGAAAGTGATTAGGTCCTCAGGGCTCCACTCTCACGAATGGCATCAGTACCCTTATGAAACGGCTCCAGGGAGCCTGATTGTCTCTTCCGCCCCTTCGTCCGTGAGGACCTGGGACAAGCGCCACCTCGGAAGCAGAGAGCAAGCCCCTCCAGATGCTGCCTCTGCCAGTGCCTTCATCTTGGACTTTGCAGTCTCCAGAATGGTGATAAATAAATACCAATGATTTAGAAATCACCCATCCCAAGATGTTTTGTTACAGCAGTAGGAACGGATTAAGACAGGGGACCATGTGGTGTTTGTGTGACAAAATGTTTCTGGTTCTCAACTGGAACAACTGCTGGGCACCGAAGGCCCAGGAGGGAGGCAGGCAGTGGGGTGAGTGCTGCTCCCCACACCAGCCCTTAGGACAGAGGTAAGCAAGGGCGGTGCCTGCACCTTCCATTTTTCTTACGTATAATTAAGGGTCCCAGTCCCTGCCTCAGGGAAAATAGAGAAGAGAAGAGCCTGTCTCCGCACACAGTGGTTTATATGTAAATGTGTGTCTAAGGCCGTGGTCCTCACCAGCTTTCTACCTGGGGCCGGGCCACATAAGCATTCTGAGCACATGTGTTGAGCTTATTTGTGAAGAAAGGAAGTTGGCTTGTATATGGGCATCCCACAGCCCTGTCTGGTTTTATGATTTCATGCCCTATGCATGTGCACGTCATTAGATATTTGACCAAGGGGCGCAGCAGAGGGACACTGACCACTAAAAGTGCATCGTCACAGAGGCTTCCCAAATTCCGCCTGTGTTCATGCCCAGCCCCGTCACTTCCCTCTGTTTACTGGGCCATGCCTGCTGCCTTGGCGTCTGCCTCCCCATGTCCAGGAGCTCCCTGTGGGCAGGAAGCTGTGTATGGCTCCTGTGATCGTACCGAAGAATTCAGAGTCATTGCTACACTAAGGACAGCCACGTGCCCACCCAATGGCAACCGGGGCATAAAACTGCCCAGCAGGGATCAGCACAGAACACTGATGTGCACGAGGGGTGCTGGAGAAACCCGCTCGCCCTCCACGTGGAACCCAGGGCACAGTGTGAGACGGATTTGGACAGATGCCCTGACCCTCCGTGGGCACACACTAAGCAGGCCCCACAGCAGCGTGGACCGCCCCGCGTCCAGTGTGATGGCAACTGTCCAGTCACAGAGACACAGGACGGTGCCACAGGCCTCAGTTGGCTGTGCATATTAATCGCATGCCTGCTGTGCCCATGGAGGCAGTGCGGAGGGGGAGGTAGGGGCTGGAAGGAGGAGGAGGGGGGTTGGGCAAGGGAGGGTCTGGAGAGCCACAGGAGCAGGCTCTCTTTCCATCAGCTCCCGGAGCCCTCCCCTCACCCGCTCTTCTTCTCCACACCTCTGCTTTCATCCTCTGAGGCTGGCCTCCATCCTCCTGGCTCCCAGCAGCGGGGGCTGCCTTGTGCTCCCTAGGCTGTGTGTGTGCAAACTCCTGTTTGCCTTTGCACTTCCCCAGGGCTTCTCCTGCTGGGGCTGGAGCCAGGGGACTGGATCCTGCTGGGGCTACAGCCCTCCTTCCCCAAGAGCTGTGTCTTGGAGAGTGAGGAGGAGTCGATGCGGAGGGGAGAGGGATGGCGAGGTGGAGAGGGTGAGGACACAAGGCACCCAGAGGGATAAGGAAACTGTGTCCTCCGTTCCCCTGAGGCTGCAAACCCGGTGGGGGACCCAGTTCAAGTCAGAAACATCTGTAGGTTCAAACTCAGGAAGCCAAGACCAGGAACACCTGGAAGAGAAGTTAGTTGCCTGAAGATTTTAAAGTCTCTGTTGGAGAAAGTTTTAGCTCGTTTCATGGGTGATTGAATCGCAGCTGTTTGAAGTTATTGTGAAGTGATGTGCAGACATGATTTAGTAATCATCAAATGTTAGCTATATACTGCAGGAAGGTATAAGGGGTGACGCCAGTTCTCCCACCCTACTCCAGCCCCACGCCACTCTGGGCTCAATTCTTCTGATGAGTTTCTCCCATAGCGCTAATTGAAATATTTGTCCTGGGTGCTGATTTAGCTGTTTAAACCCATTTGTGTACCCCCCAACAAAACACACTAGAAAAGACGAGGTTTGGCTCAGACTCGCCCCGACACCACCCAGCTTCTCAATCTTTGTTATTGTTTTTGTTATGTTTAAAACTTTAAATATGTTTATGCAATTTTTACACAGTTTATATATATTATGAATTAAATTCTGCAAACAAGGTCGTGTTTATATATAAGTGTAGTCCACCCTTTCTTTGTTTTGAGTTTTTTGTTGTGGTGCAATATATCTAACATGGGATTTACCATTTTGCCCATTCTCAGTGTACAGTACAGTGGCGTTAAGTACACATACGTTCCACCACGCATCTCCAGAATGTTTCGTCTTCCCAAACTGACACTCTCTCTGTTAACATTAACTCATCCTCCCCTCCCTCTGCTCCTGAGAGACACCAATCGCCCTCTGTGTCTGCAAATTTGACTTAGGTGAGGTCTAGAGGGGGGAACTCTACTGGATTTGATCTGTAGTCCACTCTTTCTGAAATGACCAACTTTTTTTTTTTGAGATGAAGTCTCACTCTGTCGCCCAGGCTGGAGTGCAGTGGCGTGATCTCAGCTCACTGCAACCTCCGCCTCGCTGGTTCAAGCCATTCTCATGCCTCAGCCTCCTGAGTAGCTGGAATTATAGGTGCCTGCCACTGTACCTGGCTAATTTTTGTATTTTTAGTAGAGATGGGGTTTCGCCATGTTGGCCAGGCTGGTCTTGAGCTCCTGACCTAAGGTGATCTACCCGCCTCGGCCTCCCAAAGTGCTAGGATTACAGGTGTGAGCCACTGCCCCTGGCCTTGAAATGACCAACTTTCAACCGTGTGTGCATCTACTCGTCCTGCCACATGAGATGAGGACATCAGCCACGTGCCAGGGTCACACAGCCACTCAGCTGCAATTCTGGGGATCACGCTTGGGTTGTCACACAGCCACTCAGCTGCAATTCTGGGGATCACGCTTGGGTTGTCACACAGCCACTCAGCTGCAATTCTGGGGGTCACGCTTGGGTTGTCACACAGCCACTCAGCTGCAATTCTGGGGGTCACGCTTGGGTTGTCACACAGACTCCAAACAGCCTCCGCACCCCCCTCGTCCTGGGATCTTGGCATGACTAGGCATCAGGACTGAAGGGATGGGAGGCTCTTTGGGAAGTCCCCTCTTACAAAAGAGGCACATTGCTGGCTGGGGTTTGTGTCAGGGCCCTGAGGGCTGGCAGGCACAGCTACCTGCTGGTCCCAGGTAGCTCAAACGCCTCTGTGCTGTGTGAGGAGGAGAGTCTAGGATGCGGAGGGTAAGGAGCCGTTGTCTTGAAGCCCGGGCCCTGCCTCTTGGTGGCTTCCGACTCCAGGAATGCAGACAGAGCTCCTGGCGGCTGGTGTGGTGCAGGCCTGTTTCTGCAGGCTGCCTCCTTGTTTATTCCACTTGTACCATTTCTCCTGGCAGAGACCTTCCCCAGCCATGGCCGGAGTCATGTTGGGACAGCTGACCCCTGGGCTCTCTTGAGCTGGCTTAGGAGCCTGGATGCCGCCCTCTGCGTAGAGTAGCAACATTCCTGGCCAGACATGAAAGGAGAGATTATAACAGCCCATTTTCTCCAAGCAGCTTATCCCGATTAAGTGGGAATCAGGCACAAATCCCCACCCTCAAGTCCTTTCTTCTCATCCTCCCCCACCAGCCGCCTCACCCTGATGAAGTCTGACAAGACCCAGGGGGGATGTCTCAGAGCACGTGGAGCTCCTGCCAGCACCCCATATACGTGCGGGGCCGAGCCCCCCAGCATGGCCACTCGCCGGCAGCCGAGGCCCATGGTGGAAAATCGGACCTGCCCGGGGCAGCACCTATGCTCCTTCCTCCCTGCTATTTGTCTTCTGCGGGCCCGAGGGGCTGGGCTTTGCCTGTACATGGTGTTCTCTGGTCACATCAAGACGAGGTTGCGTAATCCCCGGACTGTGCGTGGGGTGTGGGGTTGCCTGGGTCTGTGGCCTCGGGTGTCCGGCCAGGCTAAGCCAGGCCCCTATCCCACCCGGCCAGCAGCAGCCCCCTCACCCTCGTGCAAGCCGGAGCGGGAAGTGCCAGCGAGAAGCGGAGGCCAGGCTGATTTACGAGGATGGAGCCTTCGGGGAGCTCCGATTCGGCCTGGGAAGCTCCTATTCGTGACGCTGCCCTGGGCTGGCCCTGCCGCTCACTGGCCTCCGCCCACACCTATTTTGAGCATTTTTAATATTTTCATAAGGACTGTGGGGCAGATGATTTATGGCTCCCTCTCCCCTTCCAACCCTTGTACAGGGCCGTGGCAAATGCATCTGGAAAGGACTGGAGAAAATACAGATGAGTGAGAAAGGCGCCAATGAGGCGATCTCGGCCACACTCACTTAGTTAGAACGGTCAGGCCCAGCCCCCGGAGCCCAGGGCAGGAGCCAGGCGGAGCAGCTGTCTGTGGCTCTCCAAAGCATCACAACGTTAGAAATGAACTTTGCAGCGCGCAGACCTGGCAGAGGAGGCTGCTGAGGCCAACACTGAAACAAGCAGTTCAGAGGGCAAAGCGATTTGGGCCGCGTTTGGGCTACGCTGGCACTCCCCCGGCCTTTCCATTTGAGAGCAGTAATTCATTGTAAGATGGAAACTGCTTAGAGATAACTGGAGAACATTGGCCTTTAACACACATAAACAAAGTGATTTCAAAGGAAGGGCACTTGTTGGCCCTCCAGCCAGCCAAGGCAGAAAGCCCTGCTCCAGCTCGGAGACCTGCAGTGAGGGCCTTCCCAGGGCCTGTGGGATGCTGGGGGCAGGGATTCTGCTTTTTGTCCCTGGGCTATATCTCACTAGCCGTTTGCTGGGAAGGCAGGCGGGGACCTGGACGCCCGCACACCCTCGAGGGCCTCCAGTCTGCAGGTCCCTAGCCCGGGTCCCAGGCAGTGTGCAGTGTGGACCTGCTTGGCAAGGTCGGTACAGGGGAGGAGCGATCCTTCAGGAAGGTCCACAAAACTGACCACAGCAGGGGTGGGGGTGGGGAGGACTCTTGGGCATGAAGGATGATGGACAGCAACAGGGAGGTGAGGATGGGCCCCAGGCAGAGGAGCTGCGTGCGCAGCGTGGTGTGTGAGGTAGACAGTAGACGGGGAAATCTGGGGGGGCCCGAGGCAGCATCTGTGGAGGGGAGGGTGAGGGAGACAGGTGCCAGGTCACGGGGGTACCTGAGGCCACACTGAGGATCCAGGCCCCGCCTTCAGGGCAACGCAGCTGTTGGTTAGTTTTGGTAATTGACACATAATAACTGTATATATTATATATTTATGAGGTACAATCTGATGTTTTGATATATGTTTACATTGTGAAATGTTTCAATCAAGCTAATCAATAATCTTTCACCTCACATACCGATCTTCTTTTGTGGTGAAAACATTTCAAATCTTCTCTTTTAGCAATTCGGAAATATACAATGCATTAGTATTTATTCTAGTCAGCATTCTGTGCGATAGATCACTGAAACCTATATGTCTTATCTAACTGAGATCTTGTATCCTTTGACCTTCTCCCCTTGCCCCATCTCCCAGCCCCTGGTAACCGCCATTCTGCTTTCTACTTCTAGGACTCTTTTTAGACTCCACATGTTAAGTGATATTTCTCAAAAGAAGACATCCAAGTGGTGAACAGATCTATGAAAAAAAAAAATGCTTGTCATCACAAACCATCAGGGAAATGCAAATTAAAACCACAGTGAGACATCACCTGCCCTGTTCGAATGGCTTATCAAAAAGATGAAAGACAGCAAGTGTTGGTGAGGATGTGGAGGAAAGGGAACCTTGTGTGCTGTTGGTGGGTATGGACAGTCATACAGCCACTGGGTGTTGGGAGGAGAAAACGTGGTGATTCACTCAGCAGATGCCCTCATTCATTCAGTGCTGGCCAACTGCTGTGCTCCTGGTCCTGGGTCGGGTGCCTACTAGAGGATGCAGATACAGCATTTGAGATGGACTGCTCTGGCACTGGCCTGGGGGCAGGGTAGGGGAGCGGGAAATGGTCATTCCTGTGAGAAGCTGGGATGGAAAGGAGAAGACGGATTGGGGATGGTAAGAGGCAGAGGGGGCAGGCTTGGAGATCACATGGGTGTGGACATGGCGGATGGGGTGGGCTGGGAGAAGTGGGTAGGGAAAGGTGGCACCGAGGTAGCAAGTTCTGGTGACCAGGCAGATGGCACCGTCCTGCCCAGAGATGGAGGCTACAGGAGCTGGTGAGTGCCCCAGGCCTGGATGTGGGACACATGAGGTCATGAGGAGCAACCACAGGAGCCGTCCTGTGAGAAGCTAATATGTGAGTCTCAGGAGGAGATGGGGTGCCGAGGGTCAGCGGGGTTGCGTGTGTGAGTGCGGAGCAGAGTGGAGGCCGCGGGAGGCCAAGGCAGTGGTCAGGATGTGAGGGGTGGAGTGAGCACTGTGGGCCTGCTGGAGGAACCTGAGGGGCAGACATTGCCATCTCACTGGCAGGTCGGGGAGAAGGTGGCCGGTGGCAAGGGTGTGCCCTCGGGTTATAAGGAGGGGTTCATGTCCAGACTCTGGACATGTATGGCTGGGAGACTTTGGGTAGCTTTTCTGAGCCTCAGGGTCCCTAAGTTAGATGGGGGTGATGATGTCTACCTCACAGGGTGTGGGGGATTAATGGGCCAAACTTGGTGCTGATGTGCATAGAGTGTGCAGTGAGACCCCAACCTTAGTGATGCCTGTGCCCCCAGATGCAGCTGAAGGGTAGCACCCACCGACTGTAATATCATAAGGGGGCAGGACACACCCAGATATTTAGGACAAATCAGAAATCCTCGTTGGATGCTCTTTCTATGCATGTGAACACATTTTGGTTGGGGCAGGGCGAGGAACCTCTCAGAGCCATGGATGGGGTGGCCGTGAGGAGGGGGAGTTGCATGCTGGGTATGCCTTATGGGTGGGCATGAACTTTGTGGACCAAAGGCCACAGCCCCTTTTGGAGTAGCCCCTTTTGTAACGGTAGAGGGTTTTAGGAGGGATTTGTCGATGAGACCGTGGCTGAGGTTCATCTGAAAAGGCTCCCTGAGGAACCAAAGCCCAAGACTCGCTGGATAGATGTGTTCGGTGCAAACCAGGGTGCAGAGAGCACAGCATCAGGTCCCAGGTGCCAGTTGCCAGGCCAGCCCATGGTTAGACAGCCTCAGGTGGAGGGAGTACAGCTTCTGTGTCCCTGCCTGAATGAACGGTGGCACAGGAGTGGAATTTTGAGATGCCCTGGGAAAAACGTGGAAGCGCTGGAAATGTGTGGGCAGGAACAGTCTTGGAGCACCGTGTGGACCTAGTCACAGACAAGCCCGGCTCACGTCATGCCTCATTCTGCTTATCTGTGATGGCTGACCTCCTCAAGGCCAGCAAGGTATCAGGACTTACAAGTTCCCAACAGCTTTGCAGGCTCTGGAGGACAGCAGAAAGGTCACCGTCCACAAGCAGGCGCTGCCACCATGGAGAGGGGTAAGCGACATATGCCTGGGTGGTTCAGGAGCACCACGCTTAGTCCAGCCCCACCACCCTACAGAGGAGGAAAACATGCTGAGGAGACTTTCAGGGACTTGTTTATGCCCCAGTTAATGATCTTCTCCACTTGGTATCCCCCGGTACAAGGTTTCCAGAAATGTCATCCTTCTGATGGGATGTGGGAACCCCCAGGTCCCGATTGCTCAAGGTTTGTCAAAGATTTCCAGGCCCACGCTGAAGACGGCAGAGGGACAGTGTTACTCGTGGTTAAACGTCTGGTCAGCACCTTCTTTGCCATTAGAAATGTCATCTCCAACTCCCACGAATGTTGCTTCACCGTTAACTGGGGTGACGTCGGGCGGCTGCCTCTGCTCTGCTCTGGGGTCAGGATTTCATTTCTGCTTTTTTCACAGGTGTAAGTCTGGGCTGTTAACAGGCACAGCCCAGGAACCCAAGGACATCTGTTGGCACCACGGCTGCCTGCACACAGGGTGCAGACTTCAGATGCCGTGTCCTTCCCCATCCGCTCCTGCGACCCAGCCACGAAGCCTGGCCGGCTCTATTCCCTGAGCCTCTGGGTGACTTGTGACCCTAATCCACCTCTTTGGGGAGGTTTATTAATTACTGTACTGGAGGCAGCTCCGTGCCAAGAAGTTCAAAGCATCTTCCAACCTTGACCCATTAATCCCTTTAGCATCCCAGGGAGATCGGAAGGCACTGGCTGAGTCCTGTGATTCCCATCGCCTGCCATTGCATACATGGTGGGGGATGGAGGGGGAACTTGAGCAAGGAGAGCTTGGCCTGCATGTCCTCCGTGAGTCAATAGCAGGCCTGGAAAAGAAGTTGAGTTTCCCGACTGAGGCCAAGAGCCTCACTGCCAGCACAGGCTTCCTTCCTTACAAAACAGTTGTCATCCACGCCTCTCAAGATGTACCCGTCCCTCAACACCCCATCCCCCAGCACGGGCCGCCTCAGTATCTTAGTGCCAGCAGCACTACCGCTGTTTACATTGAGCTCTGGAGAGTGGCGTTTTATCATCAGGAGCAGCCAAACACGGCCCTCTCCCTTCTCTGAGTATCCTCTGCAGAAAACACCCTCCCCCACAAAAGGGTTTGGTCTTGGAGCAGAGGCCACATCCGTCACCTGTTCAGGGAGCACCACAGCTGTGCGGTCCCCGAGGGGGCTACCTACCAGGGCAGGGCGGCTCCCCGGGGTGCTCGGGGGACCCCCAGCCAGAGGCAGCTGGATAAGGAAGAAACAAGATGTTCTTTCTCCTGCCTGTATTTGCCTTGTACTCTTCAGATTCGACATTGTTTTTAATTTTCAGCCTAATTTTAGTCCAAGAACTTGGTGAGGCTGGAGAAGAGTCTTAAAGCCTTTTTTTTTTTTTTTTTTTTTTGTAAACAAGTGTACTTTTCTGGCCAGATGTTTCTTTTTTCCTGGTCTTACGGGGCTGCGCCATTGAACTGGCCGGCTGAAACTGAATAAATCTTTGTTTTACGGCTTCTTTGGTCCTTTACAACTAAGAGCCTCAGGAAGGAATCAGATCTTTTAATCCTCCTGGTCTTAGCCTGGAATGACCTCGCAAATGCACCATTAGCTAAGAAATCTTAGAAATATGTTTGTGGTTGACCTGAAAGCACATTAGCAAAGTCCCAGGCCCTAACACTGGGATGGTTAATCACCCCTGGGATGGAATGACCAGGCAGAGCCTGTCCCAGCAGGGTGCCACAAAGAGTTGAAAACATTTCTTTCTCATGAGCGGTATGTCTTGCACGATCAGGTGCTTCTTAGCAGTGACCAAGACAACAGTTACCTTCGTCTCCGGCTGGATATCCTGTTTAAAATCCGACCCTGCGTTTAAACGTGTGCAGAACGGGTCCTCAGTGCACCCTCCTGAGGTTGCTCGGACGGGTTCCTCCAGGAAGTGTGCTGGGGTGTGGGCTGACACAGCACTAAGTCGCAGCTTGAGGTACAGTGAGATGTTTTCATGGTTTAGGGAAAGCAGGCTGATTCCAGCTATTTTCACTTCTGAAAGGGCCCTGGCAGAAGGACAGGCTTGTAAAATCTGCTGTGAGTGATACAGCTGCGGCCAACCGTGGAGCCCTCCAAGTGCTGGGGAGAGCAGGCAAGGAACCGGGCCTGGTTCTTGGACAGGTTTTCATGTCCTAGGAGGAAGAACAGTTATTGCTTAATCTTGAAAATTGGGCTTTAGACCCTCAGTGTCACAGCTGACCACAGGGCTGGCCAGGTTACAGATGGGGCAGGGCCCTGCTGCTCCTCCTGATCCCTCTGCCTGAGGGGCCTCCCTCCATGGCCCCAACCCTACCCCACTGCTGCAGCGTCCCATGCTCCGATGTCTTAGAACTTTGAGCGGAACGTCCCATCTCTTGTTCTCTTCTCTGCGGAACTGTCTTTTCCTGGCCCCCTCGAATGGGCTTGGGGCCATTGCCTTCTCTGTCATCCTTCCCTTTCCCTCCTCATTCACTGCCTTCTTCCCTCTCACGTCTAATCAGTCTTCGAACTGTGTCAGTTCTACTTCTGTGACGTCTCATCACCATCCCTGCTCAAGTCTCCGTTACCTGGGCCACGTCCACAGCCTCCTAACGGCTCGTTTCTGCCTCTGATCTCTCTGAACTGCCTCTGCCTGCATGTGCTGCTGCTGACTCTTCCCAAGCTCAGCCCTGGCCGTGGCATGCTGCGTTCTTCCAGGAATCCCTGTTCCACTGGTGTCCAGTCCCTCTGTCTACCCTCACAGGCTCAGGCCCTTCACCATGAAGCCCCGACTCACCTTTCTGGGCAAGAAGTCTGCACCTTCTGACCACTCTGGATAGAGGCTCTTGCTGCTCCTGTATCTTTCTTTGCCTACTTGATTTCTCCTACCTGCATGGAGCCCCCTGCCACTCCCAACCCAGTTGAATGTCCAGAGGCCTTGCCGTTAGCTACCAAGAGGAGGAGTTACCAGACCCAGATAGAAGAAAGTGTGGGAGGCCTATTTAGTTCTGAAACAAAAAGAAATCTGGAACCACACCAAAAACCAGGGAAGATATTTTGATGTGGTTCCTTTAATGCAGCTGTTTAGACATGGGGATATTTTGGCAAGCCATGATATATTCAGCTATATTGCTCTACTAAGTGTCATGTGACATGGACACCCTGACCTCCCTGCGTCTCACCCCCTTTCGAGCTCACCCCAGAGGTGAGAAGGGTGGTAGGACATAGGGATAAAGTGGGGGTTAATCAGGCTTCAGAGAACCGGGCACCTGGGGCTTAGCATGCACTGGAGCACGGCCACAACTTCTCTGCAGCCCCTCCCTTCAGGAAGTGGAGTCTATTTCCTCCACCCTTGACTCTGATGGGTCTGTGACTTGTTCTGATCAACAGAATGAGGCTGGGGTATTTTGAGCCCAGGTCTCCAGGTGCCTTTCAGGTTCTCCATCCAGCTGCTCTGTGGATGCAGGCTAGCTTCACCGGGGGATGAGAGACCACGTGGAGCAGAGACCAGCCCTCCCAGCTGCTCGGTGGATGCAGGCTAGCTTCACCGGGGGATGAGAGACCACGTGGAGCAGAGACCAGCCCTCCCAGCTGCTCTGTGGATGCAGGCTAGCTTCACCGGGGGATGAGAGACCACGTGGAGCAGAGACCAGCCCTCCCAGCTGCTCTGTGGATGCAGGCTAGCTTCACTGAGGGATGACAGAACATGTGGAGCAGATACCAGACCTCCCAGCTGAGGCTCCCCAGCCAAATGCCAGCATAAGAGGGAGGGTCTAATCTATCATTCAGCAGCCATCAGCCCACCAACTGACCACAGACATTTGAGAGCACCCAGTGGAGATCAGCCAAGCTGGCCCAGACCAGAACAGTCCAGCTGACCCACACAATTGTGGGCTTCTTAAAGTGGACATCATTTTAAGCTGCTGGATGTTGAAGAGGTTTGTTAAGCAGCAAAGCTAACGATAGCACCGCCACTGGTCATCTGAAGGAAGGCCTGTGCTCATTCTGTGTGAATTGGCCTGCGGTGGTGTAATCTGTGTTGAGGATGGTCTGACCTCTCCTGTTGTATTCCAGGGATCTTGTCCATGGATTTATAATCAAGATATAGAATTGGCTGCTTAATAATGGAAATTATTATGGTGTCCATTTGATCTCTGCCCTTTTTTGGCGATAAAGTACCAATGACATATTTTTACCGTTTTAACTGTTTTAAAACGCACAATTCGGTGGCATGAGGTACATTCATGATGCCACACAATCACTGCCACTATTTAGTTCCAGAACATTTTCATCAAATCAAATGTTTCATCAAACCTCCTGTTCATAGGCGCGAGTCCACGGTAGGACGCCCTCCACGATGCCCCGAAGGCGGTGGGGGTGGGGAGAGTGGTCTGCACCGTTCCCTGGCTCTCCAGCCTGGGGCTTCTCCTGCAGCTTCCTGGTTTCCTCTCCGGATGAAGCAGAAAAGCCCCTTACAGGGTTGGGCAAAAGGCTGACTATGGATTGGTCCTCACCTCTCATGAAACTGGAAAGGAAACCCCATAGCCATTAAGCAGCCACTCCCATTACTCTCTACAGCCCCCCATCCCCATCCCAGCCCCTGGCAACTAGAAATCTACTTTCAATCTCTATAGATTTGCCTATTCTGGATGTTTCTTTCTTTCTTTTTTTTTTTTTTCCTTTTTTTGAGACAGTCTCACTCCGTCACCCAGACTGGAATGTGGTGGCACAATCTCAGTTCACTGCAGCCTCCACCTCTTGGGTTCAAGTGATTCTCCCGCCTCAGCCTCCCAAGTAGGTGGGATTACATGTGTGCACCACCACACCCAGCTAATTTTTGTATTTTTGATAGAGGCAGAGTTCACCATGTTGAACTCCTGGCCTCAAGTTATCCACCCGCTTCAGCCTCCCAAAGTTCTGGGGTTACAGGTGTGAGCCACTGCACCTGGCCTGGATGTTTCTTATAAAGGGAATCATATGAAATGTGGTCTTTTGTGCCTGGCTTCTTTCATTTACCAACATTCATCAAGGCTCCCTCCCGGCATGTGCAGCAGTGCCTCACTCCTTTTTATGGCTGTACCTTCCTAGGGCCCCTGTGCCTTCCTGGCTGCTTGGATCTGTCAGCCGTATTGGGTTGTGTGTGTGCTGATGGCTGTGACGTGCTAGGTGCCACTCTGGGTGTCTCACCTGGTTCACCTCTTTCACTCCTCACAGTCACTGATGAGCTCACTGTCATTCTCATTCGCATTTGACAGGTGAGGGAACTGAGGAGCAGAGTTTCAATACTTGATCCAATGCCATGCAGCTGGCACAAGGTAGCTCAAAGATTCCAATTGAGGAGTTTCCTTCTGGCGCAGAGCTGTCCTGCTGGTTCCTGGATCGTGGAGGACATGAGGAGACTCTCTCTCCGGACCCTCTCATTCTCAGCTTCACGCCGCCTGGGAAAAAAGCTATTGAACTGGTAGCAGTCCATTAAGCATGGACCACAGCACAGTTGTGTTATTTATTGTAAGATATTTACCATCTTTTGATGATAAAAATAATGCCCACTTATAAGAATCTAGACAAATCACATGTTAAGAAAAGAGACAGCTACTGATAAAAAAAAAATAAGAAAAGATGTAGAAAATGGAATTGGAAAAATGAAAGAAATATAGAAAATACAGGGCAATATCTGTGGTAACATAACTGTGGGGAATGGGTTGAAATGTCCAGGAGACCTGGATGAACATTAACTGGTAAAAGAATAGCAATTTAAAAAAAATTGACAAGGCCATTTTGACATAGAAGCATCAAAAACTTTCTGGTACCAGAACAGCCTTGTTAAGAGTCACTGGGTTAAAATGGTCACACTGGATGCCCAAAGAAAGAGGGTAATATTAATGGGAGCTGTCTTTCAACTTCTGCAGGGCTCGAAAAGAGGAAAATTGTACCAAATGATATGTCAGGAGTCTGAATCCCAGGCAACTTGCTCAATGCTTTTACAGGTAATAGCCTATGAACTCTCCCCACCCTCTCTCTAGGTTGGTGTTGGCACCTCCAGCACATAGGCATGGGTCCATGGTGCAATGCCCTCCCCAGTGTCTTGGAGGCACGGGTCTGCACCCATCCCTGGCTCTCCAGCCTTCTGCTCTTCCTGCAGCTTGGTGGCTTCCTCTCGGGTGAAACAGTAAACCCCTTATGTCCCTGCTGGGCTGGGAAAAAGGCTGAGTACGGATCGGTCCTCACCTCTCATGAGAAATCCAAAACAGCTCAAAGATCACATTCTACTCATAATCTCCTCCACATTCACATTACTTGCAGGTCAATGAACGTCAGCATCTTATCTCCACCTTCTTGTTGCTTTTGAAACAACGTTCCCTTGTCCAACCCCGTGAAATGCCTTCCTAACCAGCTCACGCTCTGGTTGCTGTCTATTTATTACTACTTCTCCTTTGCTCCCCAATGATTAGGATGGGCTCATGAAATCTATGCACACGTGAACACAAGAATAGATCAAGAAAGCAAGATACACGGAGGGAAGGGTGCTTCCCAAGGAGCCCAGGAGATGTCTGAGCACAGGGAGAAGAGCTGCCTGGGCCTCACAGCTGCCAGAGTGAGTGCTGAACACCCTGAGCCCAAAGAGGACTGTGTCCACTCACAGGACGGTCATGGGTTTTCCTTTATTTGTACTCTGCTGGCACTGAGGTTTCTTTTCTAAGCCACTGACCAGGAAGGCTGGGGTGGATCCAGGCCACACAGGTCATGCTGAAGTACACACACATGGTTGTGGTTGTGGGGGGGTGTCTCTAAATGATTGCTTCATATCACAGGACACAGCCAGGGCTCTCTGCAAGGTTGCAGCAATTCACAGAGCACCAAAGAAGCCAAGAGAATTAGGGGTGGAAGTGGGGAAAGGCCCTTCATCTGGGGGATGGTGGAAGGTACAGGAAGAAGGCCTAGAGAAAGCCCTGGAGAGGGGAACCATGTCTTGTGCAGCCATCAGTGCACCCATCAAACATGGAGCCCATTGGGTTTCCTTGAAAATGGATGACTTATGTGTATGTTTTTAATATCTCTCTTTTTCCTTTTTTAATAAAAAAGTATTATCATAGAGCAGACAGAGTTTACAGCCAAACATATTGCCATGCATTTTCTAAAAATAAAATAATTGCCTTTATAAAACAAGAACATAAAGCAGAGATGCTGCTCAGGGAAGGTATGGCAAGAGAGAAGGAAATGAGGCATGCTCAAACTGGCAGAACTTGGGAAGATGTGAAAGGGAAACATACAATCGTTTGCAGATGTAAAGAAGAACGGACACTATCAATAACACAGCAGGTACATAGAGGACAGGATTGTGAAGAAAGTGAACAAAAGAAAATGGAAGTAAAGAGACATTGAAAGGGACTTGAGTATGGGAAGTCAGTAAAAAGGATCCCAAATATTTGTATTTGATGAGTCTGAAGGATAAAAGAACTAAGATCATGAATGAAAAATTTTTAAATTAAAATTAAAACTTAAGAAACATTTCTGGAAAAAAAAGAAGACTTGAACATATAGATTGAAAGAAAATATTGTGCCACCTAGAAACTGCATACGGAGGTCAACACTAAAGCATTTCTGATGAAAATAACTAAAACCTGATCCCTTTCCCTTGACTCTCTTTTTATCTTTGAAATCTGACTTGAGTCTTTTTCCCAGCTAGAAGAGAGAGGAGCTGGCCTATGATGTACTTAAGAAAGTTGTTTTGTACCTAACTGTATTAGGCCATTCATACATTGCTGTAAAGAAATACTTTATAAAGTAATTTATGAAGAAAAAGGGTTTAACTGGCTCACTGTTACGCAGGCTTTACAGGAAGCATAGTAGCATCTGCTTCTGGGGAGGCCTCAGGAAGCTTCCATTTATAGCAGAAGGCAAAGAGGGAGCAGGCACATCACAGCAAGAACAGAGCAAGAGAGAGGATTGGGGAAAGGTGCCATACACATTTAAACGACCAGATCTCATGTGAACCCAGAGCCAGAACTCACTCATCACCAAGGGGAGGGTACAAACCATTCATGAGAGATCTGTCCCTGTGGCCCAAGTACCTCCCACCAAGCTCCACCCCCAACACTGGGGATGACATTCCAACATGAGATTTGGGTGGGGACAAATATCCAAGCAATGTCACTAACCAAACTGACATGCAAATGTAAAGGCAACAGACACCTTTGAATATGTAAGAATTCAGGAAATATGGTTTATTGGAGCCTGTCTTGAAGAGACTACTAGCCAAAGAATTTTAACCAACCAACCAATGAAAGAGGAGAATTAGCTTGGAGCATTGAATCTATGTAACTCTAGGGTTCAGATATAAGGTGAGCCAGGCGTGGTGGCTCACACCATAATCTCAGCACTCTGGGAGGCTGAGGCATGTGGATTGGTTGAGCCCAGGAGTTTAAGACCAGCCTGGGGAACATGAGGAAACCTCATGTCAACAAAAAATACAGAAATTAGCCAGGTGTGGTGGCTGGTGCCTGTAATCCCAGCTACTTGGGAGGCTGAGGTGGGAGCATGAGGTGGGAGGATCACCTGAACCCAGGAGGGTTTGGTGATCAAAGTTTCGATGATCAAAAATGCCATGAGTCATGATTGCACCACCGCACTCCAGCCTGGGTGACAGAGTGAGACTGTGTCAAAAAAAAAAAAAAAAAAAAAAAAAAAAAAAAAACAGACATAAGGCGATGAAAATGTTCCAGGAGAGAGGGAGCGTGAATAGTGAGGGGGAGAAGAGCGAATGGCTGGAGAACACCGTGCGGGGGATGTGGGATGGCTCTGGAGCACAGGTGGAACTGCCTTCAGGTTGGGCATGAAACATTTCTCACTAGCCGTGGGAATGGAGGCTGAGTGTGTGGGTGCAGATGCCGGCATGCGGCTGGATGTGAGGATAGACATTTGGGGGAGTTCTCTTCTGGCTGCTGCTATTTCTCAGTAAAGTCTCAGCTGAGAGTGAGGATGGGAGAAGAGGGCTTGGGGCATTGGAGGAGAAAGGGGAAGATATGAAATGGCCATTTGTGTAGTGATGTCTTATTTACTGTTTGATCATCTATTGAGGTAATTATTTCCGAAATTATATCCTTCCTTTCTCCAAGTTCCCAAGTTTCTCTTGGTAAGTTTTCTTTCTTTCTCTCTCTCTTTTTTTTTTTTTTTTTTTTTTAGAGATGAGGTCTCACTATGCTGCCCAGGTTGGTCTTGAACTCCTGGGCTCCAGTGATCCTCCCAGCTCGGCCTTCCAAGGTGTTGGGATCACAGGCGTGAGCCACTGCACCATGCTTTCTTGGTACATTTTCAGCTCTGCATGCTAGTTATTTATATGGGCTCTTGGCCTGCCTTTAGAAGTCCAGCCATGTTTTCTTTAAACGCCGCTATCCCATCTTCTGTTTCTGCTACTTCTGGTGTCTTAAGTCCTTAGGGGCTGAATCTTTTTGCCGTTTCTACTTGATTCTCACCTGTGTGGCCACCTCTTCTGTGCTTGGTGACCTTCATAAACCAGTGTCTGCTTCTTTTGGGTGTGTGAGAATTCTGATGGCTCAGACTGGGAAGGTTTTTTCTCTAAGAGAAGCCAACTGCCTGTCTTCGAGGGTCCTGATGCTGCAGGGGCCCCAGGGCCAGCCCCCACCTGCTGCTGGCCAGCTCCCTGTCAGTGCATGCTCCGGTGGCTCGCGTCTTCAGGGAGGCCTCACCCTTCCCACTTGCCTGTAGCTCTAGGCTGGTTCTGGTCCGGTTCAGTCCAATTGTCTTCTAATTGGGTGTGTGTTTTGGAGTTGGGGTGAGGGGTAGAGAGTTGATCTTTAGGAATTTCCTTGCTTCCTGTGAGTCCAGCAATGTGTTTTCTTCTTGTCAATCCAGGACCTGGTTGTCTCTCAGAGTCTTATAGAAATGAAGGAGAAAGCTTTGTTTTTACTTTAAATCCATGGGTACCTTTTGAAACTTGTACCATGGTTCTGTATTAGCCATCCTATCAGATGAGAAACTAAAACGCACTAGTCACATGGTGAATTATAGCAACGGCACACACGAGTCAGCACACAGAACACTAAGCGATACTTTTGGCTCTGACTCTGAGCAGGCTCCTGGCTGGCCATTCTGTGCCCCCAGCCCCCGCCCCCACCCATCACACTACACGTTTTATGCAGCGACCTCGCCATTTTCTTCCGTCCCTTTACTCACATTGATTCCTTTTCCTAGAATAGACTTTTTCCTGGTCCCTGCCTTGTCTGGGGCTGCCCACTCCATAAAACCATAGCTTAACTCACGTCCTCCTGCAGCCTGTCCTTCTGCCCCCATGCCTTGCCCTCACTGGCCCTGCCCTCCGAGTGTCTCCAGGCTGGGACTTCTGTCTCCTCCTCTGTTTCCTCCAGTACTTGGGAGCTACTGTGTCTGGGCTGAGCAACACCTTCCCCTTACCTTCTCCAGGTGGTGCAGGACCCAGCCAAGGGAGGACACACATTTTGTTGGGAGAGATGAATGAATGTGGGGTAACTTCAGGGCCCCCCATTCCTTTTCAGTCTTAGCCATCTAAGATGCTTTCTGGTGCTTCTGAAACAACTGCCTGTAAAAGCAAAACATGGAATGCAGAGAGGAGTGTGTTCTGGAACTTGTCAGGCTCGGGACACCCGAGTTACTGGCATTGGGAAGGGCGTTGGCCGGAGGTGCAAGTGGATTCCCATAAAGGTCCTCTTGGCGGTGCTGTTCTGGGGATTCATGGGAATGTGGGGGAGAGAAAGGAATGTTCAATGAAGAATGAATTGTGGCTTTTGGGGGCAGAGTCAGAAAGAGCTACACTCTTCCTTTCTGGAACCCACAGAGGGGCCTCCATCCAAAGGGGAAGATGCTACATGAGTCAGCTCAGCTCTGGTCAAAAGCTGGAGCCCATTGATCTGGATTTTTATCTATTTTCTGGCATCTTGGGGAATAAACAAGGGATTATTACAGCTCTAACTCATTGCCTCTGCTTATGAAGGCTGGTGCTGGCCTAGTCTCTTCCACAGCTTCCCCTTGCAATTCTTGGGAAGGCCAAAGATTCCAGTGCACACCTGAACTGGACAGAGGGAATGCACACAGGGCTCCTTTAGAGATGCAAATGGTTCACTTCTCTGTCCCTTTTTTCTGAGCAGCAGGAGGGTGGCATCTGGGATGGATGGAGGTCATGCTTCCTGGCTCCTGGCTCTCTATCATCTTAGCTGTTTCTGCATCTTCCCAAAGGAAGCCTTGTTCAAGCCCTTGTTGGAGACCTCTCCCTATCTCTCTATTTACTGAGTCCTGTATTTACCGAACATCTTTCTGGGGCCAGGCGTGGCACTGTGCACTAGGCCTAAAAGATCAGGCTTCCCAAAGCATCCCAGGAGTGACCCAGGGATGAAGAGTCACTCATCTCAGACCAGGCCGATAGTGAGTGCCAGGCAGGCAGGTGTCTCAGACCCAGCCGCAGGATCCCAGAAAGATGTCCAGGGGGAGCTGACTTTTGGGCTAAGTTTCTTCAAATCAACAGCAGTTAGCTGAGCAAACAGGGGCAGCCAGGCAGGGCAGGCAGGGTGGGTGGGGAAGCTTGTATTAGCCCAAGTCCTTTTTAGCTGCCTGTAGAGTAGGCAAAGGCTGGATCCTTTAAGACCCACAAATATGCCAAGCTGGCCCCAGCAACAGGCCTAAAAAGCTGGTTTTCTGCTCCAAGACTATTTTTTAATATGAAAATGACCATGGTATCACCTAGTCGATAGGGTTATACATGAAGTTTTATAATTCATGTTTTGTAGCTTTACTGTGGTATAATTGGCTTTAACAATAAGCTGTACATATTTAAAGTGTATAATTGGGTAAGTTTTAACAATGTCCATGAAACCATCACCAGGATCAAATGATGAACATAACCAACTCCCTTCAAAGCTTCCTTGAGCTCCTTTGAAATCTATCCCTCCATCCACCCCCATCCTCAGATAAACACTGATCTGCATCCTGTCATTATAGTTCTTATTTTCCAGAATTGTATGCAAATGGAATTATATAGTAAATATTTTTTGTGTGACTTCTTTCACATGGCATATTTATTTTGATATTCATCTATGCTATTGATGGCAGCTAGCCTGTCCCTGCTCCCAGCACTTGCTCTGATTTCAGAGCAAAGTTGAAGCCAAGCCCAGGCACAGCCACAACCCAGCCTGGAGCACGCATGCTTGGGGTGGCACTGACACGCCAGCCTCCTGTGACCTCAGCCCCTTCTGGACTTTGGGCACTGATGAGCATGGGAGGGAGGCCAGTGGGGGCCTGAGGGTGGCTTGGCCTGGGCCTGCAGATGCCCCTTGGCACAAATAGCCTGGGTGCCATGGATGACATGTAGATGGCGGCAGGAGGCAGATGGGCTTCTGGGTGGAAAGGGGTGGGTCCCTGGTGAAGCCCCACCTTAAAGCCAGGGAAGACCTGAAGCATGGGGGCTGGGCTGTCAGTTCCAGGTGGAGTCCACAGTCTGGAGTGAGAACTTATGGTGCTTTTTCCACACCCACCCATGGCTGCCCATGAACCAATCAGCACACACTTCCTCCCTTCTGAAGCCCATAAAAACCTCAGACTCAGCCAGACTCGAGCAGACGTTGGGACAACCTGACTGCAGAAAGGAGCTACCCACTTTAGGTCTCCTGGGAGCTGTACTGTCACTCAATAAAGCACCTCTTTACCTTGCTCACCCTCCAGTTGTCTGCATATCTCATTCTTCCCAGACATGAGACAGGACCCTGGGGCCTGCTGAATGGTGGGACTGAAAGAGCTGTAACACAAACAGGGCTAAAACACACCCTCTCCTCTTGCCACATTGTGAGCAATGAGGAATGAAGAGATAGGACTCTTCAGGGAGCCCAGACCTAGGGGTTGTGACATGCTCTTTGGGGCTCTGTGGTTTCTGGCGTCTCCAAGCTTCTGGGCACCACCCTGTTCCCCTCATCCAGATGTGGGTGTCCATAGTGGAAGCTGCTTGTGGTGCACTGGTCCAGCTGCAGGCTTGCATGGAGCCAGTGCCTGTGCCAGAGCCTGGAGCTGCCTGCCCTGCTGCAGCATCTAACACGTCTGGCTGTGTGCAGTGGCTAGATCCTGCACATGCTCACTCACACACCACTTGCCGCTCCACACCTGGCTACCCCTTGGCAGGCATGGGATCCAGTCTGTCAGCACAAGCTGAGTGTAGCATGCCAGGCCGAGTGGGCAGAATGAGCCCAGAGGGCCTGAGCAAAACCCAGACCAAGGTGCTCCCGACTACAGAGGCTTCTGGCTGGAAAAGTGATACCCTGAGGATCCTGTGACACTCTCATGCATATGTTCATTCCTTTTCTTTCCATTGTTAAGTAGTCTTCCATCGTATGGGTATACTGCAATTTGTTTATCTGTTCACCCGTTGATGGACATTTATTGGTTCCAGAGTCTCACTATTATGAATAAAGTTATATTTGTGAGCAAATCTTTATGTGGCCATATGCTTTCATTTTTCTTGAGTAAATACCTAGAAGTGAAATGGCTATATCATATGATAGGTGTTTGTTTACATTTTTAAGTAACTGCCAAACCATTTTCCAAAGTGGCTTATTCATTTTATAATCCCACCAGTAGCATATGAAAGTTTTAGAAGCTCCACATCCTCTTCACCACTTAATAGGCTGGGCACAGTGGCTCATGTCTGTAATCCCAGCACTTTGGGAGGCCAAGGCGGGCAGATCACTTGAGGTCAGAAGTTTGAGACCAGTCTTGCCAAAATGGTGAAATCCCATCTCTACTAAAAATACAAAAATTAGCCAGGTGTAGTGGTGGGTGCCTGTAATCTCTGCAACTCAGGAGACTGAGGCAGGAGAAATGCTTGAACCTGGCAGGTGGAGGTTGCAGTGAGCTGAAATCACGCCATTGCACTCCAGCCTGGGCAACAGAGTGAGACTTCATCTCAAAAAAAAAAAAAAAAAAAAAAGAAAGAAAGAAAGAAAGAAAGAAAGAAAAGAAACCCTTAATATAATCCGTCTAATTTAGCCAATCTAGTGGATATATCATGGTATCTCATTATGGTTTTCTTTTGCATTTCCATAATAACTAATAATGCTGAATATATTTTAATGTGCTTGCTTGCCATCTTTTTTGATAAAGTATGTAACTAAATATTTTGCTCATTTTTAATTGGATCATTGAACTGTAGGAGTTCTTTTTACATTCTAGATTCAAGTTCATTCCTGGATATATGCTTTTTGGATATTTTCCCCCTATATTTGGCGTATCTTTTAAACTTTATAGGTCTATTTTGAAGAGCATTTTTTTAATGCAAAAAGGCTCCAATTTGTTTATTTTTTTCTTTTACATTTCATGCCTTGTGTGGTATTTAAGAAATATTTGCCAAACAAGATCACTAGAATTTCCTCTAGAAGTTTTGTAGTTTTAGTTTTTACACTTAGGACTATGCTCCACCTTGAGTTAATTTTTCATGTGGTGTGAAATATTGAAGCTCATTTTTTTAACTTTGTATATGGTTATTCAATTTTCCTAGCTTTATTTATTTAAAGTATTATTCTTTCCTCATTGGTTTACCTTGAAACTTTTGGTGGAAATCAATTGGCTATATATGTCTGGGTCCCTTTTGGGCCTCTGTTCTGTTGCATTGACCTGTATGTCTATATTTACATCAATACTATAGTTGTCTTAACTATTGTGGCTTTGTAATAAGTCTTAAAATCAGATGGTTTAAGTTGTCTGATTTTATCCTTTTTAAAAAAGGTTTCGCTGCGTGGCTATTCTAGGTGCATTTTAATATAAATTTAGTAACTCGTTCATCAAATTTTATAATAGACCTATAGAAATTTTGATTGGGATAATATTGAATCTGTACACTAATTTGGGGAGAATTGACATCTTAGCAACATTGAGTCTTCTAATCCATGAATATAGTATATCTCTCCATTTACATAGGTCTTCTTTATTTCTTTCAGCACTGTTTGGTTGTTTTTGGTGTTGTTTGTACATCTTTTGTCAAATCTAATCCCAAGTATTTTATCTTTTTTGAAGACATTGTAAATGATTTTAAGTTTCAATGTCTTTTTGTTTGTTTTTAATATATAGAAATGTAATACATTTGTACTGACCCATATCTTGCAAGCTTGCCAAACTCACTTCTTAGTTCTAGTGGCTTTTTTGGTAAATTCCTTAGGATTTTAAATTTAGGGAGTCATTTCATCAGTAAATATGACAGTTGACTTCTGCTTTTCAAATCTATATTTTTTTATTTCTTCTCTTTGCTCTATTGCATTAGCTGGAACCTCCAATAAACATAGAATAAAAGTGTTAAGAGCAGACATCCTTGTCTTGTTTCAGAACTTAGGGAGGAAGGCATCCAGTCTTTCAAAATTAGATGTGATGTTAATTTGTAGATATTTTTGTTGATGCCCTTTATCAGGTTGAGGAAATGCCCTCTAATATAAATTTGCTGAGAGTAGTTATAAGGATGAGATATTAGATCTTGACAGATGAATCTCCTGCATTTATTGAGATGACCCTATATGGTTTTCTCCTATATTTGCCAATATGGTGAATTACATTATTTGATTTTCAAATGTTAAGTCAATTTTGCATTGCTTTATAACTCCACTTGGTCATGGCATATTATTCTTTTTGCATATTGTTTGATTCAATATACTCCGATTTCTTTAAGAATATTTGCATCTGTGTTCATAATATATATTACTCTGTAGTTTTTTTGTAATACTGTCTTCTCATTTTGGTATCAGAGTAATACTTCCCCATGGAATAAGTTGTAAAATGTTCCTCTTCTTTAGGTTATTGAAAGAATTTGTGTAAACTTGATTTTGTTTCTTTCCTAAATGCTTGGTGGAATTCTCTAGTTAAGCCAAGTGGCCCTGGGATTTTCTCTGTGAGAAGATTTTAAACAGCAAATTACATTTCTTTAATAGATATGAAGCTGGGCTATTTGGATAACCTGTTCTTGAGTGAGATCTGGCAGTTCATGTCTTTCAAGGACTTTTTCCATTTTATTGAAATTATTGAGTTTATTTATAGAAAGTTGCTCATAATATTCTCTCATAGTCATTTTATTGTCTGCAGTATTTTCAGTGATATCCTTTTTCTCTCTTATTTCTGATATTGGCAATTTGCTTTTTTCTCTTTCTTTTTCCAGATCTGTCTGGAGAGTGGTTTATCAATTTGATCCTTTTTTTTTTTTTTAAAGAGATGAGGTCTCACTATTTTTCCCAGGCTGGTCTCGAGCTCCTGAGCTCAAGTAATCCTCCTGCCCTGGCCTCCCAAAATGCTAGGATGACAAGCGTAAGTCACCATGCCCAGCCTTTTGCTACATATATTTTTTAAATAGAGGTTGCTTTAGGACTTTCAGTATAAATCTTAAATTTATAACAGTCTGTCTTTGAGTAATATTAGACTACCTCCCATACAGCACAACCATCTTACCAAGCTGTACTCCTGTTTCTCCCTTTCCAGCCTTTGTGCTATTGCTGTTATGCCTTTCATTTCTTCATATACTTTAAGCCTCATTATTAAGCTTACTTGAAATAGTCAATTATCTTTTAAAGAGATTTTTTTTTAAATAAGAGAAAATGCCTTTTATATTTATTCAATATGGACCATTGCTGGTGCTCTTCGTTTCTTTGCATACATCTAGATTTCTATCTGTTAACATTTGTCTTCTGCTCAAAGGGCTTACTTGACCATTTCTTGCAAGTGAAGGTCTGCTGGCAATGGACTTCTTCAGCTTTTGTGTATCTGAAAAGGTCTTCCTTTTTGCCTTTATTTTTGAAAGATAATTTTTCTTGGTGGGTAAATAATTCTAGATGGACAGTTGTTTTCACTTTCAGATGTTGCTGTATTATCTTTTGGCATACTTTGTTTCTGATAAGAATTTGGCTCTCATTCTTACATTTGTTCTTCTGTACATAAAGCATTTCTCCCTCCCTTATGCTGAATGCTTTTAAAGTTTTCTCTATATCACTGCTTTTGGGCAATTTTACTATGATGTACAGTGGTTGAGGTTCTTCAAACTTCTTGTATCTGTGGGTTTATAGTTTTTATAGAATTTGGAAACATTTCAATCATAATTTCTTCAATTTTTTCCCATCTGCCTCTCCTTCAGGGACTCCAATTACATGTAGATTGGGACATTTGAATTTGTCCCAGCAATGCTAATTCTCTGGTCAGTCTCCCCTTCCCCCATCTTTTTACTTTCTTTATTTTATTTTGTGTGGCTTGCATTTCTGTGTCTTCAGGTACACTACATTTTTTTTTCTATAGTGTAATCTACACTTCATCCTAAGCTTTAAAAAAAACTCTATCAATTCAATTTGTGTCTTCTTTTCTACAACTTCCAATGCCTCTTTTTCAATATTCTTATGTTCTCCTCTACCTTCTTTACATACAAAATATAACTTTTTAACATCTTTGTCGACTAACTCTACATACAAAATATGATAACTTTTTAACATCTTTGTCCACTAACTCTATCATCTGTGTCATTTCTGGGTCTGTTTCTATTGATTGATATTCCTGATTCTGGGTCATATTTTTCTATTACTTTGCATTCTTTTCCATTGGATGCCAGCATTGTACATTTTATTTTGTAGGTGCCGGATAACTTTATATTCCTTTACATGTTCTTGAGTGTTATCCTTGGAAGCCATTGTGTTACTTGGAAACAGCCTGATCCTTTTTGAGGTTTACTTTAAAGCGTTGTCAGGGGAAACCAGGATGGCCATTGGTGTAGGGATGATTTTACTTTGCTCTTGTGGCAATAGCCTTCTGAGTACTCTACCTGATGCCTTGGGTATTACAAAGTTTCTCTACTTGGACTGGTGAGAACACAATCTGTTCCTGGCCCACTGAGACTCACACATTTTTCTGCCTGTTCCTTTCTGGTGGGAGTTTCCTGGCCTTGGTAGTTGTCTTGCAGGCATACATCCATCAGTACTCCATGGAAGTCTCCAGGGGAAGCCTCGTTGAACTCTGCCCTACAATTCTAGCTGCCTGGGCCTCCCTGGGTTCTCAGCTCTGTCTCCTCCTTTGAGGGAACAGCAGGCTCTGTTTGGGTCAGCTTTCCCTGGAACGTAGCCTGGAAAGGATTTCTAGGTGGTAAGTGAGGACCGTGGTAAGGCTTGCCCATTTGTTTCCCTTCTTTAAAGGATCTCTGCTCTGTGTGGCCTGTTGTTCTGTGTCCAAAAATCATTGTCTTTTTTTTTTTTATAGTTGTTTTGTCTGGTTGTTTGGTTGTTTAGTGTGGGAGGGCAAAGCTAGTTCCTGTGACTGCATCATGGTCAGAAACAGAAATTCTGCCTATGGACAGAGCATGGTGGCTCACACCTGTAATTCCAGCTCTTCGGGAGGCCAAGGCAGGTGGATCACTTGAGGCCAGGAGTTTGAGACCAGGCTGGCCAACATGGTGAAATCCCATCTGTAATAAAAATACAAAAACTAGCCAGGCCTGATGGTGGGCACCTGTAGTCCAAGCTACTCGGGAGGCTGAGGCGGGAGAATCACTTAAACCCAGGAGGCAGAGGTGGCAGTGAGTCGAGATTGCACCACTGCACTCCAGCCTGGGTGACTCTGTCTCAAAAAAAAAAAAAAGAAAAGAAAGAAATTTTACCTATATATTTTTTTATTGTGGTAAAATATACAGAACATGAAAGTTACTATCTTAGCCATTTTTATGTGTACAGTTGTGTGGCATTATGTACATTCACATTGTGGTGCAACCATCACCATCATCCACTCTAGAACATGTTTATCCTTCCAAGTTAAAACTATGTCCCCATTAAACAAGAACACCCAATTTCTACCTTCCACCCAGCTCCTGATAACCACCATTCTACTTTCTTAATCTTGGAATAGTACAGTATTTGTCCTCTTGTGTGTGGCTTATTTTATTTAGAATAACATCTTTAAGATTCACTCATGTTGTAATATTGTGTCAAATTTTCCTTCCTTCTTCAAATGTTTAATTGACACATAAGAATTGTACATATTTATGGGGTAGATGTGATATTTCGATATGTGTATACAATGTGTAATGAAAAGCGAGGTAACTAGTATATCTATCACCTCAAACATTTACCATTTCTTTGTATTGGGAGCATTCAAAATCTTCTGGCTGAATAATATTCCACTGTATGGATGTACCACGTTTTGTTTACCCTTTCATCTGTTGATGGGCACTTGGTTGTTTCTACCTTTTTGTTGTGAAGAAAGCTGCTATGAACACAGGTGTACATATATCTATGTGAGTTCTTTTCTGTTCTTTTTGCTATCTATCCAGAAGTGGAATTGCTAGATCATATAATAATTATATTATATGTCAACTATTTTGAGGAAGTGCCATACTGCTCTCCACAGTGGCTGTACCATTTTACATTCCCACTAGCAATGCACAAAGATTCCAGTTTCTCCATGCCCTCTTCAATACTTCTTTTATGTTTTTTGATCGTAGCCATTCTAATGGGTGTGAAGTATCTGCACTGCAATCTTTAAACTTTGTTCTGAGAACACAAAAGAATGGGCTCCCGGTCAAGCAGGGCTGGGGGATGGTGGGCAGGGCACTTTCCCAGGGTTGGGGTGATTGGAGCTGAGTCCAGCACTCTGCAACATTGCTTTAAATTTACTCAACTGTGAACTCCCTGCAGCCATTGCTGTACCCAGTGCCCATCACAATGCCCAGCAAGCCCTGAGTGCTTGCTTGGTTGGCAGACATGGCAGTGTAGACAGCCGACGGCTTTGGAAACTGATTCAGTGTGGCTGCAGCAAAGGAGGTGGAAGGGGGAGACACGGGATGAGGCTGGAAGGTGTGGGGGAAGGTCACACTCAGGATGCAATCTCTATCCTGGGAGCTATGGGAGGATCTTCAGTAGGGGCCAATATGGACAGAATTGCCTGTTTCAAAGATCACACTGACCATAGGAGATTGTTCATCACCTGCGGAGAAGTGATTTTACGAAATCAGTGAAGACATAAGGAATGGAGGATCCGGTTGGCAAAGTGGGGATGAGGCCGAGGCAGAGTGCCTTAGGGTTCTCCAGAGAAACAGAACCACCAGGGGATATATCCAGTCATGCCTGGCTTGATGATGGAATACCTTCTGAGGTATGTGTCATTAGGTGATTTTGTTGTGCAAACATTAAAGAGTGTATTCATACAGGCCTAGAGGGTAGCACCTTTTGCTCCTAGGCTAGAAAGACATACGGCATGTGACTGTACTGAATACTGCAGGCAGCTGTAATCCAGTGGTAAGTATTTGTGTATCTACACATATCTGAACATAGAAAAGATACGGTAAAAATATGGTATCATAATCTCGTGAGACCACTGTAGTACATGCGGTCTATCATTGATTGAAATGACATTATTCAGTGCATGACTCATGTGCGTGCGTGTGTGTGTGTGTGTGTGTGTGTGTGTGTGTGTGTGGGAGCCTTATTATGAGGAATTGGCTTGCACGATTATGGAGGTGAGAAACCCCATGATCTGCCTCTGCAAGCTGGAGCCCCAGGAAAGCCCCAGGTGCTATAGTTCAGTTGGAGCCAAAGTCCTGAGAACCAGGGTAGACGATGGTGTTAAGTCCCAGGCCAAGGGCAGAAGAACATGAGATGATCTTTTTTTTTCCAGCTCAAGCAGGCAGGTAGGAAGAAAGAAAGAAAGGTGAATTCCTTCTTCCTCCACCTTTCGTTACATTCAGGGCCTCAAGGGGTGAGATGCTGTCCACTCACACTGGGGAGGGTGATTTGCTTGGCGGAATCCACTCAAATGCTCACCTCATCCTGAAACACTCTCATAGGCACACCCAATAATGATGTTTAATCCGGGCAGCCCTTGGCCTGCTCAAGTTGACACATACAATTAGCCATCGCACAGAGGATGGGAGAGTCAGTTCCCACCTTCCTCTTACGACGATGGCTAAGCTCTAGCCCAGGAGACCCTGCCTCCTCACGCATGTCACAGGCCACCATCTTTGGCAGCAGGTGGCAGAAATTCAGTCCTTGTTTGGGAACTCACAGATGATACGAAAAGAGACTAACATGGGAAAGGGGAGAGGAGTTTGTCTCAATCTGGGCAGATATCTTCCACTTCTAGAATCTGAGAAAGTGATAAAAGAACTTACTGAAGAAGCATAAGTTGCTCATCTTGGTAGCTGAGCAAAGGAGTCCAATGAGATTAATTTCCCTGCTGCTGAAAATCTGTTGCATGAGTTTTGGGTTTCCCTTTGTCCTTTTCCCCCTTGGCTTCTGGTATGAAAATGACAGCTCCACATTTGCTTGACACTGTAGAACTATGAAGTCAAGAAAACAGAAGGCTTCCATTTGTTTTTTATAGGAGTGCTAATGGCCTCTTCTCAGATTTGTGTCTGCCTCTGGGTAAATGGCCAGTGCCTTTTGTCATGAAATTAAAACCATTTGAAGCAAATGGGAATTATAAGTGTGTGACCATTATCGAAATGCATCTTTAAATTTCATAAGCTCATAATTTTGGATACGTGAATTCAGTGCACATATTATTTTAGGTTTGTGGAGTTTTCAAAGGATATTCAAGCTTAAGGAAGGGAATTGAAAAAGATCTGATTGTATTGAGAAATACAAATAAAATCCTAAGCCCCCCAGCTGACTGAATGGACCTCCTCTTGGCCAAAGAGACCCCCAGAGAACCTTAAAAACTGAGTTCCCGGCCATGGGATGGATGAGAGGTCAGGCACACCTCAAGACAGCCCCTCCCTCGCTAACCGCCATTAGAGTTTCTTTTTAAAGAGATAAACAGAAACCAGCCCTTTTGAAAGATTTGCTCCACTGCTGATTTCAACCAGTCACCTGACGTTACAGCCAGACCCCCTGCCTTTTGCAGTTTAGACACAACAACTGACCAGCATGAACGCTAGAGATAATCAGACTGACGATAGGATGCCAAATTGCAAGTAAGACCGGAGGCCGTGGCAGGCAAGGGTTAAATCACGCACCTCTGTGCTTCAAGAATAAACGAGGCTCTCACTGCCACGAGGTTTTGTCTTTTTTCTAACAGCTAAATAAGCATTGACCTCAAGATAAGCAATATTAAAACAATGGCAGCTCCACCAGATGCTGACTAACTGATCCCTGTCCCGCAAGCCATAACTACAGCTTCGAGTGAACAAGAGACTGATTTCAGTAACTTTCCCCTGATGGGAGACCACCCTCCAGGGACTGGTTCTGGCTGGTCCATGGGGACTGTGCACTGAGTGCCTTGGAGTCCCAGCTGCACCTTGCGACATATAGGGCCCAACTGTAAAACATTTAAATGTGAAGTCTTCACTCCCAGGTGAACATGTGTGTGTTGATGGATGTAACAAAGATGTTTGCTTACTACACGTGCACACAGCCCCTCTTCATGAATCTTCCCAGCTCCTCCTATAACCTGCTAAATCTGTACGCTTAGCCAGCTCCTTCAGCATAGTTTCCTCTTTTACTGTTCCTTCTTCAAAGTGCCTGTTCCTGATTTAACAAGTTGTTAAACAGAACAGCCTACAGGTTGTAATCGTTTATAAAAAATAAAACTCCTCTTTTCTAAATGTATAGATCTCGTGATTTTAAGTCAATGGTATCATGGCAAAATTTGTTACCTGTCCCCCAACTCCCCACTCCCATTGGTTTCAAAGTTTCAGGACAATTTCTATAATTAATAAGAAGCTCTGTGGCTGGGTGCAGTGGCTCATGCCTATTATCCTAGCACTTTGGGAGGCCGAAGCGGACAAATTACTTCAGCCCAGGAGTCTGATACTAGTCTGGCCAACATGGTGAAACCCCATCTCTACCAAAAATACAACAACAACAAAATTAGCTGAGCATGGTGGTACATGCCTGTAATCCCAGCTACTGGGGAGGTTGAGGGTGGAGAACCCCTTGAACCCGGGAGGCGGAGGTTGCAGTGAGCTGAGATTGCACCATCGCACTCCATCCTGGGCAACACAGCAAGACTCTGTCTCAAAAAAAAAGAAGAAGAAGCTCCATGACACATTACACCACCTGAGACTCCCCAGACCCTGGTCAGTGCAATCGCGTCTCAGCAACCTGTGTGCCGTTCTGCGGCTCCTTTCCAGCCTCCGTCTTCCATCCTTCCCCTGCCTCCTACCTTTCCTCTTATTCTGTCTCTTTTTAAGACCCAGTTTACCTGTCGCTTACTTCTCTTGGAATTATTTTTACTGCTTATGAAGATTGGTTGTTATGTTCTAGTAGCAATGACAGATCTCCAAGCCATTTCTTCCTTGGAGAATTTCTCTGCTTTTAAAACAGGCCCCTGGATATTTGATAAAAGCAGCTGCGGAAGCTGTGAAGAGTGGCTGACACCTTTGTTTCTAATGATATTTTAAAGATGTTCCCATTGGGAAACGTGGAACTGTGTTTGAGAGGAAAACAAAACCCAAAAGCTTATAAACAATGATATTAATGATGATGGAGACTTTTCCTCATAATTAAATAAGCAGTCCTAATTTTATAAAATACAATTATCAGGAGTTTAGATTTTTAATCTCCTGTGTATTTTGAAGCATGGCTAAAATATAATAAATCCTAATTGATTTCTTCCAAACAAGCAAAGCCTACAAAAATCCATGGAAAAAATTTACCTTTAAAAATAAATATTATAAAGTCCACACAAATTCACTATTTCCCAGCAGAAAAAGAGCTAGCCCTTTAGAGAAGGGACCCTCCTTGATCTCCAGGAATGACACTAAGGGGGAGCAGACCATTCCTATTCAGAAAACGTGAGCTGAGCCTTGTCATTCCCTTTTCCTCTTGGAGCAGAGGCTGGCTAGTGGAGGTCAGAAGACTGAGGTCCTAGAATGGGAAATTTGGGCCATGGAGAAAAGGAGGCAAAATCATATGACTTGGTGTTAAATGTTTTCATGGCTGTGGGAAATAAACCCATAAGTTCACCCTACAGCACCTTCCTCTACACTGCTCATGTGGCTGTTTCTTCAAACCAGACTGATGAGCTATTTATTTTATTAATTTGTTAAATATAGATGGATGCTGGGCTGACAGCGATGAATAAGAGAAAGCTCAGCCTGCTGCCTCGATGGGGTTTATCTGCCACTGGTAGAGACGCCCAACTCACAACTAAATAACAACCAATGATTTCATCTCATTTGCCACCGGTGACTTGCAGGAGAGGCTGCAAAGCCTGGAATGAGTGGGCTTGACCCCAGATTGAGGCTCGGGAAAGAAGGCTTCCTTGAGGAAGCCATGTTTGAACATTCGAAGGATACAGGCAGGTGCACACAAGGTGGGGAAGGGCGTTTCTGGCAGACGGCATAGCATGTAAAGGCCCCCGAGCAGGAAGGGCAGAATGAGGAAAGAAAAGACAGACAGACAGTGTGGGTGTAACCAGGTGAAAGGAGAGCAGTTCATGGAGCCAGCCTGCAGGGGAGGGCACTTCTGGGCCCACAAGTAATAATGTTGCCTCATGGTGGCAATATTTTGGCACCTTCTTCCGGCCACAGCAACTCCTCAAATGTTACTACTGGCTGAGTCGAGCAATTTTGTCTTCAAGGTCTTGAAATGCCTTGGAATGGAATCACGTGGCCTGGGAGCATAGCACCCTCCTCCCCTGGGCGGCAGTCCTGGACTGCTCACCTCTTCCCCTGGCCACTGCTCACTCTGTTCCTTGCAGTCTGAGGTACTTCTTGAAGAGATGATGGCAACCAACGAGGAGCTGAGGAGTGTCTTCTTCATCCCTGACATCTGTTCCTGATACACCATCTGCCCTAGACAACAAGCCCACGTCTTTCTTCTTGTTCTTCCTTCTCCACTTCTTGTTTGGACTCTGGGAGTGGAGGAAGTCATTATGCCTCACGCTCGGGGAGCCTGCAAACATTCTGCAGAGGAAAAGGGGCTTGGGGAATTACTTTCTGGGCTCCTATCGTCTCTTCTTGACATTATTTGCTTGGGGGCTCAGCTTTCCAGCTGGCTGGAGCAATTCAGAGAGGTCTGTCCTTCCCAACAAATGGAAGGGAGGGGCTCAAGGTTACTCTGTCCTGCACAGGTGGACATTGGCCCAGCAGGCTGCAAATGTAGATGAGATTTTACATAGACTCTAAAAATCACCATGACATTATCTAACATTAAAAAAAAATCCTGCAAGCAAATTGGACAGAGGACTGAAGCAGGGAGAGATGCTGGGAAAACCTGTTTTCTTCTCAAAGCACTATCAGTGACATGCCATATGGTTTTTGCCAAACCATTTGGCTGCTTTAAGATTTTCTATTCCCAAATGTAAAACTGAGCTAATAGAATTTGCCACCCCACTGGGATATCACAAGCACTAATCAGAATGTCTATAAATGCCTTTGAACTCCTTTGGAAAAACATGCAACCAAAATACCAAGTGGGATTTATATAAATGTCATGCTAACCCTAGATCTTCATTTTGACAGTGGGAATTTAGGGCTTACGTGGATGCATTTATTACAGTTCTCACCGAAATTACACATGACTGGATGCCTTGAGCTTTAATTTTTTTTTTTTAACAAGACTTTGCAACCTGCCAGGTTGAAACTCAGAAATTTTTCAAATGTGAATTCCGTTATGAAGAACAGTTTGCATTGAGGAAGTTTTCTTTAACTATCTGGGTCTATCCCATATGCCATGGCCATTGAGGTCCTGTCATCACCTTTGGTTTCCTTGAACTGAAAATAAGACAACCTGATCTTTTATCCTCAAATCTTTGGGGCGTGCTATGGTGCATTATCTTAATACTCATGCATTCTCTGTCCTTTCTGTTGGGAGAATTGAGAAAAAATTTCTATCGACAAATCTGCAAAGGTTCATCCTTTAGAAAGCCCCATGACTGTTTATTTGACTCTCGGATAATTATACTTAAGTCCATGTGTTTACTTCGGAGATCTCCAAAAAGAGTAGAAAAGATCTAGCAACCCCAAATTAGTTTAGGAACCAGCATGTCCCTTGCTTTAAGGAACACAGTAAACATTTCAAAAGAGCATGCCAGCTCATTATCTAACTCTCTCTTCAGTGACTTCAGGGAAAACAGCAGCAGTTAAGCAATGTTTGCCAAAAGCAAATCTGGGGACGGGTGTTGATTTTAAAAGAGAAGGAAAGAAGAGCTAGTTGCTCGCTGCAGGTTCTCCTGGCTCGGCGGCGCGGAGGCAAAGGCCTGTTTCTGCAAAGACTTTGTGAGGCCCCATGACTCTTCCTCAACCTCCCGACCGCTGGAGGTCCCTGATAGTTGAATAAGCTAAGTGCAATGTGCCCGCCCAGTTCTTTCCTGGAAGATGAAACACAGCTCCCTGAGTCAGGAGACAGAAGAATGGATAAACATTCCTCAATTGCTGTTGATAGGTTCTCACCCCAGAACCCAGGCAGTCGGCCTCATGCTCCAGAGTGCAGGTCCCATAAGGCGTGAGTATGGGGGTGTTTTCCACCATGACATCAAGTGCATCCCCACACTGCCCCCAAACGTAATTAGCATGTCCTATGGCTGTTGGAGATTCTGGCTTGTTTCGAGAACTAGCTTCCTGGCACTCTAGGGCTCAACTGCAAAGAAATGCTCTTTTGTGATAACGCATCTGGACATCCAGTGCAAGAAACTGAGCATTAGTCCCCCTGACCCTCCCACCCCCCAGAAAGACTCCAACTGAAAGGTTGCACAATGGCTGATCAAAGTCCACCACATTTCTTTCCAGGGCTACGATTTTGTTCTGTCTCCACTCTGGGGAGTTGGAAGGCTGGAGCACGGACGAGCCATCTCTCCCCCTACCTCCTGGTGATGTTTGGAAATCTTAATTTTGTTTTATAGGTCACAGGTCAGCCCATCCATGCCGATCCTTGTAATTGGACAGGACGTGCTTTGTGTGGTCTGATTACATCTTTTCTTTCAGACCCAAGGGGAGCCGTCAATTAGAGCCGTGCTTGAGCCTAAGGCTGACCTGAACCGTTTGAAGGCAGATCTTCCATGGAGTGCCCCGGTACTACTTCATTTCCAGGAATCTTAATTACAAGGCATTACTCTGATGGATTGAATGTATTAAGTAGCCTCAATTCACCCCAGTTTGCAGCCCTTTGGGAGGCGGCTCCCCTCCCATCATTTTCTGCCCCGCTTTGCTGCCCCAGTGCCATGGCACCAGGAGGGCTTTGTTCCAAACCAACTTTGAGCTGTGAGTATTATCAGAGGCCCCTCCCCTGCCTGGAGGCCTTTCGGAAACTACTTTATCTCTTGCAGGTCCTTTTCTGGAAAGGTCAAAGGGATGAGAGGGGTCTCTGCAGTGTCCTGGATCTGGTTTCAACCTCACCTTCTCCATGTATGAGAAGACAAGTCACTTGGATTCACCATGCCTCGGTTTCCCCAGATGGCAAGCAGGACTCAGCCTTTTGGTGAGAATCAGATAAGACTTAGAATGAGATGAGAATTACATGTGAATGCACAGTTGGGACGTGGTGCGTATTTCACTGTGGGGCTGTGACTGCCAGGCAGACCTGAGATTGCTTCTGAAGAAGAGCCGCTGACTGGTTCGTGGGCCATCTCGGCAGGATGTGCACTGGGAGCAGGTGCTCCTGACCTTCCTCCATGGTTCCTGCCAAGTCCTCAGTGATACGGAATGCTAGCCAAGCCCCTGGGGGAAGGGACACAGGGCCCCTCTGAAATTTCAAAGCCGGTTTGCACAGCAAGTTCCAGGAGAAGGTGGGCACATTTGCATAGCCACCAAGGAGCCTCTTTGTTGGAAGGGAATCAAGGCAGGACCCTCCTCCTTTTTTCAATTTAATAATGAACAGCCGGGCATGGTGCTGACTTGGGGCTGCTGGCAGGGACAGGCACCAGCGTTGCCAATGGAGAGCTAGCTAGCTATGAGAGAAATTCAGGGGCAGTGCCGGGGGCTGAGTGGGGGTGCCAGCAGTGTGTGCTGGATGGGAAGTGGGGCTGGGGGGCCTTGCTAGGAGCAGTGGCTACCGATGTGTGAGCAAACCAAAGGAGTTGTCACCCTGGAACCTGCTCAACAGAGCACCCGGTGATCACCCTGCTAGGACATCCTTGCGGCTATGGACAAGTGCCCATTGGGTGACTCAGGCACCTTATCGGAGCCCCTCCCCAACCCCATGTGGTGAGTGCAGTCGTATTCACTCTTTACCAAATAGCAGCTTAGCATCCACTTTTCTCCCTTTTTCTTCTGGGTCACCAGAGGGCTTAAGTGTGACTGGTTGCAGACGTGGCACTTGTGGCCGTGTAGGATGCCACACGTGGCTGATGTGGAAGGGGCACTGCAGGTGTGACGGATGCCAGGCACTGAGGAAGCAGCTGCATGCCCTCTGGCCTCACTGGTACAGTTTTCCAGGTGCCGTCTCACACCCTAAGCTGGCCAAGGCATCCTTGGGGATGGCCCTGGAGCAGCGCCTCCCTATCTGCTCGCTGCAGAGGTGACAGCATTTAATATGGCAAAGGCTTCCCAGGGGCCAAATGGAGAGGTCATCAGAGCCTCGTGGTGAGAGCCAGGTCCAGATTTGGCTTTCTGGAAGTGAACGACTAACATGATCCACCTATGACCACAGATTGTTCTCTGAAATAAGTCACAACTTTGAAAGAATGAGTGAGCTTTCTCCTGGGATTTGATTTGGTTAGAGGGTAAGGAGCACACTGCTTTGGCCACACTGTGGGTCTCTAACACGGTCTCCAACCCTTTGTTCCATTTTCTCCCCTCCCTCTTCCCCTTGTCCCCCTCATTTTCTTTCCTTTCCTTCCTTTGAACAGTACCTGGTCCATCAGAGGACGAGCTTTCACGTGTTAGCCAACACCTCCGTCATCACCATCATTGCCATGATCATCGTCCTCATCACCTTGACACGCTGAGCTTTGTAGCTTAAAAACAAAATGCCTTTAACAATGTGCAACAGGTCTAAGATGCCACCTTTGGGATCAGATGGGAGTTTGGGATTATTTCTATTTTCCAATTGTTCAGCCCCCTCCCACTAAGTGCGAAGCGGAGAGCCATTAAGTTGCAATGGATTTGATTCACCACGTGGCCCCTCAAATCCTTTCTGGAACAAGATTGGATGTAAAAATAAATCAAATAAATGCATTTTCAGCGTGTGCAGCCCAGCCCAGAGCTCCTTGCAGATGACTTCTTCCTTTCAAGCATGTGCCCAGCCAGTGCCACTAGGAAAGTGTCAAAGAGAAAAGCCGGCTCTGGCCCCGGGTTGCATTGGAGCAGTGGATTGAGCTCTTCAACTCTCAGCACTTCAACACTCCGCTTGTCCCCTAAGGGTTTTCTGAAGGTCACTGATGCTGGCAGGAAGTGTGGAAAAAGGATGTTTATACCTGGGGCCGGGAGATGGCCTCTCTCAGGCTGGGAGAGACTGGCAGAGCTGCCTGATAATGAGAACAATGCCATCCACACCATTGTGAGCACACGGTAAGCCTCAGGCATGTGGTACACCTGAGAGGCGCTTCTGTGTCTCCTGGATTGTTTATGACAATCATGACAAGCAGCCACTGCCTTCCCATTTCACAGCCAAAGGAAGCATGGTGTGGGCAGATGCAGTTGCAGTTTGTCTCCAAGGAAGGAAAGTGGCTGAGTTGTAAGTGGCTGAGTTGCAGGCTGGACTTCGGTCCATATTATTATGGGTTGAACTGTGTTCCTCCCCCCAGATTTATGTTATGGTCCTACCTCCCAGGACCTTGGAGTGTCACTTTACTTAGAAGTAATGTAGTTGCAGAGGTAATTAGTTACGATGAAGTCATGCTGGAATGGGGTAGGCCCTCGTCCAATAGGACAGGTCCTTATCAAAAGGGGAAATTTGGAGACAGACCCGCACTCAGGGTGGATGCCACCTGAGGATGGAGGCAGAGGTCAGCGTGGTGCTTCTACAAGCCAAGGAAGGCCAAGGATGACCAGTGAGTTAGGAGAAGCCGGGAGAGGCCAGGGACAGATCCTCCCTCACAGTCTTAGAAAGAAGCAGTCCTGCTGACACTGCAGTCTGGATCTTGCAGCCTCCGGAACTGTGAGCGAGTACACTTCGGCTGTGTAAGGCACACGGTCTGTGGTGCTTTGTGAATTACGGCATCCCTGGGAGACTGACACAGACATCAAACCAAACCTGTCCCCTTTCCACTGTATTTCCTTGAGCTTTAACGGAGCAACGAGAAGACTTTGAAGGCCCCCTTGAGTCCTCTACAGGGTGAGGACGGAAAGGAAGCAGGCCTGGGCTCCAGGGTCCCAGGGCTCTGGGAGAGGACTCTTGGTGCCTGCTGGTGGCTGTTCCCTCCTCCTCTCTGTCAAGCCACTTTTCCCGTTTCTGCACTCGCTCTTGGGCTGAGACTCCTCAAGAGGGAACTCCCTTGGTGCCGCCATCTGCGGCCGTGGGAGGGATCAGAGTGGCCCAGCGGCCATGCAGAGGGTGCGCAGTGCTGAAGAAGTCATGGAGGTGAGACCCACTTGTGAGGCTTTTGAAAATGTTCACTTTTGGATAATGAGCTTTTATTTATTTATTTATTATTTATTCATTTATTTTCAGCAAACTGATCTCTTACTAGAACGAAGTCAACAAGAGCTACCCTTGGACTCTGGATGCCTGGGAGGGTCTGGAGCCGTCGGGCAGAAGGAGAAGGTGGAGCGGGTCTTCCCGGAGGCCGGCTCCCACGGGGGCGGCCAAGGCTCTGGGCCTCTCGGCATGCCTCTGCGGATCCTGTTGGATCCAGAACCGTCTGGATCACCTGAAGAGTTATTTGATACCAGCTGATTTTCTAAGGGGACAGCCGGGTGGGGATATCATAGGCAGGCACACTGGCTTCAGAATTAGAGGCCAAAAGTGTGGACTCTCTCAGCCACTAACTCAGTTCTGCTCTCTGGCAAAACCCTTCGCAGCTCGGGCTGCCCTGTCTGTGAGTGGAGGTGGGCAGCTCCCGTCTCAGAGTCCTGGTGGGGGTGAGGTGGAAGGCCCCAGGGGCGGCACCCTCCAGTGAACTCCGTAGCTTCCTCCCCTTCATCTCCCACGTTGTTTACAGTGTAGCTAGGGGTCAGGACACTGTCCCTATTTCATATGCTTTGTTTGGCATTTTCGGTATTTAAGCCTCTGTCAATTCAATCAGACTTCGCTACAGAAAGGGCAAGATACCAGGAAATGCAGACAGTGCCTAAGCATCGTTCCTCATCTCGAACAGTGGTTCTAAGTTGACTCTGTGGTGTATTTCTAGTGGCAATACTAGATATTTTCCTTTATAGCAAAAATGAGAATCTTTATTAAAACAACTATGTATTATTATTTAACATCCTGATTCCAAAGTGACAGCTATATGGCATGGCTTATTAAGAAAGTTGATATCTAGGTGCTTTGACAGTTTACTAAATCTTTTTTTAAAAATTTATTTATTTATTTTTGAGACATGGGGTCTTGCTATATTGCCCAGGCTGGTCTCAAACTCCTGGCTCAAGCAATCCTCCCACTTTGGCCTCCTAAAGTGCTGGGATTACAAGTGCGAGCCATGACACCCAGCCCAGTTAACTAATTCTTGATGATTGAAAGCTTTATAGCCCTAGTCTCACCTCACTCTTTAATGCCTGCTTTCCACCTCTGAAGCTAGAATGTTCCTGATGCATACGTGTGGGTCTAGGGTGGTGAGTGGGAGTTTTCTCTGTCCCTGATCTCTGCTAATAATATTGAAGGATACAGGCCTAGTTTTTCACCATCCCTATTCTGAACTAGGGAGGAAGGAGAGAGAAAGAGAAGGGGGCAGTGGAGAGAGAGAAAAAGAATGAGAGAGAGATTGAGAGAGGAGGCAGGCAAAACTCCTATCTATAGGCCATTTCCGTGCCTTTGAGAATATTAATTCCTGTGGCTTCTCCTGGAGAGAATGAACAATTTTCCACTCTCATAAAGAAAAAAGACAATTTCCTTCCTCCCAATAGGAGTTTGCAGGGGCCCTGTGCTGCTCTGGAAATTGCACGAAATGTCAATACTATAGACAGACATATACATTAAGCTCTTCTTAGCCTGGCTCCTTAACAACCACTCTGGTGTCCACAGCCTGCCTTAACGACACACTGCCTTAGTGGTGCGGTCCAAGATGACTGGTTTTAAAAAGAGCTGTGTCCTCCTGGTGCAGACAATCTCATGACGACAATGTGTTAGGCAGGAAACATGTGGGTCTTCAAGCAGAATTCCCGTGACTCTGAGCTGAGACTTACCACGGGGACCCTGAATTACTTGGAACCTTGTGCTTTCAGCTTTGGAGGGTGCGATGGGGTGGGGGGGCCTCTCTTTTAGCAAGATTTTAAGCTCATGAGAGGCACGTCCTGCCCTGTGCCTCATTGCCAGCAACCTCTGTAACCCTCTAGAACCTGAAACTTAATGATAACTGTGTGGGGAGGGCCTGCCAGAGGGCTTGGCTTTGACACTTGTTTATGGAGCAGGCAGGCGTGTTGCACCCCTGTTTGCAAAAATGGGGCTGATTTTATTCTTACTGTGAAGGTCTTTAGCTATTTTCTTCCAGAGAAGTACTACCTTTCCTGTTCTCTCTCTTTTCTAAACGTTTCTTTGAAATATAATACATAGGCAGAAAAGTGCATAGGAGTGTACAGCTTGATGCCTTTTCATTGACGGAACACACCTGTGTAACTGGCATCCAGATCAAGAGACAGAATATCCCATAACCTCTGAAATTGCCCCACTCCCCTGCTCCCCACCACGGTAAATCACTAGCCTGCCCTCCAATGATACAGAGCAGTTTTGCCTGTTCTTGTACTTTACATAAACGGAGCTACACAGTATGTGCCTTCTTCGCGCCTGTTTCTTTTGTTGCAACATTTAGTCATTTAGTCAGATTTAGCCACAGTCTTGCCTGTGGTTTTCAATCCTTCATTCTGGTTGTTATATGGTAATCCAATGCATGAATGTACTACAGTTTATCTACTCTACTGATGAGGAACACGTAGTTAGCTTCCAGTTTGGGGCTATTACAAACAGTGCTGCTGGGAATATTGTAGTTTACACTTTTTGTTGCATGTCTGTGAGCGTGTCTACTGGAGGGCATACCTGGGAATGACATGCTAAGGCCAAGGGCTCGTTAATCTTTAACAGACAGATGCAACCAAGGCCATGACAGTTTGCAACGGCCAGGAGGGAGAGTCCTGCTTGGGTACATCTTGGCCATACATTTTGGTCAACACTTGGTATTTTTCTGGTGCACATTTTCGTTATTTGCCTTTTCTTTTTCCTCCCCTCTCCTCCAGAAATACAGCCATTTGGATTGACAAAGATGCAACAGCAATTCAATGGCGGAATAGTCAGTAGTCGGTTTAACCAATGGTATTGGAAAAATGGGACATCCATATGTGAAAAAATGAACCTGGGCCGGGCGCAGTGGCTCATGCCTGTAATCCCAGCACTTTGGGAGACTGACGCAGGTGGGTCACAAGGTCAAGAGATCGAGACCATCCTGGCCAATATGGTGAATCCCCATCTCTACTAAAAATACAAAAATTAGCTGGGCGTGGTGGTACATGCCTGTAGTCCCAGCTACTGGGAGGCTGAGGCAGGAGAATTGCTTGAACCCGGGAGTGGGAGGTTGCAGTGAGCCGAGATGGCGCCACTGCACTCCAGCCTGGTAACAGAGTGAGATTCCGTCTCAAAAAAAAAAAAAAAAAAAAAAAAAAAACCTGAACCTAGACTTCACTCCTCATATACTAAGAGCGTGTGTATGTGTTCTTTTCAAACACCTGTGGAATATTTACAAAAATCCTGTTAGGAACAAAATCTCAGCCAAGTCCCCAAGGCAGAATTCACTAGGCTAATTTCTCTGACTTCAACGGAAGACAATTAGAAATTAGTATCCAAAGAATGTCGGCGCTAAGAGGCGGAGGGTTTTCGTTGTTGTTGTCCGTGGCTATAGCCCCAAAGCCTAGAATAGTGCCTGGCATCAATTTCTGAATTAGTGAAAAACGTAATGAGGCATACTGATTAGAACACATCCAATAAAAATTAACAGAGGAGCTAAAGTAACGATATGTATTGTTTATTGAATGTCTAGAGGTACATTTTCCAGGCTCTGTGTAACATCCTCATGAAGAATCCAAGCCCGTTCCTTCTGCTCTGTATTCTCATTGTCTTGGCCTCATGGTCCCAAGATGACGATGATGATTATACTAGTATTAATAACTATTATTATTATAAAGATAATGATAGTTCGTATGACTTGCTTTGTGCCAATTGTTGTTCTGAGCCCCTGACGTATTGTTATACATTACATGCTCACATCTGTCCATGAGCTAGGTGTAATTTTTCCTCATTTGCAGATGGGAAAATAGAGGCATAGAGCGATTCAGTAACTTGTCCAAAGTCATACAGCTAATAATTGGTACAGCCAGGAGTTAAGCTCAGGCATAGCCCATAGTCTGTGCTTACTTTCTAAGTTTTATTTTAACTCCAGGTGTTGTATTTTCACAGCCAAAGCAGGAAGAAAGAGGCCACATGAGGCCACGTAGCCACAACAATCTCAAGGGAGGCCGGGAAATTAAGTATCTGACGAAAAAGAGCAGGAGTTCCACCTTAAATGAAGCAGGAGCCAGGCCTGAGAGCAGGACGCACTGCCATGCTGAACAGAGGGCCTGGTCCCTAAAGCAGGAAGGAGTCAAGGATCGCAGTCGGGATTGACAAATGATATCTCTGCCATATTAAAAAATAATCTATCTACTTGCAAATTTGAAAAAATTCTAGATAACTTGGGTTAAAAAGAAAATGAACACTTTGGGAGGTTGAGGCGGGCAGATCACGAGGTCAGGAGATCGAGACCATCCTGGCTAACAAGGTGAAATCCCGTCTCTACTAAAAATACAAAAAATTAGCTGGGCACAGTGGCGGGTGGCTGTAGTCCCAGCTACTCGGGAGGCTGAGGCAGGAGAATGGCGTGAACCCGGGAGGCAGAGCTTGCAGTGAGCCAAGATAGCACCACTGCACTCCAGCCTGGGTGAAAGAGCAAGACTCCGTCTCAAAAAAAAAAAAAAAAGAAAGAAAGAAAATGAAAATCTATTTAGAAATAATTGGGAATAGATTAACTAAAATTCAGAAGAGGAGAAAAAATCTAAAGAAGGGGAAAAGTCTAAAGAGAAGGATAACCCATAGAAAAAAATGGAAGGGTAATCAGAGGACTACAGGCCCACACTGCTGTGCAGGCATATTCTGCATTTCTAAGGAATAATGACATTCATATTAATATTATACTTATAAAAGCTATTCCACAGAATATAAAAAGATGATCTCCAACTCATTCAATAAAGCTAGTATTACCCTGACACCAAATCCAGACATAACTAGTGCAGAAAATATATACGCCACCCCACTTGTGCAAATGATACAAAAAAATTCCAACTAAAACATGAGCAAATACAAGAATGCGATGTACTAGAAGATCACATTTTTCCTAGGAATGAAAAGATGGTTCGAGGTTAGGGAACCTATCAGTGTAATTTCCTGCAATAACAGTTAAAAGAGACCGACGATATGACCGTCTCAGTAAACATAGCAGATAGTGTGTTGCTGCTCCATCCTCTACCTGACCTTCTGAGGTCTTCTTGCAGGGATTAGAAGTCTGGAAGCTCCATTTCCCAGGCTCTCTGGCAATGGTTCCAGTTTAGTTTCTACCACTGAGAGGTACTCATTAGTTTGGCAAAAGGTGAAGAAGGCTGGACTGGAGATGTGATTGCTGTTGCACAGGTCACAGACTGCCTGAGCCTGGTTCCACACCATTCACAGAAGACTATCATGGGAATCCTCTTGGAGCTGTGCAACGTGCACGCCCTGCCTTGGGGCAGGGAGGGGTTCTGCAATATAATTTTTGCAGAAAAGAATGGGCATCATCTTTTCAAAGTATTCGGTACTAAGGGTTCCCCCTGAAAGATGTAAGTTTCCTTCTGTTGGCTGAAATAATATAAGAAATGGAAAAAGTACACTTTCAAGAATTTCAATTTAGATACTGTTTGTATTTGTGTGTGTATGCAAAACAGTTCTTGTATTTTTATGTACAAGATTTGGCACAATAAATGCTGATTTTCTTGGGGCTGTGGATAACATTTCTGGAGCGGTGTCTCACTTGTTTACATAGATTATTGACTTGCAGGAGTTCTTCGCTCTGTGTCAAATGCCTCTGTGTTAACTGGTTAGAAACTAAACAAGTTAGACCTGGCAGGCTTCAAGTCTCTGCAGGCAATAATAGACGTTATCAGTTATTGATATCGAACATCTTTATGGGCAAGCATTGTGTAAGTTGCTTTAAAATGTCATCTAATTTAAGGTTTGCTATTGATTGATTGATTCAGTGAATTTTTAAGGGGTAACTCCTGTGCAAAAAACACTGAACTAAGGCCAGAAGATGAATAATAAGAATGATAATAAGCCAAATGCGGTCTCTGCCCTCATGGAACTTACAATGTGTCAGAGAAGAATCTATGGAAATACAATTGGGGGCTGGGTGCCGTGGCTCACGCCTGTAATCCCAGCACTTTGGGAGGCTAAAGCAAGTGGATCACAAGGTCAGGAATTCAAGACCAGCCTGGCCAAGATGGTGAAACCCTGTCTTTACTAAAAAATACAAAAATTAGCTGGGCGTGGTGGTGCACACCTGTAATCCCAGCTACTTGGGAGGCTGAGGCAGAGAATTGCTTAAACCCAGGAGGTGGAGGTTGCAGTGAGCCAAGATCACGCCACTGCACTCCAGCGTGGGTGACAGAGCAGGACTCCATCTCAAAATAAATAAATAAATTAATTAAAAAATAAATAAATAAATAAAATAAAACATGACTGGGGTCAAGACTAGGTAAGTACATTCCTCTGGGGCTCCAAGAAGTGAGTGAAACGGAAGCCCTGGACAGGAGACAGGGGGCAGCCCTCAGGATTCCTGGAAGTGGATGGTAACAGGCTGACTGGAGGAGGAAGCTGGAACTGAAAGAATTATTGTATCAGCAGCGAGTCTCATTCGACACCCATCTTTCTTCTTTTCCCTCCAGTATCTTCCAATTTGACCTCAAAGGCAGCTGAAAACCTGGAATTACATATTGACTATGCACAGAAAAATCCCAAGGCAAGCCCTCTGTTTCTAGTCTGAAAGACAGGAAACAGGGGCCCTACAGGTCAGAAAGAATGGAGAAAATTCTTTTCCCTCTCGTGTGTTAGTGGTTGTCCTTTCTTGTCCTTTATGGAAACAATAACTCTGACAACTGCAGATTTCTTTCACAGGCCCATGAGTCAGTGGCAGTGGGATGGCGTTTGTTAACTGCTGAAAGAAAACCGTCAACACAGAATTCTTTATCCACTGAAAATTTCCTTCAGGAATGAAGATGAAATAAAGACATTTGCAGAGGAAGGAAAACCAGGAGAAATTCTCCCCAGCAAACCTGCTTGCTTATTTGATTTTGGTACCTGTCATTAACCCTCATAAATAAAATCTGCTATTGTGATACTATGGAAGTTGCTAATTTTATCCTTGTTCTTAAAAAAATAGTGTTAGAAATAAATTTTCAGTGCTGTAAAAGAAATAGCACTCGAACATAAATTTAATTTTCTCAGCAAGGCAATTTTACTTCTATAGAAGGGTGTGACTCATAGATGGAGCAATGGTGAGAGCACACCTGAACAAGGGAGAGGAAGGGGTTCTTATCCCTGATGCAGGTAGCGCCTACTGCTGTGTTGTTCCCCTATTGGCTAGGGCTGGACCACACGGTCTAAGCTAATTCCTATTGGCTATTTTAAAGAGAGTCAGAGTGGTGGGGTGAGTGGTTTGCAGGAAGGACAGTTACAGAACAGGTGACTCAGGATGACTAAGAACAGAGCAGGTGACCAAGGATGACTAAGGTCAGAGCAGGTGACCAGGGGTGACTCAGGACGGAGCAGGTGACCAGGAGTGCCTCAGGATGGAGCAGGTGACCAGGGGAACAGATGTGAACTACTGATTAGAACTGGCGGATTGTTTACTGAGACTAGGGGCAAGGAGACGAGGAGAACGAAGAAGTTAACCTTGAAAATGAAGAGCAAAGAACAGGGGAGCTGAACGTACTGATACGTTGGTTCTTTGGAGAGGATCTCAGAACTCATTGTACTTAACAATTTACAGGCTAAAACCTCTGAAGAGGAAGTTATTATATCCTACAATTTCCCCCCTTCCAATTTTCATAGTCCTTCCTCTTCAAATCTTTTTAACATGTCTTGGCTTTGCTGCTCGACTGAATCCTCTAAAAGAAAAAAGCTGATCTGAATAAGGTGGAGGAGAGTTAAGGAAGGTTTTAGTAAGTGCTGCTTTTATAAGTCTTTGCACCAGCCCACGGATGCAGGGTATGACACAACACCTAACAAGAATGAGTGCACCTATTACAGCTGCAAGAGAAGTAAGAATTGAGGCTATGATTTCTTTCCATTTACCGAACTACTTTTCTAGCCATCCTGAGAAAGGGTTATTGACTTCAGAATTTTTAGCTAACAAGTTGGATAAAGCGGTAAGTCTTTGTAAGGCCCTTGTTATGCTCCCAGTGGGGGCAGTGTTGTTTGGGATAAAGGTATAACACTGAGTTTTAATCATAATACACACACCACCTTTTTCAGCTAATATCATATCTAGGGCCATTCTGTTTTCCCAGGCCATCTGGCTAGTGGGCCCCAATTGTTCTGCTATTCCTTTGACAGCATCCCTGGTGTATTTAACAAACCACTGATGATTATAATAGGTGTAATTCATCCAATCTACGTTTTTATTGTCACCCACGAAAATATTGAGCCAAATCCTGCAGCTATTTGATCTTGAGCTTTAAATTTGTCTGGTACTCCTTGAGGAACTCCAATAGCATTTACATAAACATGGGGGTCAAAGGACCCATGTGGAACACTTCTTCTTTTACGATTTTCTTAATCATATTGACGGAATGCTAGGGTGAAAGGGATGGCCACTTGGACTACAGCACAAGTGCTGCTCTAATTACTTGCAGAGTACCCAGCAATAGTCCCCTGCAATACCACCATGCACCTGCTCCAGGATGAACAAGGGCAAACTGATTGGTAAGCTCTTGAAAAGGCTTGGTTTTGCTGTACCCTGTTAAGTCTCCAAGGAATGCTAACTTTTCCTCCCTCCGTGAAAGGCATGAGGTGAAGTTAACATCAGGGGCTGGAGGCCGGATGGCCCTCGGGGGCTGACCCGCAGGGCTCTTGACCTCAGGGAGCAGCAGTGAAAGAGTCTTGCATGACTCATTGCCCCAGGCTGTGGGGTTCTGGAAGAGAGCTACCATACAGCTCATGCCTGGTCCATGAGAGGACCACACAAGTGGAAAGGGGACAGTTTGGGTCTCTGGCCTGCCTGTCACACAAGCATAACAGACGGTTTTGTTTAGCATGCAAACAGAATATTTAATCCATTCCAGCCAAGTATTTGCATCCTGATACCCTGTTTCAATTGCTATAGTTTGTTCTAAATCTTTAACCTCTACAACAGCTACTTTGGTTTTATCATTGGGTATATAACAAGAGAAGGTTTGGTTAGCAGAGAACTTAGGAGAGGGAGAAGGGGGTGCAGGAGGTGACAAGGCAATGAAGCACATTTCAAAAGATCCTATGGGGTCCTTCCCTGAGACTTCTGCTCCTACACCACAGAAATGGCCTAATAAAGGGGAAGAACTCTGGGGAGCAGAGATGGTCATCTGTGCTGGATTACACTGGCTCAGCTGGCAAAGGGGAGGGTAAACTCCTTTAGTAAAATGAATATATGGTTTTAGGAAACTGCAAATACTAGTTGGGGTGGTCCAACCTTCTTCTTTAGTATTTTATAGAGCATTGGACCAACTTCATCAGAGAAGCTGTGTTCTAGGAGGACAAGATTCCCAGTTCATACTGGAATCTTCGTCAAACTCCTCCCAAACTAACTTATCCCAGTTAACAGATTTCCAGTCTGAGGAGAGCTAGGAAGGATAAAGGAGCTTTTTTGAAGTGGAGAGTTTTCTCTGGTTTGGAAAATCTCCACAGGTCATCACAAGGCAAGCATCAAAAGTAATGGTTTGGGGTGAACTTGACCTAGTTACATTAATAACAAGAGGACTAGCAATAGAAGGGGAAAAGAAAGAGATGCAATATAAGAGGATCAAGCCTGTTTTCACTTTAGCTTGGTTGGGTTTGGCCCTGAAACAGCTGCCCAAGATTCTGGAGGGGGTGGTGCTCTTTTGACCCAGGTGGGATGAGTCCATCCTCTCTCTGCTGTTCGAACCGCCGTCTCGGTGTTTAGAAGCACTAGGTAGGGTCCTTCCCAAGCCGGTTCGAGTTTTCTTTCCCTCCAACTTTTGATGAGGATGTGGTCCTCAGGCTGATGCTGGTGTATTGGAAACTCTAGGGGTGGTACATGTGCTAAAAGACCTTTAGTTCTGAGGAAAGAGAAAGTGGAAGATAAACCAAGTACATAACTTCTGAGAAATCGATCTTTTGTTTTGAAAGTGGGAAGGTCAACAGTGGAGTACAAACAGGGCAACCTATATGACACTTCATAAGGGGCTAAGCCAACATCTTTCCAAGGAGCAGTTTGGATTCTCAACAGGGCAATGGGAAGGCATCTAGTCCATGGCACCCGAGTCTCTAAGACTATAGCTAGGCGGCTTTTTAACAGTTTCGTTCATTCTTTCCACTCTTCCTGATGAAGGTGGGTGCCAGGGAGTATGATATTCCCATGTTATATCTAGTACCTGGGCTAATTTCTTAATGGCATGTGCAGTGAAATGAGTCCTATTATCTGAATCAATGTTTTCTGTTAATCTAAACTTGGGTATAATATTTTCAACTAATGCCTTGACTGCATTATTAGCAGTTGTACTTGAAAAGAGAGTAGCTTCTACCCAATGAGTAAGATGATCTACTATTACTAATAAATACTTTAGACGACCAATTGGAGGCATCTCTGCATAATCAATCTGGATCCTTTGAAATGGCCTTAAGCCTGGACTCCTACCCCAAGGGGTAATCTTATAGTTTGTTTATTGGTTTTCTTTTATACTGAGCAAATGTCTGCAACCTGTTTGGCCAGGTTATAAATTCCTATGCACCCATAAACCCTGAGGACTGCATCACACATGGCTTGGGGCCCCCAGTGGGTCCCTTAATGCAGTTGGAACAAGATTTCCCTCATGAGGGGTTTGGATAACACTTCTTTCTGGTCTGGCAATATCCATTTTCCTTCTGAATTCTCTTTAGCACCTATTTCTTATTAGTTTTTTGACCAAAGAAAGCCAAACAGCATTTTATATTCGACAATGCTTCCTGTATGGTTTTATACCAGATCAGCTAAACTTCACCTTTCTATTAGTGTGCTATTAATGTTAAACTCGATTTTAATAAAATCTTGTAGACATATTTATCCAATTGTAATGTCTAACCATAAGGTAAGATTTTTAGCGACTCTTTTTAACCCTTTATAATTTTTGTTAAAGAACAAGTTAGTGCTTTAAGAAAAACCCATTGTGCTTTTATTTAAATGTCCTGTTTACAGAAAAACTGGATGATACCCCTTTAACTTTAGCCAATATGTTTACACACAGAACTTCCTCTACAATTAACGTTTCAAAACTTGCTTAAACCTTCAAAACAATTTTAACCTTTTAATGTAGGTAAAAATCCACATTCTTATGCCTCCTTATAATTCTTTTACCAAAAGTATATTTTACTTTCCTTACACACCTTGCACATAAACTGTTTCTTCAAAAGTTTTACAGCGAGGAGGCCTACTTTTAAATTATGCAACATTTCTTGCATAAATTCTCTTTAATAACATTTTTCATGACTTCCACAGACAATCTTTGACATGCCTTAACTTTCTGACTTGTTGTAAACATCCCTTTCTTTAAACAACCAGTCAATTTATTTTAGGATAAGAATTTACCATATAAGATTCTTTCTACATAAACTCTTCTTTTTTTAATGTCAAAGATGATAACCATTCTTTTCCAAAGCAAACTTCCTTCATGTCTGTGGACTAGACTGCCTAAGGCCACAAGGTTAGAAGTTAGAATGATACATGTTACACTGTTAACTTTTAGCAAACTTTACTTTTGTTGAAAACCTTGGAAGTTTGGGATTTTAATTATGTGCTGGGTTTAGAGCTTAGGACCTAGACAGAAGTGTAGATAAGGTCTGGCCCATTCTAGCATTTAACTCCATGTGTCCTGGGTTTTACCTAGCTGCAAAGCAGGCCAATTGTACAGCTAAGGAACGGTAGCCTGTTTGGCTATCTGATTTGCTAGGTTATTTCCTCAGCTTTCAAAAGAAAGGCGTTTTTGGTGTCCAGGGACGTGGACAGTACCTATTTCTTTTGGCACTGAAGGTTATTTAATACTTGGGTGATTAATTCCTTGTGGACCAGGTCTTGCCATTTGCTATTAATAAGGCCTCATTCAGTCCAAATGTTTCCAAGTGTGTGAGCCACTCCAAAGGCGTACTTAGAATTGGTATAGATGGTTCCTTCCTGGTTCTGTAAGTACTTTAAGGCTTGGCTGAGTGCAAACAGCTCACACATTTGAGCAGACCAATTATTAGGCAATTTTCCTAACACTATTTCTATAAGAGTTTCTCTATCGATTACTGAATGCCAATTGTGTCTTTTTCCCTCAACCACCTGGGAGGAACTGTCTATAAATAAGTGTCGTCCTGTCCTGAAGGAGTTTCTCCTAGGTCTGGTCATACCTTTGTATGGTAATCAGTTAAATCTAAACATGTATGCTCTTTCTTTAGATTTGGATCTCCTATTAGGAAACCTGCTGGGTTAAACAAATTGTCAGTGGTTAATGTTAAATCATGTTTTTTCTAACAGAATAGCATCATGCTTTAAGATTCTTGAATCAGTAAGCTACCTTTTTGTTTTCTGACTTAGGATAGTTTTGACCTGGTGAGGTGTGCTCACAATGAGGTTTCCTCCAAAAGTTATTTTTCTACATTCTTCTGTTAGCAAAGCAGTTACCACTACAGATTGAATGCATTTGGGCCATCCGCGGGTTATGAGGTTAGGGATTTTTGATAGGAAGGCTACAGGTTGCCAGTGGCTTCTGTGTTTGGGGTAAGTACTTCTAAGACTACACCCTTGTTTACACTGACAGAGAGATGAAAGGGCAGTTCTAGGGAGAGAAAAGCTAGGACAAGGGCAATTACTAGTAACAACAGGGTTGGTGGTTTGGACTATCTGATTAACAGCGCTAAGGTCTTGCACTAACCGGTAGGACCCGTCTGGCTTCTTTATAGGCAGTATTGGAGTGTTACAGGGAGACATATAGAGTTTAAGAAGCCCATCACGTAGAAGACCTTCAATTATCAATTATAGGTTTTAAATTTACATTGGCTTTTAAAGGAATAGGATATTGCTTTCTCTACTACTTCCCCAGGGGTTTCTAATTTAACGTGAATCGGAGGAATCTGTAACTTTCTTCGATTCCCGTCTTTTGACCATACCTCGGGATGAATGTGTTCTTTGTCTGTGGTGGTGAGCAAATTTAGGGAGGGGAGAAATTTTCCATGATTGATTTGGAGGCCTAAGCCTAATTTTAGCATTAAATCTCTTCCTAATAGATTTGTCCCTGCTTCCAGAATTAACAGAAATTTAATACTAGCTGATCAGTTTTTAAATTTCACTTCTGTCTGCTCTAAGATTTTTGCTCTAAACCCCTCTCCTTTTACCCTGGAGATAAAAAGTTATCCTTGTGAACAAGTTACACTAGATGGAAGATAAACTGAGAAGCGAGTTACTCCTGAATTGATTAAAAAGGTAATAAGCTTAGGTTTAGGTCCCACTTCTAAATTTAACAAGGGTTCTTGGTGGGACTCAAGATAAAAAGCTAGCACCCCTGACTTCCCTAATCTTCTTCAAAAGCCATAAGTGGGATGACATTTTCTTCCTTTTCCCATTTGGGACATTGTCTTTAAAAGTGATCTATTTTTCCACTTTTGAAACATTTGCCGTGTAATTTCTTAGTAATGTCTGGCCAGCTATTGGTGACAAAGTGGAGCTTTAACATTCTTTGTCCAAGGAGGTCTTCTGATTCTAGGTCAGCGTATTTTCTCTTTTGCTCTTTAAGCCTTTCTAAAAATTCTGTCTGTCCCTCATCTTTTCCCTGTTTTATATTAAAGCCCTTGGTAAGACTCTGGGTGCAGAGCACCAATTTTCAAATTCCTTTTATTACCATCTCCCTACGGTCTTTCATATTTCCTCAATGGGCTATATTGTTGTTATCCCATTGAAGATTCTGGGCTGGGAATTTTTGTTCAGCTGCTGGGACGTTCTGACCAGGAGGGTGTTTATGTTCCCAAAATGTCATAGCGGCCCTGCGTATCATGCTCCTCTCTTCTCCTGAGAATGAGATGCCTAAGACAGACATTAACTTGTTCCAAGTATACAACTGGGGCCCTAAAACTGATCAGTTTGATCTGCCACTCTATAAGGGGCATCTAAGAGTGGTTTAAGCTCCTTTTTTTTAGGTTTAGCGGAAGGGTCTGGGGTGGCAGCTGCTTGGGGGAGAAGAAGGTTCTTTAGTCCAAATAAAACAGCAGTATTTTATCATTTGCTGCTTTTTCTTGTATTTGGTCCTTCCATCATCTTTCTAATATTCATTCTAACATTAGGCCTAGGGGACTGTTAGAGGGGATATTATCATGATCATGATCTTTCCTATCTTTACTTGCTATATTTCCCATCCTGGAGAAAGTGTTTTTCCCTGAGTCCATGGGGCTCAATCTCTCTTATTAGAAATTTCTTGCACCCTAGTGAGTCTGTAGGGCTTAACCTCTCACCCTCCAGCTTTTGTGTCATCCTTCTGCGTCTGCTTCCATTGTGGGGATTTTCAGGTCCTTCTTAGGATAAGCTGTATGAGGTGATTGCAGAACCAGATCCGGACTCTGTACTTGCTCCGCCCTCAACTGTGTGTTTCACTCGCACACTTTCAACCTCCAGGATGTCCTGACCACCAAGGAATACTTCACTGCCCCCCATGGCTTTTCTTACCTTGATATGTCCCAAAAAAGAAATACTTCACTGCCCTGCAGCTTTTCTTATATTGGTCCCAACCACCAAGGAAATACTTCACCATCCCCGCGGCATTTCTTACCTTGGTCTGTACACAGAGTTACCTGGTCACCATGGTATGTATTTGTAGGCCTTTTCTTCCTGCATTGCTGAGATTCTGGCTTTATTCATTGCACTGGGTGGGTCCCAATTCCTTACCTCTGAGGCCACCACAACGTGGCAGCAGGGTGTGCCTCCTCACAGGAGAGGATGGGACCCTTCCCCAGAGAAGAATGGGAATCCTGGGCAGACCCGCAAATTTGTTAGAAATAAATTTTCAGTGCCACCAAAGAAATAACACCCAGACATAAATTTAATTTTCTCAGCAAGGCAATTTTGTTTCTATAGAAGGGTGCACCTCGTGGATGGAGCAATGGCAAGAGCACACCTGGATAAGGGAGGGAAAGGGGTTCTTATCCCTGATGTAGGTAGCCCCTACTGCTGTGTTTTTCCCCTATTGGCTAGGGTTGGACCACACAGTCTAGGCTAATTCTGATTGGCTATTTTAAAGAGAGCTGGAGTGGCGGGGAGAGTAGTTTGGCGGGAAAGACAGTTACAGAACAGGTGACTCAGGATGACTAAGAATGAAGCAGGTGACCAAGGATGACTGAGGTCAGAGCAGGTGACCAAGGGTGACTCAGGACAGAGCAGGTGACCAAGGGTGACTCAGGATGGATCAGGTGACCAGGGGAACAGATGTGAACTACTGATTAGAACTGGTGGGTTGTTTACTGAGACTAGGGCCAAGGAGATATAAAGAACAAGGAAGTTAACGTTTAAAATGAAGAACAAAGAACAGGGGAGCTGAATATACTGATACGTTGGTTCTTTGGAGAGGATCTCAGAACTCATTGTACTTAACAATTTACAGGCTAAAACCTTTGAAGAGGAATTTATTATATCCTACGATAGCATTACATATTTCAGACCAAGAAGTCTAGAATTATTATGAGCCAGCATTAACTGACTTGCCTGAGGCTACACATCTGGTTTGTAACTAGGCAAGGTTCGGACGTAGATTTTCAAGCTCACTCATCCTGGGGTGCTGATTTACACCAATGTACACTGGCCAGGGGCACCAGGACAAAGAATGCCAATACTGGTTCAAATGATCATCTTTTTAGATAGGCACTTCTCATTTGTTGACTAAATTTTATGATCAGTTTGGAACTTTTATGTTGAATTTCTATGCTTTTGGTTGCTTCTCTAATTTGGCCTTCTTGCAGCCCATTCCATTGTGAAAGATATAGTTGCAAACCATAATTATTAATAAACAATAAGGAACAGGGTTTATTCACTTACTTTGAAGATACTCTATCTCTTCCCAAAATAACCACCTATTCTAGTATACATTAAAATATTTTTTAATTGACTTGATTGAGGTGTGATTTCATGAGGTTTGACTAATCTTAGTGAAATATTTGTCACCAAAAGTTCTGCCATGTGACCTCATAGTCAACTCTCCCTATCCCGTGGCCACAGGCAGCCACTGCACTGCTTTCTGTGAAAAGATGGGCTCATGCCTTAGGCATTGTTTGTGTCTGGCTGATTTCGTTCAGCATAATATTTTGGGATGTTTATCCATGTTACTGTGTGTATCAGTAGTTTGTTCTTGTTTATTGCTGAGTAGTGTTCTATTGCAGAGATATGCTCTAATCACCAGCAAGTAGGCATTTGCATTGTTTCCAGTTTGGGGCTATTAGGAATGAATGTGCTTTGAACATCTGTATATAAGTTATTTTGTAGACGTGCATTTTTCATCCCTCTTGGGTAAATATTTACAAGTAGGATTTTTGGGTCATGGATAAGTACGTGTATGTTTAACTACTAAGAAAGTGTCGGCTGGGTGTGGTGCCTGTAATCCCAACACTTTGAGAGGCCAAGGCGGGTGGATCACCTGAGGTCAGGAGTTTGAGACCAGCCTGACCAATATGATGAAACCCTGTCTCTACTAAAAATACAAAAATTAGCTGGGCATGGTGGCAGGCATCTGTAATCCCAGCTACTCGGGAGGCTGAGACAGGAGAATCGCTTGAACCCGGGAGGCGGAGGTTGTGGTGAGCTGAGATCGCGCCATTGCACTTCAGAATGGGCAAGAAGAGCGAAACTCCCTCTCAAGAAAAAAAAAAAGAAAGAAAAGAAAAAGAAAGTATCAAACGGTTTTCTGAACTGTGTGGACCATTTTGCTTGTCCACAAACAATATATGACGGTTCCAGGTTCTGCAAATCCTCCCCAGCACCTGGTATTCTGCGGTGGTATCTCACTGAGGCTTCCCACTTGCATTTCACACGTGACTCATGGTGCTGAGTCTCACATGCTTACCAGCCATGTGTATGACTTCTTTGGTGAAGGGGCTGTTAAAATCTTTTATTCAGTTTTAAATCTAGGCTATTTGTCTCTGTAACTTTTTAAACAGGTAAAACAAGGCTCAGGAAGCCACCCACATAGAGAGCCACGGACAGGCGCACCCAGGGACATGGGACACACAGAAGGAGGGACACCCACATGGGCACACCAGTCCTCTCGGGGAGACGTGTGCACACGCAGACCCATGCAGGAGGGCAGAAGGGGGTGCACTTCAAGTCTGACAACATGTCCTCACATACACATGCATGCACATGCATGCAGACATGGTGGAAGATGCCCAGTCACACAGTCCAGTGCTGCTCCTGTGCCCCCAACAAACTGGGAAGGTTTGTATCGGGGAGGGATGTGAAAGGTGGTAGAGGACAGGGCAAGGTTCCTTGCCCTCCAGTCCGCAAACTATCAGCCCTGGAGAGCGTTCTGCGTGCCTGCAATGGGCAGCAGGAAGAAGTAATAGATAAGAACAATGAAGGAAGAGCCATGAAGGCAGCAAAACACCAGCTTCAAGGAGCTGCCTGAGAGAGCAGCCCACGGGAAGCCTCCCCCACCATGTCGCCTGTTGTTGGGGATGAAACCAACTTGGGGGCAGATGGAGGGGGCTCCACAGGAGAGAGAGCCCAGGGAGAAGCAGGTCGGGGCAGGTGTCTTGGCTTGATACCCAGTGGCCCTCCATGGACACCGCAGGCCAGGGATGCAGTGTGCAGACCACCCTGTAGGGGCGTCAGACACAGAGCCACTCACACAGGGGCCTCTCTCCACAACAGAAGGCCACAGGAGGTCACAGCTGGTGTCCCATTGCTGTGCAGGGCTCTAAATGCAGGTCCGGGGACTGGAGATTAATCTTAGAGACTTTTTTTCTCTTTAATTAGTAGACTTTTTTTTTTAAGAGTAGTTTTGATTTTACAGAAAAATTGACCAGAAAGTATATAAAGTTCCCAAATATGCCCAAGCACAATTTCCTCAATGATTTCTATCTTGCATTAGCATGGTACCTTTGTTGTAATTGATGAGCCAATTGATACATTATTATTAATCAAAATGCACAGTTTACATTAGGGTTCACTCTTGGTGGTGTGCATTCTGTGGGTTTTGACCAGTGATAATGTCAAGTATCCATCATTACAGTAAGCTCACTTCTTCATCCCTCCTTTCGTTCCTCCAAATCCCTGGCAACCACAGATCTTTTTACTGTCTCCATAGTTTTGCCTTTTCTAGAATGTCATTCAGTTGAAATCACGCAGTAGGTAGCCTTTTCAGATTGATTTATTTCCCTTACTAATATGCTTTTAATATGTCTTTTCATGGCTTAATTAGCTCAATTCTTTTCATTGCTAAATAATATTCCACTGTATGCATGTACCATAGTTTATTAATCCATCTCTGCTTTGTATATCTTCTTTGACGAGGTGTCTGTCCAGATCTCTTGACCATTTTTAATTGGGTTGTTTTCTTATCGTTGAGTTTTAGTTTTTTGTGTTTTAGACACGAGTCCTTTATCAGACGTGTGGTTTGAACATCTTTTTACCCCAGTACGTGGCTTGTCTTTTCATCCCTTAGCAGTAACTCTCACAACCAGATGTGATGAATTTTAATGAAGCCAAACTTACCAATTTTTTCTTTCATGGATCATGCTTTTGGTGTCGTATCTAAAAAGTCATCACCAAACACTTAGGCTTTCTCTTATGTTATCCTTACAAGTTTAATAGTTTTGTGGTTTACACTTAGGTTTATGATCCCATTTTGACTTATTTTTTGTGAAGGGTGTAAGTCTGTGTCTATATGCATTTGTTGGCATGTGTGTCTGGTCATCACAGCACCACTTATTGAAAAGACTATCTTTCTCCATTAGGTTGCCTTTGCTCTTTTGTCAAAGATCAGTCGATTATATTTATAGAGCCTATTCCTGGGCTCTCTGATCTGTTCCATTGCTCTGTTTGTCTATTATTTTGCCAATACCACACTGTCTGTTACTGCAGCTTTGTAGCAAGTCTTCAGGTCCTCTAAGTTTTCCTCCTGGATGTTATATTAACTATTCTGAGCCTTGCCTTTCAGTCTAAGTTGAAGAATGTGATTGTCAATATTCACCAAGTAACTTGCTGAGATTTTTATTGGGATTGCACTGAATCTATAGATCAAATTGGGAAGAACTGATAACAATATCATGTCTTTCTATCCATAAACATGGAATATCTTTCCATTTATTTAGATCTTTTATTTATTTCATTAGAGTTTTGTAGTTCTTCTCACATAGATTTTGAACATGTGTTGTTAGATTTGTACCTAAGTATTTCATTTTTCTTGGTGCTAATTATTATCTTTTTAATATCAAATTTCAACTATTCATTATTGATATATAGAAAAGCAATGACTTGTATGTATTAATCTTGCATCTTGCAACCTTGTTACAATCATTTATTAGTCTCAGGAGGGTTTTTTGATGTGGGGGATTTTCTACGGACACAATCACGTCATCGTAAAAAAAAGGCACTTTAATTTCTTCCTTTCTAATCTGTATGCCTTTTATTTTCTTTCCTTGTCTTATTGCATTAGCTAGGACTTTCAGTACAATGTTAAAAATCAGTTGTATAAATGTAAATAATTATTATTTATTGCGAAAGAAAAATATCTTGGGCCCCCAAAATCACTAAGCGAAAGGGAAAAGTCAAACTGGGAACTGCTTACGGCAAACCTGCCTCCCATTCTATTCAAAGTCATCCCTCTGCTCACTGAAATAAATGCATATCTGATTGCCTCCTTCGGAGAGGCTCATCAGAAACCCAGAAGAATGCAACCGTTTGTCTCTCACCTACTTGTGACCTGGAAGTAGCCTCCCCGCTTAGAGTTGTCCCACTTTTGCTTAGATTCTGGACCAAACCAATGTTCATTTTACATATGTTGATTGATGTCTCATGTCTCCCTAAAATGTATAAAACCAAGCTGTGTTCTGACTGTCAGGGCTCTGAGCACAAGCTAAGCCATCGTATCCCATGTGACCTGGAAGTATATATCCAGATGGCCTAAAGTAACTGAAGAATCACAAAAGAAGTGAAAATAGTCTGGTCCTGCCTTAACTGATGATATTACCTTGTGAAATTCCTTCTCCTGGCTCATCCTGGCTCAAAAGCTCCCCCACTGAGCACCTTGTGACCCCCACCCCTGCCAGCCATAAAACAACCCCCTTTGACTGTAATTTTCCACTACCTACCTAAATCCTATAAAACGGCCCCACCCCTATCTCCCTTCCCTGACTCTCTTTTCGGATTCAGCCCGCCTGCACCCAGGTGAAATAAACAGCCTTGTTGCTCACACAAAGCCTGTTTGGTGGTCTCTTCATACAGACGCGAGTGAAATTTGGTGCCGTGACTCGGATTGGGGGACCACCCTTGGGAGATCAATCCCCTGTCCTCCTGCTCTTTGCTCCATGAGAAAGATCCACCTATGACCTCGGATCCTCAGACCAACCAGCCCAAGGAACATCTCACCAATTTTAAATCCGGTAAGTGACCTCTCTTTACTCTCTTCTCTAACTTCTCTCACTATCCCTCAACCTCTTTCTCCTTTCAATCTTGGTGCCACACTTCAATCTCTCCCTTCTGTTAATTTCAGTTCCTTTCCTTTCCTGGTAGAGACAAAGGAGATGCATTTTATCCGTGGACGCAAAACTCCAGCACCGGTCACAGACTCGGGAAGACAGTCTTCCCTTGGTGTTTAATCACTGCAGGGACGCCTGCCTGATTATTCACCCACATTTCATTGGTATCTGATCACCGCAGGGACGCCTGCCTTGGTCATTCACTCACATTCCCTTGGTGGCAAGTCAATTGCAGGGACGCCTGCTTTGGCTGCTCACCCACATTGCAGCCCAGGGCTGCTCACCCCACCCATTCTCTCCATGCCTCTACTCTCTCTTTTCTCTCCACTTTCCTGGGGGGCAAGCACCTCCCACCCCTTTTCCACTTTCCTGGGGGACAAGCACCTCCCACCCCTTCTCTCTGTGTCTCTACCCTCTCTTTTCTCTGAACTCGCCTCCTTCACTATAGGCAACCTTCCACCCTCCATTCCTCCTTCTTCTCCCTTAGCCTGTGTTCTCAAGAACTTAAAACCTCTTCGACTCACACCTGACCTAAAACCTAAATGCCTTATTTTCTTCTGCAACACCGCTTGACCCCAATACAAAATCGACAATGGTTCCAAATAGCCGGAAAACAGCACTTTCTATCTCTCCATCCTATAAGATCTGGATAATTCTTGGTGTAAAATGGGCAAATGGTCTGAGGTGCCTGATGTCCAGGCATTGTTTTACACATTGGTCCCTCCCTGGTCTCTGTTCCCAATGCAACTTGTCCCAAATCTTCCTTCTTTCCCTCCCACCTGTCCCCTCAGTCCCGACCCCAAGTGTTGCTGAGTCTTTCCAATCTTCCTTTTTTATGGACCCATCTGACCTCTCCCCTCCTCCCCAGGCTGCTCCTCGCCAGGCCAAGCCAGGTCCCAATTCTTCCTCGGCCTCCGCTCCCCAACCCTATAATCCTTTTATCACCTCCCCTCCTCACACCCAGTCCCGCTTATAGTTTTGTTCTGCCACTAGCCCTCCCCTACCTGCCCAGCAATTTCCTCTTAAAAAGGTGGCTGGAGCTGAAGGCATAGTCAAGGTGAATGCTCCTTTTTCTTTATCCGGCCTCTCCCAAATCAGTTAGCGCTTAGGCTCTTTTTATCAAATATAAATACCCAGCCCAGTTCATGGCTTGTTTGGCAGCAATCCTGAGACGCTTTACAGCCCTAGACCCTAAAAGGTCAAAAGCCCATCTTATCCTCAAAATACATTTTATTACCCAATCTGCTCCCGACATTAAATAAAACTCCAAAAATTAAATTCCAGCCCTCAAACCCCACAACATGACTTAATTAACCTTGCCTTCAGGGTGTACAATAATAGAGAAGAGTTGCAATTACTTGCCTCTGCTGTGAGAGAAACCCCAGCCACATCTCCAGCACACAAGGACTTCAAAACGCCTAAGCCACAGCGGCCAGGCATTCCTTCAGGACTTCCTCCCCCAGGATCTTGCTTCAAGTGCTGGAAATCTGGCCACCGGGCCAAGGAATGCCCGCAGCCCAGGATTCCTCCTAAGCCGTGTCCCATCTGTGTGGGACCCCAGTGGAAACTGGACTGTCCAACTGGCCTAAGGCTCTGACTAGCTCCTTCCCAGATCTTCTTGGCTTAGCGGCTGAAGACTGACGCTGCCCAATCACCTTAGAAGCTTCCTGGACCATCACAGAAGCTCTAGGTAACTCTTACAGTGGAGGGTAAGTCTGTCCCCTTCTTAATCAATACAGAGGCTACGTACTCCACATTACCTTCTTTTCAAGGGCCCGTTTCCCTTGCCTCCATAACTGTTGTGGGTATTGGCAGCCAGGCTTCTAAACCCCTTAAGACTCCCCCACTCTGGTGCTAACTTGGACAACATTCTTTTATGCATTCTTTTTTAGTTATCCCTACCTGCCCAGTTCTCTTATTAGGCTGAGACATTTTAACTGAATTATCTGCTTCCCTGACTATTCCTGGACTACAGCCACATCTCATTGCCACCCTTCTTCCCAACCCAAAGCCTCCTTCATGCCTTCTTCTCATATCCCCCCACCTTAACCCACAAGTATGGGACACCTCTACTCCCTCCCTGGCAACTGATCACCAGCCCATTATCCCATTAAAACCTAATCAACCTTACCCTGCTCAACACTAGTATCCCATCCCACAACAGGCTTTAAAGGGACTGAAGCCTGTGATGACTCACCTGCTACAGCATGGGCTTCTAAAACCTATAAACTCTCCTTACAATTCCCCCATTTTACCTGTCCAAAAACCAGACAAGCCTTACAGGTTAGTTCAGGATCCGCACCTTATCAACCAAATTGTTTTGCCTATCCCCCCCATGGTGCCAAACCCATATACTCTCCTATCCTCAATACCTCCCTCCACAACCCGTTATTCTGTTCTGGATCTCAAACATGCTTTCTTTACTATTCCTTTGCACCCTTCATCCCAGTCTTTCTTCGCTTTCACTTGGACTGACCCTGACACCCATCAGGCTCAGCAAATTACCTGGGCTGTACTCCCGCAAGGCTTCACAGACAGCCCCCATTACTTCAGTCAAGCCCAAATTTCTTCCTCATGTGTTACCTATCTCGACATAGTTCTCATAAAAACACACGTGCTCTCCCTGCTGATCGTGTCCAGCTAATCTCCCAAACCCTGACCCCTTCTACAAAATGACAACTCCTTTCCTTCCTAGGCATGGTTAGGTACTTCCACCTTTGGATACCTCGTTTTTCCATCCTGACTAAACCATTATATAAACTCACAAAAGCAAACCTGGCTGACCCCACAGATCCCAAATCCTTTCGCCACTCCTTTCCATTCCTTAAAAACAGCCCTAGAAGCTGCTCCCACACTAGCTCTCCCTAACTCATCCCAACCCTTTTTCATTAACACAGCTGAAGTGCAGGGCTGTGCAGTCAAAATTCTTACACAAGGACTGGGACCATGCCCTGTGGCCTCTTTATCCAAACAACTTGACTTTACTGTTTTAGCCTAGTCCTCATGTCTGTGTGCGGTGGCTGCCGCTGCCTTAATACTTTTAGAGGTCCTAAAAATCACAAACTATGCTCAACTCTCTACAGTCACTCTCTACAGTTCTCATAACTTCCAAAATCTATTTTCTTCCTCACACCTGACACATATACTTTCTGCTCCCCTCCACTACCTCTCAGCAAGCCAAACTCATTTCCTTAACTCAAGCCCTACTCTTGCAAAAGGACTACTTGTCAATATTTATACTGACTCTAACTATGCCTTCCATATCCTGCCCCACCATGCTGTTATATGGGCAGAAAGAAATTTCTTCACTACACAAGGGTCCTCCATCATTAATGCCTCTTTAATAAAAACTCTTCTCAAAGCCGCTTTACTTCCAAAGGAAGCTGGAGTCATTCACTGCAAGGGCCATCAAAAGGCATCAGATCCCATTGCTCAGGGCAACGCTTATGCTGATAAGGTAGCTAAAGAAGCAGCTAGCGTTCCAACTTCTCTCCCTCATGGCAGTTTTTCTCCTTCTCATCGGTCACTCCCACTTACTCCCCTACTGAAACTTCCACCTATCAATCTCTTCCCACACAAGGCAAATGGTTCTTGGACCAAGGAACATATCTCCTTCCAGCCTCACAGGCCCATTCTATTCTGTCGTCATTTCATAACCTCTTCCATGTAGGTTATAAGCTGCTAGTCTGCCTCTTAGAACCTCTCATTTCCTTTCCATCGTGGAAATCTATCCTCAAGGAAATCACTTCTCAGTGTTCCATCTGCTGTTCTACTACTCCTCAGGGATTGTTCAGGGCCCCTCCCTTCCCTACACATCAAGCTCGGGGATTTGCCCTTGCCCAGGACTGGCAAATTGACTTTACTCACATGCCCTGAGTCAGGAAACTAAAATACGTCTCGGTCTAGATAGACACTTTCACTGGATGGGTAGAGGCCTTTCCCACAGGGTCTGAGAAGGCCACCGCAGTCATTTCTTCCCTTCTGTCAGACATAATTCCTCAGTTTGGCCTTCCTACCTCTATACCGTCCAATAACGGACCGGCCTTTATTAGTCAAATCACCCAAGCAGTTTCTCAGGCTCTTGGTATTCAGTGGAACCTTCATACCCCTTACCATCCTCAATCTTCAGGAAAGGTAGAATGGAACAGACTAATGGTCTTTTAAAAACACACCTCCCCGAGCTCAGCCACCAACTTAAAAAGGACTAGACAATACTTTTACCACTTTCCCTTCTCAAAATTCGGGCGTGTCCTTGGAATGCTACAGGGTACAGCCCATTTGAGCTCCTATATAGACACTCCTTTTTATTAGGCCCCAGTCTTATTCCAGACAGCAGCCCAACTTGGACTGTGCCCCAAAAACTTGTTATCTGTACTATCTTCTGCCTAGTCATACTCTTATTCACTGTTCTCAACTACTCATAAATGCCCTGCTCTTGTTTACACTGCCGGTTTACACTGTTTCTCCAGGCCATCACAGCTGATATCTCCTGGTGCTATCCCCAAACCACCACTCTTAACTCCCTCTTAAAGTAAATCAATAATCTTTGCTGGCAGGGCTATGCTGAACCTCCTTGGGCACTCTCTAATTGGATGTCCTGTGTCCTCCCAATTCGTAGTCCTTTAATACCAGTTTTTCTCCTTCTCTTATTCGGACCTTGTGTCTTCCGCTTAGTTTTTCAATTCATACAAAACAACATCCAGGCCATCACCAATTATTCTATATGACAAATGCTCCTTCTAACAACCCTGCAATATCACCCCTTACCACGAAATCTTCCTTCAGCTGAATCTCTCCCACTCTGGGTTCCCACGCCACCCCTAATCCCGCTTGAAGCAGCCCTGAGAAACATCGCCCATTATCTCTCCATGCCACCCCCCCAAAATTTTCACTGCCCCAACACTTCAATACTATTTTATGTTATTTTTCTTATTAATATAAGAAGGCAGGAATGTCAGGCCTCTGAGCCCAAGCTAAGCCATCGTATCCCCTGTGACCTGCACATATACATCCAGATGGCCTGAAGTAACTGAAGAATCACAAAAGAAGTGAAAATGGCCTGTTCCTGCCTTAACTGATGACATTACCTTGTGAAATTCCTTCTCCTGGCTCATCCTGGTTCAAAAGCTCCCCAACTCAGCACCTTGTGACCTCCACCCCTGCCAGCCATAAAACAACCCCCTTTGACTGTAATTTTCCACTACCTACCCAAATCCTATAAAATGGCCCCACCCCTATCTCCCTTCCCTGACACTGTTTTCGGACTCAGCCCGCCTGCACCCAGGTGAAATAAACAGCCTTGTTGCTCACACAAAGCCTGTTTGGTGGTCTCTTCACAGGGACGTGCGTGAAACTGACCACCTTGGACACATGTCATCAGGACCTCCTGAGGCTGGGTCACAGCCTTGTGACCTCAAACTTGGCAAAATAAACTTTCTAAATTAACTGAGACCTGTCTCAGATTTTCGAGGTTCATATTATCAATTAAAAACCAAAATTTAAATTAAAAAAAAAGGAAAGCAGTGTTGAGGAGGGCATTCTTACCTTGCTCCTGATCTTAGCAGGGAAGCTTCAAGTTTCTCAACTTTAAGTGCAACCACTGTTGGCTTTTTGTTGAGCTTTGACAGCTGTGGGTTCCTTATCAAGTTCCCCTCTAGTCATCTTTGCTGAGAGCTTTTATCATGAATGGGTGTTGGATTTTGTTAGATGCTTTTTCTGAATCTGCTGATATGATCATGTGATTTTTCTTCTTAAGCCTGTTGAGGTGATGGATTACATGACTAGATTTTCAAATGCTGAACCAGTTTTGTGTACCTGAGATAAATCCCACTCGGTTGTGGTATATAATTCTTTTTATGCATTGTTGGATTTGACTTGCTAATTTTTCATCGAAGATTTTTGCACCTATGTTTACGAAAGCTATTGGCTTATGGCTTTCCCTCCTTGTGTCTTTGTCTGGTTTTGGTTTTAGAGTAATGCTGGCTTTATAGAATGAGTTACAAAACATTCCTTTTGCTTCTATTATCTGGAAGACATCATAGAAAATTACTATCATTTCTTCCTTAAATGTTTGGTAGAGTTCATCAGTGAACCCATTCAGACCTAGTTCTTTCTGTTTGGAAGGTAGTTATTTATTGATTCAATTCCTTTAATGCATACATACCTATTCATATTATCTATTCTTTCTTGTGTAAGTTTTGGTAGATTGCATCTTTAAGAAATTGATCTATTTCTTCTAGGTTATTATATTTGTGGGCACAGAGTTGTTATGGTAATAACATTCTATTATTATCCTTTACAATATTCCTTTAGAATCAGTAGCAGTGGCCTCTATTTTATTTCTAATGCTAATAATTTGTGTCTCATTTCTTTCTTTGTTAACTTGGCTAGAGGTTTATCAATTTCATAGGTTTTTTTTTTTTAAAGAACCAGCTTTTGGTTTTGTTGATTTTCTCTAGTAGGTTCCTGATTTCAGTTTCATTGATGTCTGCTTTAGTTAATTTTTTCTGTCTACTCTGTTTTTAATTAGTTCTTTTCTAGTTTCTTGAGGTGGAAACTTAGATGATTTGTTTCAGATCTTTCTTCTTTTCTAAAATGCCTTATTTCAATGCCATAAACTTTCTTCTAAACACTGCTTTTGTTGCATCTCACAAATTTTGATAAGTTGTATTTTCATTTTCATTTATTTCAAAATATTGCTTAATTTCTCTGGAGACCTTTTTCTTTAACTGACGTGTTATTTAGAAGTGTGTTGTTTAATCTCCAGGTATTTTTTAATTTTCCAATTGTCTTTCTGTTATTGATTTCTAGTTTTATTGTGTTCAGAGAGCATATTTTATTTTTCCATTCTTTTAAACTTGTTGAGGTGTGTCAGGGCTTAGAATTTGGTCTATCTTGGTGAATGTTCCACGTGAACTTGAGAAGAATGTATTTTGCTGTCGCTTAACAAAATATTCTATAGATATCCAGTAAACTGGCTGAATGATAGTGCTGTTATGTTCAACTATGTCCTTACTGATTTTCAGTCTGCTTGATATGTCCATTACTGAGTGGTGTTCAAGTCTCCACATGTGACAGTGGAGTCTTCTACATCTTCTTGCTATTCTATCAGATTTTGCTCCAAGTATATGACACTCTGTTCTTACACATTAGAGATTGCTATTTCTTATCAGAGAACGGACTCCTTTATCATTATCCAGTGCCATTCTTTACCTCTGATAATTTTCCTTGCTCTGAAGGCTGCTTTGTCTAAAACTAATATAGCAACTCCAGCTTTCCATTGAATAGTATTAGCATGGTATAACTTTCTCCATCCTGTTACTTTTAATCTATCTGAGTCTTTATATTTAAAGCAAGTTTATTGATTTTTTTTTAATTCACTCAGACAGTCTGCCTTTTAACTGAAGTATTTGGACCACTGGCATTTGAAGTGACTAGTGATGTTTGGATTAATATCTATCACATGTGTCACGGTTTTCTATTCCTTGTCCTTGTTTTCTGTTTCTTTTTGTCTTTCACTCTTCTTCTGCCTTCTCTAGTTTTAACCAAGCATTTTGTGTGATTCTATTTTCTCTCCTCTCTTAGAATACTAATTAAAATATTCCCCCACTTATCCACAGGTTTGCTTTCTGTGATTTCAGTTACCCACCCTCAACCACAGTCTAAAAGTAGGTGAGTGCAGTCCAATAAAATATTTTGAGAGTCAGACAATATTCACATAACTTTTATTACAGTGTATTGTTATAATTGTTCTATTTTATTATTAGTTATTGTTGTTAATCTCTTACTGTGTGTAATGTATAAACTAAACTTCATCTTAGGTATGTATGTATAGGAAAAACAACCATAGTCTATATAGGGTTCAGTAGTATCCACGGTTTCAGGCATACACTTGGGATCTTGCAATGCATCCCCCATGGATAAGGGGGGACTACCATGTCTTCCTTTCTTTTTTTCTTTTACTTTTAAAAATGGCTGTTCTAGAGTTTGCAATGTACATTTGCAGCTAATCCAAATTCGTCTTCAAATAACGCTATACTGTTTCCTAGGGAGTGCAGGTACTTTGTAATAGACCACTCTCAATTCCTCCCTCCTGTCCCTTAAAACATTGCTGCTGTTCATTTCACTTATTCTAAAGTATAATCAGTAAATATATTGTTGCTATTATTTTGAACAAATTGTTGTTTGCAAGATCAATTAAGAATAAGAAAAATAAAAGATTTTACTTTACCATTACGTATTCATTCTCTAACACACTTCTTTATGTTGACTCAAGTTTCTGACCTATTTCATTTTCCTTCTCTCTAAAGAACTTCTTTTTAACATTTCTTTCAAGGCAAGTCTAATGGTGGCAAATTCCCTCAATTTTTTTTTGTCTGCAACATTTTTTCTTTACTTTTGGAGGATAACTTCACTAGATACAAAATTTTAGGTTGTTGGATTTTTTTCTTTCAAACTTAAAATGTTTAACTCCAACTCTTCTTGCTAATGTACTTTCTGAAGAAAAGTCTAATGTAATTCTTAACCTTAATCTTTAGAAATTCTCTTTATACTTTTCTCTCAGTTACTAAGAGAGGTGGATGAAAATCTCAAATTAATTGTTCATTTTCATTTCTTCTTTTAGTTTTGTCTGTTTTTTTGCTATACATATTTTAAAGCTCTGTTATTAGGAGCATACATGTCTTTGTTGTGTATATCTTGAACTAAACATTTTGTCATTGTAAACTGTCCCTATCTTTTTCTGGGAATATCCCTGGTCCTGAAGTTTTTTTGGTCTACTATGCACACAAACACCCCAGTTTTCTTGTTATTAGTGTCTGTGTGATATCTCCTTTCCCATTCTTTTATTTTCATCTATGTGTGCCTGTATACTTAAACTGGGATTTTTATAGACAGCATATAGTTTGATCTTGTTTTTCCTTACCTTTTAGAATATCTTCTAATTAAAAAAAATAAAAGCCCAACACAATGTATCTGGTTATAATAACTGAGACATTCAGCCTTTAGTGTGAAGTTTTAGGTTAATCTGGCTAGGAGCTGAACTGTGTTTAATGTTTGATGTAGTTGTAAATTCCAGAGGCTTCAAATTCCTCTAGGGTTTTTGTTTTTTTCTCTCTCATTGTCTTTCTGTTTCTCTAAGAACTATTTCTTAAATACACTCTGTGCTTTCTAGCTCTCTCACCTGTAATTCATCATTATTACATTGTAGCCCTGTTGATGTGGTTGTCGAGTATGGGAAGGGAAAACATTCTATCATCTTATGATTATGCTTTTGGCTTTTAATGAGTTTATGTCCCTGGGTTGTGACTTTCACAAGTGTTTCTTAGCTTTGCCCTTTTCTCCCCAGCTTAGGTAAGACAGGAAGACCAGAGGGGGTAGGAGTTTGGAAATTGGCCTGGCTCCTGAAATAAGGCTCTGATAAAGTTCTTTCCCCTGCTGAGTAGGCCTTTGTTACGGACATGCTCTGAGACTATTTCAAAATGGTTAATTTTCCCCTCTCCCTGATTGAGATGTGAGGGGATTTTTTTTGTGGCTATTCACAGTGAAAACTCAGTGGGATTAAAAATAAAACCTAATCAAGTGGAGGAGGGGTAGCTAGGAATGTGACCCCCAGAAATGTCTCACTCTTATGCCAGTCCACATTCAGCTGCTGGAAATTTGTCCCAATTACCATTAATATGTTCCCACCAGTTTATGACTCCAGTGGCTTTTGCTCCAGGTAAGCAGATCTCAGCTGTGAGCCTCTGTATTCTCCTGTCTCTCCCATTTCTGAGTGGAGTCTTCCCTGGGACCTCAATTCTCTGATGGGTCCAACAAAGGCACTGATTTTCACTTTGTTCAGCCTTTTTCTTTGTAGTAAAGATGGGAGTGATTGTTTTCAAATACTTTACATGTCAGAGCTAAAATTGGAAGTCTCCAGTATTACTTTTTTATTAAGTCTAATAATCTTTGCTTTTTAATTTAGACCATTTATATTTTAAATTTAATTCTATAATCTTGCTATTTGTTTTCTCTTTCCCAACCTCATTATACCTCATTCTACGTCCTTTGTTCCTGTTCTTCCTTTTTCCTGTATTCTTTTGGATTCATTTTAGCATTCCATTTGCTCTCATCTATAGGCTTATCAGTTATACCTTTGCTTTATGCTTTTTAGGCTTATCAGTTATACCTTTGCTTTATGCTTTTTAAAGCTTGATCTAGGATTTATGATATGCATGCTTAATTTATTGCAGTTTATGTTCAAGAAAAGTTACTATTGTGTGATGTTGATCAAGAAAAATGATGAGACAAGTCTCAATCATTTTAAGAGATTTATTTGCCAAAGTTAAGGATGTGCGCCCGGGAGACAGTTCTATGTCTTTCTTTGAAGATAATTTTGAGGGCTCTAAATTTAAAGGAGAAAGGGTGAAATATTGAGAAGTACACGATTTTCGTGTAAAAAGCAGGTAGGGAAAAAGAATCATTCATGCCTTTGTCTGGCTCAGTGAATCTGCATTTTTTTTTTTTTTTTTTTTTTACATAAGATGACACAGACAAATGGGGCAGAGGAAAAATGCAGAGAATCTGGATTTTACATGAGATAACATAGACACAATGGGGCAGGGGAACAATCAGATATGCAGTCGTGTCTGGTGGGCCGGGGTGACTGCACCTGTAAAGATAAGCTATCAGTTTGCATTGCCATGGTGAAATTTTAACAGAAACACCTTAAAAGATCTTGCAGCTCACTAGGAATTTCCTTGTGGGCAAAATACAAGGGAGGCATGTAGCTTTTCATCTTGTAGCCATCTTATTTAGGAACCAAAAGAGGGAGGCAGTTTGCATGTCCCACTTCCCAGCTTGACTTTTCCCTTTGGCTTAATGAGTTTAGGGTCCCAAGATTTAATTTCCTTTCATAGTGTATTCTGCAAAATATATAAGCTGTATATTTCTGTTTCTCCCTCCTGTCGTCTGTGCATTGTTGTCCATATATTATTCTACAGATGTTACAAACTCCTAAGACATTATCATTAATTTTGTTTTAAACAGTCATTATTATTATTATTATTACTATTATTATTATTTAATTTTTGTTCTGAGACGGAGTCTTGCTCTGTTGCCCAGGCTGGAGTGCAGTGGCGCGATCTCGGCTCACTGCAAACTCCGACCCCTGCGTTCAAGCAATTCTCCTGCCTCAGCCTCCCTAGTAGCTGGAATTACAGGCATGCACTACCACACCTGGCTAATTTTTGTATTTTTAGTAGAGACAGAGTTTCACCATGTTGGCCAGGCTGATCTCAAACTCCTGACCTCAAGTGATCTGCCCACCTCAGCCTCCCAAAGTGCTGGGATTACAGGTGTGAGCCACCGCGCCCAGCCACTGTCATTATTTTTAAAAGAAATTTTAAAATGAGAAAACAATGTCTTTTAGATTTATTCACAGTTTTGCTTTTTTTTTTTTGCTGCTTATTTCTTTGTGTTGATCTGAATCTCCATCTCATATAATTTTCTTTCAGTTTAAAAACCTTCCTTTATCATTTCTTATAGTGTAGATTTATTCATGGTGAATTTTCTCACTTTTGTTTATTTGAAAAAGCATGTACTTCAGCTCAACTCTTTTTTTTTTTTTTTTGATACAGATTCTCACTCCATTGCCCAGGCTGGAGTGCAGTGGCACGATCTCAGCTCACTACAACTTCTGCCTCCTGAGTTCAAGCGATTCTCCTGTCTCAGGCTTCCAAGTAGCTGGGATTACAGGTGCACACCACTATGCCCAGATAATTTCTATAGTTTTAGCAGAGACGGGGTTTCACCATGTTGGCCAGGCTGGTCTCAAACTCCTGACCTCAGGTGACCCACCCACCTTTGCCTCCCAAAGTGTTGGGATTACAGGTGTGAGCCACTTTGCCTGAGCTTCAGCTTGATTTTTGAAGGATAATTTCAATGAATGTAAAGTTCTATGAGGATATTGAAACTGCCTTTGCAAAATTATGACTGAGACAGTGAAAGAGATCTAACTTAACTGACTCTATCTCACCTCTAACCTCCAAGCTGTCTTTGTTCAGTCCTGGGTGTATGTTGAACTAACTTTGGGAGAAACTTAGCCTATAGTTTAAAACCAAGGCTATAACAACCCTTTCCCAAAGCAAACCTCCTTGCCTGGGGACTAGACTGCCTTCGCATGACTAAGAAATTAGCCACAAAATTAGAAATTATGGTTTAGAAGTCATGCAGCTGGAGGCTACAAGAGTCTGACCCTCCCTAAACTGCTCCTAAGATCAGTGCTTGAGATTGCAGACCCTGTGCTTGATGAATCAGCTGGCACCACCCAGATCAATAAACTGGCTCATATGATCTTGTGGCCCCCCCACCCAGGAACTGACTTAGCACAAGAAGACAGCTTCGACTCCCTATGATTTCATCTCTGACCTGACCGATCAGTGCTCCTGACTCACTGGCTTCCCCTCACCCACTAAATTGTTCTTAAAAACTCTGATCTGTGAATGCTCAGAGAGATTGATTTTTAATAATAACAAAACTGTGGTCTCCCGTACAGCAAGCTCTGCGTGAATTACTCTTTCTCTGTTGTCATTCCCTTGTCTTGATAAATTGGCTCTGTCTAGGCAGCTGACAAGGTGAACCCATTTGTATTACATTATTTAAAAGATGTTTTGTATTATCTTTTGTCTTGCACTATTTCTGATGATAAATCAGCAGCCATTTTATCTTCATGCTGCTGTATGTGTTGTTTCTTTTTGTTTTACTAGATTCTTTTAAGGCTTTTCCTCCTCCATCCCCCTCCCTCAGTTTTACTGAGGTAAATAACAAATATATATATTTATGTTCATTGATCGTTTATTCAGTATCTATTAGACTGTCAATTCATCCAGTGACTTTTTAATTTCAGATAATTTTTGCCTTTATTACTTGCATTGGGCTCATTTTTATAGATTTCATATCTTTCCTCATTGTGTTCATGTTTTCCTTTAAATCCTTGAGCATATTTATAATAGTCATTTAATTTTTTTTTAATTTTTAACTTTTATTTTAGGTTTGAGGGTACATGTGCAGGTTGGTTGTATAGGTAAACTCGTGTAATGGGAGTTTGTTGTACAGGTTATTTGATCACCCACGTACTAAGCCTAGTACCCAATAGTTATATTTTCTGATCCTCTCCCTTCTTCCACCCTCTATCCTCAAGTAGACCCCAGTGTCTGTTGTTCCTTTCCTTGCATTCATGAGTTCTCATCATTTAGCTCCCACTTATAAGTGAGAATATGTGGTATTTGGTTTTCTGTTCCTGTGTTCATTTGCTAAGGATAATGGCCTCTGTATCCATCCATGTTCCCACAAAAGACATAATCTTGTTCTTTTTTTAGGGCTACATAGTATTCCATGGTGTATATGTACCACATTTTCTTTATCCAATCTGTCATTGATGGGCATTTAGATTGATTCCATCTCTTTGCTATTGTGAATAGTGCTGAAATTAATATTTGCATGCATGTGTCCTTATAGTAGAATGATTTATATTCCTCTGGGTATATACCCAGTAATGGGATTGCTGGGTCCAATGGAATTCCTATATTTAGCTCGTTGAGGACTTGCTATCCTTTTCACAATGGTTGAACTAATTTACAATGCCACCAACAGTGTATTAGTTTTCCCTTTTCTCCGCAACCTTGCCAGCATCTGTCATTTTTTGACTTTTTAATAATAGCCATATAATGGTGAAATGGCTTAGCTGTAACCCCACCCAAATCTCATGTTGAACTGTAGCTCCCATAATTCCCATGTGTTGTGGGAGGGATCCCCATTGAATCATGGGGGCAGTTTCCTCATGCTGTTCTCATGATAGTGAATAAATCTCATGAGATCTAATGGTTTAATAAGGGGAAACCCCTTTAGCTTGGCTCTCATTTCTCTCTTGCCTGCTGCCATGTAAGACATGCCTTTTGCCGTCTGCCGTGATTGTGAGGCCTGCCCAGCCATGTGGAACTGTGAGTCCATTAAACCTCTTTTTAAATTATGCAGTCTCAGGTATGTCTTTACCAGCAGTGTGAAAAAGGAATAAGACAGTAAATTGGTACCAGCAGAGTGGAGTGCTGCTGTAAAGATACCCGAAAATGTGGAAGTGACTCTGGAACTGGGTAACGGGCAAAGGTTGGAACAGTTTGGAGGGCTCAGAAGAAGACAGGAAAATGTGAGAAAGTTTGGAACTTTCTGGACCCTTGTTGAATGGCTTTGACCAAAATGCTGATAGTGATACGGACAATGAAATCCAGGCTGAGGTGGTCTCAGGTGGAGATGAGGAACTTTTTGGCAAGTGGAGCGAAGGTGACTCTTTCTATGTTTTAGCAAAAAGACTGGTGGCATTTTGCCCCTGCCTTAGATAATTGTGGAACTTTGAACTTGAGGGAGATTATTTAGTGTATCTGGCAGAAGAAATTTCTAAGCAGCAAAACATTCAAGAGGTAACTTGAGTGCCATTAAAGACATTCTGTTTTAAAAGGAAAACAGAGCATAAAAGTTTGAAAAATGTGTGGTCTGATGATGCAATAAAAAAGAAAAGCCCGTTTTCTGAGGAGAAATTCAAGATGGCTACAGAAATTTGGATAAGTAGCGAGGAGCCAAATATTCATTGCCAAAACAATGAGGAAAATGTCTCCAGGGTATGTCAGAGGTCTTCAGCACAGCCCCTCCTATCACAGGCCCGGAGGCTGAGAAGAAAAAAAATGGTTTATTGGGCCCAGGGCACCACTGCTGTGTGCAGCCTAGGGACTTGGTGTTCTGAGTCCCAGCCACTCTAGCCATGGCTAAAAGGGGCCAAGGTACAGCTTGGGCTGTGGCTTCACAGGGTGCAAGCACCAAGCCTTTGCAGCTTCCACATGGTGTTGAGCCTGCAGGTGCACAGATGTCAAGGATTGAAGTTTCAGAACCTCTGCCTAGATTTCAGTGGATGTATGGAAATGCCTGGATGTCCAGGCAGAAGTTTGCTGCAAGGGCAGGGCCCTCATGGAAAACCTCTGCTAGGGCAGAGCAAAAAGAAATATGGAGTTGAAGTGCCCACACAGAGTCCCCACTGGGGCACTGCCTATTGTAGCTGTGAGAAGAGGGCCACCATCCTCCAGACCCCAGAATGGTAGACCCACCCACAGCTTCCACCATGCACCTGGAAAAGCCACAGACACTCAACTCCAGGCCATGAAAGCAGCCAGAAGGGAGGCTGTACCCTGCAAAGCCACAGGTGCAGAGCTGCCCAAGACCATGGGAACCCACCTCTTGCATCAGTGTGACCTGGATCTGAGACATGGATTCAAAGGAGATCATTTTGGAGCTTTAGGATTCGACTGCCCTGCCGGATTTTGGACTTGCGTTGGGCCTTTAGCCCCTTCGTTTTGGTCCATTTCTCCCATTTGGAATGGGTATATTTATCCAATGCCTGTACCCCGATTGTATCTAGGAAGTAACTAACTTGCTTTTGATTTTACAGGCTCATAGGCCGAAGACACTTGCCTTGTCTCAGATGAGACTTTGGACTGTGGACTTTTGAGTTAATGCTGAAATGAGTTTAGACTTTGGGGTATTGTTGGGAAGGCATGATTGATTTTGAAATGTGAGGACATGAAATTTGGAAGGGGACGGGGCAGAATGATATGGTTTAGCTGTGTCCCCACTCAAATCTCATCTTGAATTGCAGCTCCCATAATTCCCACATGTTGTGGAAGGGACCCCCATTGAATCATGGAAGCAGTTTCCCCCATACTGTTCTCATGGTAGTGAATAAGTCTCATGAGATCTGATGGTTTTATAAGGGGAAACTCCTTTTGCTTGGCTCTCAGTTCTCTCTTGCCTCCTGCCATGTAAGATGTGCCTTTCACCTTCCACCATAATTGTGGGGCCTCACCAGCCATGTGGAACTGTGACTATATTAAACCTCTTTTTCTTTATAAATTACCCAGTCTCAGGTATGTCTTTATCAGCAGCGTGAAAATTGACTAACACAAATGGCTATTCTATGAAGTGATTATCTACTTCTTCCGTCATCTCTGTCATTGGTGTCTGTTTCACTTGATTGATTTTTCTCCTGGTTATGGCCAACTTTTTCTGATTGTTTATATGTCTAATCATTTTTAAGTTGGATGCTGGACCTTATGCATGTTACATTTGAGAAAAGAAAAATAGCTCAGAGCAGTCTGGGCTATTTGAGGTATGCAAAATTTCGCAGGCCCTGCAAGACATGAGTGTATGGGGGGACTTCAGTCACACCTTCCACACCCATGCCCAGGGGCAATTGTTGAAAGTCATTTTGTTCCTGACTAGCTGCCTCACCCATTGTCTTCATGTTCCTGGAATTTGTGAAACAAAGAATAATATACAGCCAATCAACTGCTTATGTTATTTTAATGTAAATTCTTGGTAAACAACTTAGGAACTGCCTCTTTTTTTTCTTTAAAAACCTGCTAGCAACTGTTGCTTATCAGAGTATATATTCAGGGCAATTGAAATCAGTGCTCCCAGGTTGCAGTTCTCAGACTTGACCCAAATAAACTCTTACATTGTTTGCCTCAATTTTTTCCTCTAGATCAACACAATATTGAGTGTGTAGCTTCTGTTATTTTCCAAAGAATGTTGAAGTTCATTTTAGCACTCAGCTAAGTTGCTTGCAGATCAGACCCTTTTGAGGTTTGTTTTTAACCTTTATGAAAGCATTTTTAAAGAAGGCTCCCTCTAGAGCTAATTCAGCCTGACTACTTAGTCATACCCATTCTGAGATCTCCTGAATGTCCTGGGTGTTCCTGAGGTATCCCCTCTCTGGTTAGTTGAAATGCAAATTTATTCTTGTCCTGAGTGAGCTCTAGGCATTGTTCAACTTACAGCTCTGAAGTTCTTTACCCAGCTTTATGGAGTCTCACCCTGCACATGTATGGCTTAGTCTTCAGTCAATGTCTTTTTTTGTTTGTTTGTTTGTTTGTTTGTTTATTGAGACAGAGTTTTGCTTTGTTTCCCAGGTTGGAGTGCCATGGGGATTGTAGCTCACTGCAACCTCCACCTCCTGGGTTCAAGCGATTCTCCTGCCTCAGCCTCCTGAGTATCTGGGAATACAGGCATGCACCACCAGACCCAGCTAATTTTTGTATTTTTGGTAGAGACGGGGTTTCACTGTATTGACCAGTCTGGTCTTGAATTTCTGACCTCAAGTGATCTGCCTGCCTCAGCCTCCCAAAGTGCTGGGATTACAGGCATGAGCCACCTTGCCCAGCCTAGTCTTCAGACAATGTCTAAAGGGAATCACCATGCAGACTCCGGGACCCTCCCTCTCTGGGTAGCCCCCTCATCTCGGGTACTCTGAACCTCAAGTACCGGCTGCCTTTGCCTCCCCAGACTCCACACTGTATCCTCACCTCGGTGACACCCCATCCTGCACTTGGGTCCCCCTCCCTGTCCCCTCTTCTCTTGGAGATTACAATCTTTGCTGCTTGTTTTCCCATGTCTGGAAGAAGTTGTTTCACAGTCATTGTCCAGTTTTCTGGTTGTTTATTCCAGAAGAGCAAGTTCAGTACCAGTGCCTCCATCAGGGCCAGAGGCAGAACTCTGCAGCCTGCGTTCCACGGGGCAGAGAACTCAATGGATTCTATTCAGAGAATCTCAGAGTGAGTCAAAGTTAGATGACACCTTCTGGATATAATCGAAACTTAACAGAATGTGGGAAAATCGTTTTTTTTTCTAATGAAACATGTGTTAGAACATGGCCCTGGGACAGCAGAGGCTCACCACACTCCACCAGCAGAATGATTGGAGACGAGGAGGGGGTCTAGTTTAGGCAAATTACTGTTATCCAGAATATGGATCAATAAAAAGAAAATACCCAATAGAACCGGAATCACTAAACTTTATTTCTGTAAACACCCAGTAGTAAATGTTTTAGGCTTGGCAGGACACATATAATCTCTGTCACATCTTCTTTTATGACCCTTTGTAAAAACTATTCTTAGCTCGCGGGCAATAGAAAAACAGTCCACAGGCTGAATTTGGCCAATTGGCTATAGGTTGCTAACCCTTACGATGGAATAATAGCATAAGCCATTCACAGAAGAAGAAAAAGAAAATTACTAATGCATGTATGAAAAGAGACTTAGCTTCCATAATCATCAGGAAAATATGATTTAAAGTAAACAAGAGAACATTTCACACTAATCAAGTTGGTAAAATGTTAAAAGACTGACAGTATCAAGAGTTAGTGGAGATAAAGAGAAACAGCCATTCTCACACACTGCTGGTAGGAGTGTAAATTAATTCAGCCACTTTGGGAAGCAATTTGTCAATATCCAAAGCAAAATTGGAATTGAAAATGCATATTCACAAAGACTCGGCTATTCCACTTCTAGATCTATTATCTAAAGAGACTCATACATAATTGTGGCATTATAATAGGAAAATAAATTGGAAACAACTTAAGTACACACACACACACACACATATATCAACATGGTTACATCTCAAAAACATTATGTTGAGTGCAAAACAAGCTCACTGTGTAATATCATTTATGAAATGTTTAAAAACATACTGCAAACAACACTATGAATTATTCATAGATATCTCTTTCTGTAGGTGTAAACATGAAAACAGTGGACTGGAGAAACCCACGCCAGATTCAGGGGGGTGAAATTCATGGTACCTGCGGGGAGAGTGCCCTGAGAACGAGAACAGGGAGGCAGCCTTATCTGTAATATTGCGTTCCTTTTATAAAAATGTCAAGCAACTGTGATGAAACATGAAAACTTGTCGGTTTGAGATGGTGGCCACACAACTGTTTGCTATGCTGTTCTCTTTGCTCTCTGTCTTCTTAATTTCCTGTGAAAGAGAGAAAGACAGAAATCAGTTTGGGCCATCCATACAAGTGCAGTGTGAGGCCAAGGACGGTAGTGATGGGTGTCAGGCAATTTGCCTGGCTGCCTGGCTGGTCCCTGGCTCTCTGTGTGACCCCTGGCCCTCTCTGCCCATCAGTGTCCCCAGCTGTGGCATGAGGAGTGTACTTCAAAGTGGATCTTGCTACTGAGTCCTCACCAGTGTTTGTTTAATGGAATAGACTAGAATACATTAGAAAACATGAGTGCATCAGCTACGTGGGCTGGAGATAGGGGAAGGGGGAGTTAGTGTTTAATGGGTACAGAGCTTCTGTTTGGGATGACGAACAGGTTCTGGAAATGGGTGCTAGTGCTGATAGTCAACAATGTGAGTGCACTGACTGCCATTCAACTGCGTGCTTAAAAAAGGTCAAAATAGTACATTTATGTGATGGATATTTTTGCACAATGAAAAAAGAGTGCATGGTGTGGAGCAAGGGTAACTATTGTTTCGTGAACCTTTCCTTTTCACGGATTTAAACAACTGGAAACTCAAAACCCTCTGGGATAGAAGAAGCCATTTTTAGAAGGCTCCATGGCAGCAAGGGCTCAGGAAGACAGAAGACAGACCCTCATGCCTTTTCTTCCACCTCTCGGTCTTTTTATTACTTCAATTTTACTTTCACACTCCTGCTGCTGGTTCCAGCCTCTCCACCAGACATCCAGGATTGGGGCCAATGACATTCTCTACCCCACTTATCCAGGCAATAGGATTTCAATTTCTTTTCTCTTGAGGTGGAACTGCATTGTGTTCCAAGCAGCCCCATCAGCGTTAAACGCTCACCATAATGATGATGGCCATTAGTCTGCCAAGCTCTAAGTAGCAAAAGAGAAGAGAGAGAGAGAGGGGAGGCAATGCATTGTGCCATTTAAGCAGCATGGGAAGTGGTGATGGCCAGGAAAGCAAAAATAGATTGATGTAAATGGGAAGCCTTGCCGGGGAGGGCACAACTGAGGGGCCTGGAGAGAGAGCAGCTCCGGGCCCTTCTGTCACCGTGCTCCACTTTGTCAGGGCCCATCACATAGAAAAATCAGCCTGGGGCTTTTAATGCACAGTTTGGAGAATTAGTTTCAATTAGCAGAGAGACATTTTAAATCTCGAGAAATATTCAGCCTTCATAGATTCCATTTAGCATTTAAAATCCATTCTCAGCACTCATAGAATCATAGAGCATAAAACTAGAAAAGACCTTGGAAATTATCCCCGCAGCTTCCTTTGTACAGGGGGGCATGGAGTGATGGAGCCTACGGGGTCAACCTGCTGAGAGGCAGCTCCAGGACTTAGAAGTCAGCCTCTGGGCTCCCAAACCCCGTCTTCTTTCCATTAATACCCCTGGCTTCCCTTCTCTTCCCTAGGAGTGGGGGGCAGTGACCCGTGATATTTCCAGTTTGTGCACAGTTGTGCCTGTGTGTGTGTGTGTGTATGTGTGTGTGTGTGTGTTTATGTATGCGTGTGTGTGTGCATGCATGTGTTTGCCAGTGGTAAGGACAGAAAATAAGTGGCTAGTGACCTCCTTGGACACCTACACCTAACTCCGCAGCCTTCGGTGACCTAAAGAGTCAGTCTGTGCCTGGTGGTGGTCTGAGAGCCGCTAACACAGTCACGTTGCTGCAGGCCTGAGCTCATGTTCTCGTTCCATCTCTGCGCCCTGGGAGGAGAGTGGCCACAGCACTCCAAGTCTGTTTCTGCAGCTGCAGAATGAGCTCAATAGTGCCTACCTTGCAGGGCATTTTTTGAAAATGGATAATTACATGAATAGGTCACACACATAGTAGGTCTTGGTAAATATCCCTTTTCATCTCACATAAGAACTCTCCAAGGGCAGCCTGATGACAAGGTGGTCTCAGCGCCATCGTGTTCCATTTCGTGGCGTCTGGAACCAACACTTAAGCAGAACAGCACATCCCACTTGTTTACATCTCTGATACCACCACCTCCTTTTGCTAATGGGCTTCGGTTTTTCCTTTTCTTATTCTCTTTGCCTAAAGGCAACAACGCTTGTCTTTAATCAGCATAAGGCAATTTAGTACCCCTCACATCAGCCTGCCAGGAAAAATGAGCCATTAATTTCCTGGAGGTTCCAAGAACACACTTTTATTTGTTATACTACAAACACATTGAGGCTGCTGTGCCGGAAAAAAAAAAAGAAAAAAGAAAACTACGCTAAGTCCCCTGTTTGCCCAAGGTGACTCCGTAAAAATTAACTGCAGTGTTCAAGGCTGTCTTTCCTCTTTGTGACACAGCTGATGAACTTAGGTGTGATTCGAAGAGCAAAGTGCAGGTGTGTTTACCACCGTCGCTCTGTCAGGGAATCTGTTTCAACTGTAAAGGGATGCGATGCGGTTGTGCAATTTTCGGCCTGGGAACTGCATAGGTAAATAAAAAACAAGACGCGGTGTGAGTTTGGCTGTTCTTTTGCCCGCAGTTGGCTGTGGCCTTCTCCTCATCTTCACCATCCCTCCGGCAGTTTCCAGTAGAAAATTCTGGTGAAGGCGCTGGCCGTTCTTGCAGCGTTTCCCAGGATACGTTTGCCTCTCGCCCTGCTGAAGAAGATATCCTGGGCAGGTGGTCCTTTCATGGCTGTTCCTCACGGACAGTTCACTGCTCTGCTCAGAGATGTGTCCTGCCTCCCTGCTGACGCCACTCTGGGGGCCTGGGTTTGCTGTGTCAGCCAGAACCTCCACTTGCTGTTGGGAGGATCTTGCACCTGCCCCACACCTACTCTGTGGGTCCCGAGACCTCCCTGCCATTCCTTGGAGGGTCTGTCAATTTCAGGGTCTGGGGTCTGAGCAAGGGAAAGTGGGGAATGCCACTGTCCAATTTTTGCGCTGCTGTTTGGGTCTGGCAGTAAATCATTGAAGAGTCAAGGCCGAGTCCACCAGGGGGAGGGAAGAGGCAGAGAGGCCAAGGCCCATCTTCAGCATGAATGAATTGGGAGCTGGCCTTGAAATCAGAATTGGGTAATCACCGACATTCCTTCCTGCTACTGGGGGTGGCCATAGCTGGAGAGCTGCTGTGGGTGGCTGTGGACAGAGGAGAGGCTCAGAAAGGGGCCGGAAGCAAGCGACGCTCCATGTTGTGTAATTATTGTCCAGACTTTGATCTCAAGCGACAGGGTCCTCGGGGAGCTTGCTGCACTTGATTTAGGAGTCTGTTCTGCCGTCTCCCACCGCAGACTCACAGCGGCTCCTCCTGCAGTGTGAAAGAGTGGTGCTGACTCTTCTAGGATACAGTAACAGGAATGGTTGTTCCTGTCATACGTGAGGCTTCCACCTCCTCTCCAGGGGAGCAGAAGAGGGCTTCAGGGTGGGGCATCCCTCCAGCAGTGGGGGCCACACCAGTCAGCGCCCTTCCCAGGGGAGCACCCTGGGCCCCTGAATTATGCTTCTTGTCCCCACCACTGACTCCTGGGGACCCCGTGTCCACTCCAAGCTCCAGCCTGGCTCCAAGGAGGGAGCCACGTGAATAGAGTCTCAGTACACTGTAGGGTGTCCTGCATGAGAGGCAAGCTCAGGCACACGCCCTTTTCATTAATTCAGCAGAAACAGGAACATACTCTTTTCATTAATTCAGCAAAAACAGGCACACGCAGGGAAAGTGAAGAGAAAATAAGGACAGAGCATGCAAATGTAATAGCATCAAACCTGCCCTACTTCCCGCGCACACCAGCAGAGTGCTTGACTGTTCCTGGCCATCTCCTTGCCTCAGGTAACTCTGCTCAGCAAAGCTTCACAGGCCTCCATTCATCAATGTGGGATGCCAGGGACATGGAGGCTGGGATTCGGAGTGGACATTGCTGGGAGCAGATGTGCTTCAGGCATGCCGGGGATGTTCCTGGAGCTGGTGAGGGGGCGCCTAGTCCAGGCTGGGGGAAGGCTGAGTCCAGAAGCCAGCTCGGGAGGGTTGAAGTGAACTATGAGGTAGCAATGCCTTTAGGAGAGAAACTGGGAGGCTGGGGCTATCCTCCACAAAGAAAATGGGATGCTCTGGACCAGAAGAATGTCTGCAGGTACCATCATTTTGGTTTTTGCTAATTTTTTATCATTTCTTCACTCATCATTAAGCAGGGAGATTCTGTATGTGTCTGCCGCAGAGCTGGGGACACAGTGACTAGCCACCAGCCCTGCCCTGAGCAAGGAGCACACAGCCAGTCAGGGCTGCGTCCCTTGGCTCGTGGCCTCTTCCTTCATCTTCAGGGTGGCTGCTGAGTCTGAGGGTTTGAGTCCTTCTCACATCCCCTCCTGCCTCCTTCTTTTACATTTAGGGGCCCTCTGATGACACTGGGACCCACTAGGGTAATCCAGGATAATCCCCCTATTTTAAGGTCAGCTGATTAGTGACCTTAATTCCATCAGCAACCTTAACTCCACCCCTTGACCTACAAGCAACATAGCCACAGGTTCCAGGGATCAGGATGCAGACATCTTTGGGGGGACATGATTTTGCCCACCATAGCTTCCCAGAGGGGCTGGCATCTAAACTGATCCTGGAAGAGCGCACATGAGCTTGCTGGGTTCTGCTGAGGCAGCAAGAGGACTCTCACCACTAACAGAGCAGATCTCTTATGTGTCCTCTTGGACATTTGGAAAGACTGGTGCGGTGGGGCGGGGAGACATTAGAAATGGGCTGGTTTTTTGAAAAAGGAGACAAGACCCGGTAGAGATCAGCATGAGTCGGGGGTGTTACAGCGAACACCCAGTCCCTACCATGCCCATGACATTGGCACCATTTCCAGCAGGCGCAACCCCACACAGACCTCGGGGCAGCAGCCTGCTGGGCAGAGAGAGCTTGTCCCTATTCTGTATTTAGGCACAAGAGAGGATTCGGGGAAGGCAGCCAGATGTGCGAGCTGATGGAGACCATGTCCAGTCGGGCTTAGTCCGGTTCAGTCCAAAGGCATGCACTGTACTCTGAGGCCATTTCAAATGTTGCCAAGACCCCTGGGTTCAAGCCAGAAGGAGGACCTCTAGTCAGAGCTGGGGGTGGGGGTGGGGTGAGGGCAGTGGGTATTGTTGTAATTGTTTCAGAACATACTAAGTTAATTTATTTGTTTTGCCTTGTGCCTTTTAAACAGGCTTTCATCATCGAATGTGTTTTCCATCTCGTCCTGTCGCACAGGTAGGAGACCTTGTATTGTTTACTCCTGGAGGCGTCTCCTCCCCATAGCCCTGTTTAGTCGGCTGGGCAGGGAGCTCGTCTTTTTACAGCCTGTGCTTTGCGTGGCCTGGCCGCCTTCTCCGTTTTCACTCCCCTTGTTGATCTGAACCCCTGCCACAACAGCATGCTTCCCTCTGACTTTCACACCAGAACAAATTCCGTGCAGGAACATGGACCTGTCTGCTCTAACCCGGCCCACACCCCGCCACTCCCCTGCCCTCGGCCTCCAGTAGCTGAGTGACCAGGGCCCAGGGATGCCCACACAGGAGGCAGTGAGGTGTGTGGAGGACCCAGAGGTGGGCGGGTGGGTTCCAGGACCAGCCGGGCTCCTCCTGGACTTCAGGATCACAGGGTCCCACGTCAGGGCTCACCACTGCTCCCCTCAAAGCTGGCCAGGCCCGTCCACCTCCGTCTCTCTTCCGTGGCATCTCTAGGTTTGGTTCAGGGCAGGGAGCCAGCAGCCCACAATTGTTCACCATCTTGTCAGGAACCAGAAGTTGTCCAGCCCCCTTATGTTGGCAATGGGGAGACGCTCGGTGCTTCCATTTAGTACACGTTCATGGATGTTCGTTCTAAACCAAAGTGGCAGAGCTCAAAACCATGGCCTCCAGGGGCCTCCCCAGCCACCCAGAAGCAAGAGCCAGTTTCCAGAAATAGACCCCCATCAGATCAGCTCTCCAGAGAACTGCACCAGGGTTCCTGCCGCCCCTGCTGAAAGCCCTTTGCGGTCTGCCCAGGCTCCCCTCCCTCTGCTCTTCCCCTTTCTCTCCATCCTCCAGTGGCCATCCTCACGGACGCACTGCCCTCCCACCTTCCCGATGCCGCCCTTCTCTCCTGGACTCGCTCCTCATCCTGGAAGGTGCAGCTGAACTACTGCCTCACCCCACTCTCTCTTGGTGTCCTCCCCCGCAGGTCAGCTGCACTTTTCTGCTGTGTTCTTGCCTCCGTGACTCACGATTGTCATATTTAGTTATTATCGTGCATTACTGTGTGCCCATCTGCCCCACTAGAAGGTAATGGAGTTGTGTCACTCTCGACCATGTGCCTGCAGCCCAGCTCAGAGCTTGGCATAGACTGGGCATCAGTGAATGCACATTGATTGGGGTGATGGAGCGCTTGCCCGTCACCAACAGGAAGGGGCTGCACGACTTCTGCTTCCTGACAAGATGGTGAACAATTGGCGGCTGCTGGCCCCCTGCCCTGAACCACACCTGGTGATGCCGAGGAAGAGGGAGGGAGGGAGGGGGACAGGCCTGGCCAGCCTTGTGAAGTCTCTGAGGCAACTGAAGGTGGTTGGGTCCTGCTACGTGGGAAAATGTCACTCAGAGCAGAAGAGACTTAAAGCCAGTAGGATGCTAGAACACAGAGGTAAAGGAGAGGAATTTAATTCAGTAAAATGTACAGTTACCTAAACAGGCATGGATTAGTCAGGGTTCTCTAGAAGGATAGGACTCATAGGATAGATGAATATATGAAGGGGGGTTTATTAGGAGAATTGACTCACATGATCACAAGGTGAAGTCCCACCGTAGGCTGTCTGCAAGGTAGGGAGCAAGGAAGCCAGTCCAAGTCCCCAAACCTCAAAAGTAGGGAATCCAACAGTGCAGCCTTTGGTCTGTGGCTGAAAGTCCAAGAGCCCCTGGTGAGTCCAAGAGTCCAAAAGCCGAAGAGCTTGGGAGCCCGATGTTTGAGGGCAGGATGGGAGTAAGAGGAAGCTGGAAGACTCAGCCAGTCTAGCCTTTCCACATTCCATTAGCAGCTGATTAGATGGGCCCACCCAGACTGAGGGTGGTCTACCTCCCCAGTCCACTGACTCAAATGTTAACTCCTTTGGCAACACCCTCATATACACACCCAGGAACAATACTTTGCATCCTTCAATCCAATCAAGTTGATACTCAGTATTAACATTTCGAGGCAAGAACCGAACCAAAACAAAGCCAAAACACAAACCTGTAAGACTCTCAAACTAAAACTCTAAATGATACCCATGTGATTTCAGGAGGGGCTATGGAGTGAAACTGTGGATAGTGAGCTAAGCTTAATTTGAGGTCATAATAATGTAACTACAACTGCATTGAAACAAAAATAGAATGTATACATTTCTATCAGCGAAAAACCTTTCCGTCTTTCTAATGCAAGGTGGGAAAAGAAAAGAGAATACAAAATGAAAGTTAAATAGAAAAAAAATGGAATAAAACCGCTGAAATAAAACTAATTATGACAGTAATTACAGTGAGTGTAAATTGGTTGAATCAATTAAAAGAAAGAGACTTTTGCAGTGGATTTTTAAAAAAGAGTTTCAACAATAAATTGTTTCCAAGAGATGTGCTTAAAATAAAAGAATGTCTAAAGGTTGAAAATAAAGACACAAAAATATATATTGCAGGCATACAGGAATCAAAATAAATCTAAGGTAACAATTTGTTAAACATCTCCCAAAATAGAATTTAAAGTTGGAAAATATAATGTTGGTCAAAAAAGAGATACTATAGAGTAGTAGAAGAGAACAGTAAATATAAAAAGACATTAGAGGGCCAGGTGCCCTGGCTCACGCCTGTAATCCCAGCACTGTGGGAAGCCAAGGTGGGTGGATCACGAGGTTAGGAGTTTGAGACCAGCCTGGCTGACATGGTGAAACCCCGTCTCTACTAAAAATACAAAAATTAGCTGGATGTGGTGGCGCGTGCCTGTAGTCTGAGTTACCCGGAAGGCTGAGGCAGGAGAATCACTTGAACCTGGGAGGCGAAAGTTGCAGTGAGCCAAGATCGCACCATTGCACTACAACCTGGGCAACAAATCTCAAAAAAATAAAAAAGATAAAAATAAAAAAATAAGAGAACAAACTTTTGGGTTCTAGGAATGGCAGAGTAGATTGTATCAGACCAGCCTTCTGCCAATAACAATTACAAACTCTGGACCAACTGAAAAAGCAACTGCTTTATGGCACTGCTGTGCAACCAAAGGCAAGAAGAAATCAGAAGGCATGTGACCCCGGAGGGATGGAAAAAAAACCTACTGTCTGAGTCCTGTATTTTTTCAATTCAACCAGATTTTCTGGGGAGGGCGCTCCCAGTCCTTGGGGCACAGGAGGAATTGAGCTCACCTAAAAAGTGAAGTCCTATCGGGCTGAAAGGTTTGAGTGAGAAACCAAGACTGAAAGCAGCTAGGAACTGTTTTTGTTGCCTTTCTTAAAATATCAGATTGGTGCAAAAGTAATTGAAGGTTTTGCCATTAAAAGTAACGCCAAGAACTGCAGTTACTTGTGCACCGACCTAATATAGTTCACACACAGTAAAATTCCCTATTTAAGGGTCTAATTCAATAATATACATTTTGAAAAATATGTATTCATGTAAACACCATCGCGATTGTGATATAGAACCTTTCTGTTGGCCCCCAAATTTGTCTCTTGTCCTTTGGAAATCAGTCCCTTCTCAACCCCTGAACCCCAGCAATGGCTGATTTGAATTTAGTCACTACAGTTTTGACTTTTTTGAGAACTTCATATAATTGGAATCATGAAGTGCATAGGTTTTAGTGTTTTCTGTCTGACCTCTTTCATTTAGTGTACTGGTTTTCAGCTTCATCCATTTTGTTGCATGTATTAGAAATATATTCATTTTCATTGCAGAGTGATAGCTATTGTATGGTTACACTTCAATTTTTTAATTCACTTCAACAAACATTTGAGTTGTTTCCAGTTTTTGTTGATTATGAATAAGACTACTGTGAACATTCACGTATAAGTCTTTTTGCAAACACGTTTTCAGTTCTCTTGGACAAATACCTCAGAACAGAATTTATGGATCATATGGTAAGTGTGTAACTTTAAAAAAAAGGACGAGACTGTTGTCCAAAGTGCCTGTGTAATTTTGCACTGCTACCAGGAATATGTGAAAGTTCTAGTTGTTCCCCCATCCTTGTCAACACTTAATGTTGTCAAACTTCATTTCAGCCATTTTAGTGGGTGTGTAGTGGGGTAACTTCACTGTGGTTTTAATTTGCCTGTCCTAATTAAAAATGGCATTAGCATCTTTTCAAGTGCTCACTGGCCATCTGTATATCTTACTTTGTGAAGTATTCATTTAAATGTTCTGCCCATTTTTAATGAGGTTGTTTGTCTTATAGTTGCAGTGTAAAGATTGTTTAGTCTGGCTACAAGTCTGTTTTCAAATATGTGTTTGGCAAATATTTTCTCTCAGTCTGTGGCTTTCCTTTTCATTTCCCTAACAATGACTTTTGAGAAGCAAAAGTTTTAATTTTAATGAAATCCAGTTTATCTTTTTCTAAATAGGTTGTACTTTTTCCATCCTATGTAAGAAGTCTCTTCTTAATCCAAGGTCACAGAGTTTTTCTTCTATATTTTCTCCTAGAATTTTTATCATTTAGCTCTTTTATTTAAGTCTGTGGTTCATTTGAAGTAATAAGGTATGAGGCAAAGCTTGAGCTACATTATTCTCTTTTTTTGCATATGAACATCTCATTGTTTCAGCATTTGTTAAAGACATTATCTATTCCTTCATTAAATTGCCTTGGGACCTTCATTAAAAGACAATCCACACATATGTATGGGTCTGTTTAAGAATTTTTCCCCTTCCATTGCATTGCTTTATTTGCCTACCTTTATCCCAATACCAAATTGTCTGTTTTATGCACCTTCATAATAAGTATTGAAGTCAAGTGGCATAGCTAAAATTTCACTGTAAATATTGCCTTTGCTTTATCACATCAATTTAATGTCATGTTTTCATTTTCATTTTGTTCAATATACTTTTCAATTAATTTCTTTCTTGACCCATGCATTATTTAAAAGTGATGTTTAATTCCCAAATATATGAACACTTCTCTGATTTCCTTCAGTAGTCGACTTCTAATTAACTCTGTTGTGGTCAGAGAAGATACTTCAGATTATTTCAATTATTTTAAGTTTATTCAGAATTTTTCTAATGCCTGACAACATGACCTATCTTGGAGAATGTTGCAGTTGTGCTTGGAAAGAAAAGCACATTTTACTGTCACTGGGTAGATTGTTCTCTATGTGTTAAGTGTGGTTATTTGGTAATGCTTTCCAAGTCTTACGTATCTTACAGATTTTCTGTGTTATATATACAGTCATGCACTGCAAAATGACATTTCAGCCGTCAGTGGACTGCATTGACCATGGTGGTCCCATAATGAAGCTGAGAAATGTCTATCACCTAGCGACATCATAGCTGTCATAGCGCAAGGCACAACTCACCCATTCGTGGTGATGCTGATGTAAACAAACCTACTGTGCTGCCAGTCATAGAAAAGTCTAGTACATACAATTATGAACAGTTCCTAATACCTGATCATGATAATAAACAACTCTGTTGCTGGTTTATGGATTCAATATACTACACTTCTACTGTTATTTGAGAGTGTACTCCTTCTACTTATTAAAAAATCAGTTAACTATAGCCTCAGGCAGGTGTTTCAGGAGGTACCCAGAAGAAGGCATTGTTATCATGGGAGATGACAGCTCCATTTGTTTTTTGTTTTGAGATGGAGTCTTGCTCTGTGGCCAGGCTGGAGTGTAGTAACATGATTTTGGCTCACTGCAACCTCTGCCTCCAGGGTTCAAGCGAGTCTCGTGCCTCAGTTTCCCAAGCAGCTGGGACTATAGGTGTGCACCACCATGCCTGGCTAATTTTTGTTTTCTTAGTAGAGACAGGGTTTCACCATGTTGGCTAGGCTGGTCTCGAACTCCTGACCTCAAGTGATCTGCTAACCTCGGCCTCCCAAAGTGCTGGATTACAAGCCTGAGCCACTGCACCCAGCCTCCATTTGTTTCACTGTCCCTGAAGACCTTCCAGTGAGGTAAGATGGGAGGTGGAAGATAGCAATACTGATGATCCTGACCCTGTGTAGGGTTAGGCTAATGTGTGTGTTTCTGTCTTAGTTTTTAAGAAAAAAGTTTAAAAAGCAAATAATCATAATAATAGAACAAAACGCTTACAGAATAAGGATATAAAGGAAGAATATATTTTCGTACAACTATACGATGTGCTTGTGTTTTAAGCCGAATGTTATTACAAAAGAGTCAAAAAGTCAAGAATATTGGAACGTTTATAAAGAAAAATGTTACAGTAAGCTAAGGTTAATTTATTATTCAAGAAAGAAAAATCATTGTAGTAAAATTAGCATAGCCTGAGTGTGCAGTATTTGTGAAGTCCACAGCAGCATACAGGGATGTCTTAGGCCTTCATGTTCACTCCCCACTCTCTCACTGGCTCACCTAGAGGAACTTCCAGTCCTGCAAGCTCCATTTATGGCAAGCGCCCTTTACAGGTGTCCTCTTTTTTATCTTTTACACTGTATTTCTACTGTTCCTTTTCTCTGTTTAGATACACAGATCCCATTGTATTACAGTTGCCTACAGTATTCAGCACAGTATCACTTCTTGTAGCAGGCTCCACCGTCTAGGTTTGTGTAAGTGCACTCCAGGATGTTCTCACAATGACAAAGTCACCTAATGACACATTTCTCAGAATGCATTTCCATCATTAGCAGCACCCGGCTGTGCATCTATAACTGATCACAGTCTACTGGTGCCATTTTACTAGTTCAAGTGAAGTTTTAAAAAATCACCCCTCTCTACATCTCTACTCTTTCTAGTTTATAATATAGTTGTCTTAAATATCTCTTCTACATACATTGAGATCAGACAGCATTATAATTTTTGCTTCAACTGTCAAACATGACTTTAAAAACTCAAGGGGAGGAGGAAAGTATACTGTATTTAATTATATTGTTTCTCTCTTTGTTGTGAATCCTTCTTTCCTGGTGTTCCAGGATTCCTTTATTTTAATCATTTCCTTTATGCTTAGAAAACTTCCTTTAACCATTCTTTAGGGTAGGGCGGCTGGTGGCAAATTCTTAGTTTTTCTTCATCTCAGAATTCTCTGATTTCTTAATTACTGAAGAATATTTTCTCTTGATACAGAATTCTGGGTTGGCAATTCTTTTCTTTCAGGACTTGAAAAAATGCTTTGTCACCTCATTCTGGCCTCCATGGTTTCGAACATAAAATTCATTGTCATTTTAATTGTTTTCCTCTGTAAGTTAAGTGCTGTTTCTCTCTCCCAGCTTTAAAGATTTTATTTATTTTTTGAATTGTCTTTAGTATTGAGGAGTTTAATGTGTCTTAGTATGAACTTATTTGGGTTTATCCATGTTTGAGATACACTCAGCTTTTTAAATATGTAGGTGGTATGATTTGGCTGTTTCCCCACCCACATCTCACCTTGCATTGTAATAATCACCAGGTGTCAAGGGCAGGGCCAGGTGGAGATAACTGAATCATGGGGCCACTTTCCCCCATACTGTCCTTGTGGTAGTGAACACATCTCACGAGATCTGATGGTTTTATAAATGGGAGTTCCCCTGCACAAGCTCTCTTGCTTGCTGCCATGTAAGATGTGACTTTGCTCTCCATTTGCCTTCCACCATGATTGTGAGGCCTCCCCAGCCATGTGGAACTGTGAGTCAATTAAACCTTTTTTTTTTTTTTTTTTTTTTTTTTTTGAGTTGGAGTCTCACTCTGTCACCCAGACTGGAGTGCAGTGGTAAAATCTTGGCTCACTGCAACTTCCGCCTCCTGGGTTCAAGCAATTCTGCCTCAGCCTCCTGAGTAGCTGGGATTACAGGTGCCCACCACCACACTCGGCTAATTTTTGTATTTTTAGTAGAGACGGGGTTTCATCATCTTGGCCAGGCTGGTCTTGAACTCCTGACCTCGTGATCCATCCACTTCGGCCTCCCAGAGTTCTGGGATTACAGGCATGAGCCACTGCGCCTGGCCCTCTTTCCTTTATAATTACCCAGTCTTGGGTATGTCTTTATTAGCAGTGTGAGAACAGACTAATACAGTGGGTTTATGTCTTTTGCCAATTTGGGAAATTTTCGGCCATTCCTTCTTCAATTACTTTTCCAGCCCCACCTTCTTTCTCCTCTCATTCTGGACTTCAATGGCATGAATGCTAAATATCATGTTATAGTCCCACAGTTTCCTGAAGCTCTCTTCATTTTTTCAGTCCATTTTTCCCTGTTGTTTTATTTTTAACTACAGTGATTCTTTTCTCTGTCCTTCATATTCTGCTATTGAGCACATTTATTGAGTTTTACATTTTTGTTATTTTTTTTTCTGTTCTGTAATTTTCATTTGCATTGTCTTTATATTTTCTATTTCTTTGCTGAATCTTTCTATTTTTTATTTGGGTTGAACGTGTTTTTCGAGGCATTTTTAGTATAGCTGTTTTAAAGCCTTCATCTGAGAATTTCAACATCTATGGAGTCTTGGTTTAAGCATCTGTTGATTGTCTTTCTTCATTCAAGCTGTTATTTTTTTGTTTCTTGGTATAATTAGTAATTTTTAAATTGAAAACCTGACATTTTGGGTGTTATATTTTTGGATCCTAGAATATATTTAAACCTATTGCATCAGGCCTCCACTGACACTGCCCCACTGGAGAAAGAGGAATGCTGTTTTGTTGCTGCCAGGTGGAGGTGGAAATCAAAGTTTCCTCTCAGCCTCCACTGAGACGCAAGGAAAGGAGAGACTCCTCCTTACTGTTGGGCAGGGGTAGGAGTTAAAATCCTCTGCTAGGGCTGCACTGATTAAACCTTGGCTGAAAGGCCCAGGGATGCCTCATCACTCATCCCCACATTGCTTCCATTGACCCTGGGGTGACCTTGCGACTGCTGACCTTTATGTCTTGATTCCACTTCAGTAGGGATGGGGAGGGGTCACTCATTAGCGATGAGTGATAATGGAAATCCAGGCTCTCCACGTGGTCTCCCCTGACTCTGTGGGGTGTAGTGTCCCCTGGCATGGATGAAAGTCCTTACTCCTCATTCAGCCTTCTTTGACGCTACCCCAGTGGAGGGGCTGATGTGCCTTCTTACAACCCCACAGGGCTAGAGAGCTACGCTCCCCCTGCAGTTTTAAAGGGCAAGGGTGGAGTTAGGGCTGCAGCTGTTTGTGTGGTATTTGACAGGTGTGGAGAGGTTCTTGTCTAAAAATTTTCTATATTACTAGCTTGCCCATTTACTCATCCTTTACCAAGAGAGAACAGGCTTTTGTTGGGGCTGTTTTGGTCTGCACACATTGGCATTTCCATGTTCCCAGATTATTTAACACCAAGTCTGGGATATTTAAGGCAAAAAGAAAACCCAGGGAACTCAATTCCATGATGTTCTTGAGATCCTGAGGTCCCTAGCCAGCTTTCTTTCTTCTTTTCACTTTTTTGTATTTCTTATGTTTGTTTTATATATAACGTCCAAGGCATTTAGCTGTACACGCCAATTCCATGGTGTTCTTGAGATCCTGAGGTCCCTAGCCAGCTTTCTTTCTTCTTTTCACTTTTTTGTATTTCTTATGTTTGTTTTATATATAACGTCCAAGGCATTTAGCTGTACTTAGCAAGCGTGAATAGAAAAAGTATCTACTCCATCTTCCAGAAGTAGAAGCCGTCTACTGTATTTAATAAATCAAATGATACAGTGTTATAATTTTTGCCTTAGACAGTCTTGCTGGTGTTTAAAAAACATTAAGCATGTGTTTACTTTTGTGTATGTGTGTACTCAGTCTTTCATAGTATCCACATATTTACCATTTCCAGCGTTCTTCCTTTCTTCCTGTAGATACATTTCCTGTTAGCCTGAGGCACTTCCTTTACTCATTCTTATAGAGCAGACCTTCTAGAAACTCATTCTTTTTGTTTGTCTGAGAATGTTTTTATTGCTCATTCAATTTTGAAGGATTTACTAGCTATAGAATTTTTGGTTGAGTTTTTTTCTTTTGCACATTGAATGGCATTTGACTGTCTTCTTGTTATCATTAATTCTGATAAGAAGTCAGCCATTAATCACTTCTCCCTGTACATGATCAGTTGTTCTTTATTTTCTGCTTTTCAGAGTTTATCTTTGTTTCTTTATAAGCATTTTGGAATTCCATGAGAAACCCACAAGGGCCACATCCCAGAATCAATGGCTACATTCCAGGACTAAGGCATGAATATAAATGGACCTGCCCTGACAAAGCTTAAAACCACGTCTCTGCAGGAGTCAGGTGATCCACAAGTTACTTATATCAACATTCTTCACAGGAAGACACAGAATCAAAAGGTCTGAAATGTATCATTCATGATGTTCAGCATACAATAAAAAATTAGTAGGCATGCAAAAAGTAGAAACGTTTGACCTATCAAGAGAAAAAAATAGTTTGTTCTTAATAAAAGTAGGCTGCATTAACAATCCAGATCTTAGAATTAGAGAGCGATCACCTTAAAATACCTATTATAACATGTAAGTAATTCACAGGTAAAGATGAATATACAAATGCTTTATTAAACTTATAGTGAGGTTATGTCACAAACTCAGTGAGTTAAAAATACTATAAGTCAAAAATGCACTTAATACTCTTATAAACCAAACCCATCATAAAGTAAAACAAAAACAAAAACAAACCCATAAGTTGAATCATTGTAAGTTGGGGACTGTCTGTAATAGGTGAAGAGATGAGGAATTTTAAGAGAGATATAGAAATCATAAATAAAGAATTAATGTACATCACTATCTGAAGTCAAGTATTTATTGGATAGGATTAACTTGATATTGGATATATTGTGGAGAGAAAATGATCAGCAAAAATGAAGAAATGTCAAAAGAATTTCCTAAACCAAAGCACAGAGAGAATTTTAAAAGGCAAAAACAAGGAATAGAGAGAGCCTCAGTGACCAATGGAACACTATTAAACAGTCTATTATATGTGGAATCAGAAGCTCAGAAGTACGTAAGAGAGAAGAAGCAAGAAAAAAAATTGAAGAAATAGTTGCCAAAACTTTCCCAAATTTTATTAAAAACATCCAGCCACTGATCTAAAATCCTCTGAGAAACTCAAGCAGGATAAACACAAAGAAAACCACAAGTAAGCATATTGGAGTGTGGCACAAGTTTACTCTTTGACTTTCAGCTGCTGAAGCTTAAAGATAAAAAGGAAAAAACAAAGACACGTGAAATATAGGGAAACAATGCTACAATGATGCTGTTCTCCTCATAAGAAACAAGGTAAGCCAGAAGGCAACAAAAAAGTATCTGTAAAATACGGAAAGAAAGAAACATTCAACATAGAATATCCTTTAAAGATGAAGATAAAATAACACACTGTCATTAAATTGAAGTGAAAGAACTGGCAGCAGATATGCATTATAAGGAATGCTAAAGAAAGTTCTTTAGGATGAAGGTGTGTAAGACTTGATAGAAACACACCTGTAGGCTGGGCGCAGTGGCTCATGACTAAAATCCCAACACTTTGGGAGGCTGAGGCGGGTGAATCACTTGAGGTCAGGAGTTCAATACCAGCCTGGCCAACATGGTGAAACCCCATCTCTACTGATAATACAAAAATTAGCCAGGCGTGGTGGCGGGTGCCTGTAGTCCTGGCTACTTGGGAGGCTGAGGCTGGAGAATCGCTTGAACCTGGGAGGTAGAGGTTGCAGTGAGCCAAGATTGTGCCATTGCACTCCAGCCTGTGCGACAGAGCCAGATTCTGTCTCTAAGAAAAGAAAAGAAAAGAAAAGGAAAGAAAAGGAAAGAAAAGGAAAGAAACACACCTGTAGAAGAGGAAATGAAGAGCACTGAAATGGTGAGTATATAGTAAATAGACTATTTTTTCCTTAATTTCTTTAAAGTAAGTGGTTGTTTATATAACAATGTAATGTGGAGTTTATTACATGTAGAAATAAAATATATACAACAATTGCAAAGGGGATGGGAGAGCATTAAGTTAAAATATACTATCGTAAGATTCTTCTATATCAAGTGGTATAATATTAATTCAAGGTAAATGTGACAACTTGATGCATGTTGTAATCCTTAAAGTAACCACTAAAAGAATAATGATTAAAATATTAAGAATCATGCAAAGAGATATGCCTAAATATCCAAAAGAGGCGATTCATCAGTTGCTAAAATGATGACTTGATTTGGCAGGAAAGGAGGAACAAAGTAAAAAGAACAAAAAGGGAAAATTGAAAACAAATAGCATGATGATTTATTTAAACCCAACTATATTAGTAGTTACGTTAGATGTAAATGGTTTCTAACAGAGATGAAAAGGGACATTTTATACTTGAAGTATTAATTTATTGAGAAGACATACTAACCCTAAGTGTCTTTGCACCTTATAATAGAGCTTCAAAATACATAAAGCAAAAACCGGCAAACCGAAAGGAGAAATAGATACATACAAAATCATAGTTGGAGACTGTAACATTCCTCTTTCAGAAACTGATAGAACAGACGAGGTGCAGTGGCTCATGCCTGTAATCCCAGCACTGTGGGAGACCGAGGTAGGTGGATCACCTGAGTTCAGGAGTTTGAGACCAGCCTGACCAACATGATGAAACCCTGTCTCTACTAAAAATACAAAAATTAGCCAGTTGTGGTGGTGCACACCTGTAATCCCAGCTACTCAGGAGGCTGAGGCAGGAGAATTGCTTGAACCCAGGAGGCGGAGTTTGCAGTGAGCCGAGATCCTGCCACCGCAGTCCAGCCTAGGCAGCAGAGCAAGACTCCATCTCAAAAAAAAAAAAAAAAAAAAAAAAAAGAAAAGAAACTAATGGAACAAGTAGATCAAAAATCTGTAAGATATAGAACATTTGAATAACACTATCAACCATATTGTTATAATTGGCATTTACAGGTGATTATACCCAAAAAGTGCAGAATGCACATTCTTTTCCAGTGCCCACGGAACTTCATGAAGAGAGAATCTGCTGTGCTGTAAACCAAATACCAGTACTGATCTTCGACAAAGCAAACGAAAACATAGAGTGGGGAAAGTTGGGATAATTGGCAAGCCACATGTAGGTGAATGAAACTGGATCCTCATCTCTCACCTTATACAAAAATCAACTCAGGATGGATGAAGGACTGAAGTCTAAGACCTGAAACTATAAAAATTCTAGAAGAGTACATTGTTTGATTATAATGGAATTAAACTGGAAATCAATACCAAAAAGATAACTAGAAATCCTCAAGTTTGAGGAAATTTAGCAACATACTTCTAAATAACCAATGAGTAGAAAAATGACTAGAAATTAGAAAAGCTCTCAAACTCAATTAGAATGAAAACACAATATATCAAAATGGGTGGGTGCAGACATTGACAATATACCTAACCAGTAGTCTACAAAACTGTTGAGATCATCAAAAACAAGCAAAGTTTAAAAAATTGTCACAATTTAGAGAAGCCTCAGAAGACCTGATGACTAGACATAATGTGCTCCTGGATAGGATCCTGGGACATAAAAAGATATTAGGTAAAAACTAAGGAAATTCACATAAAATATGGACTTAGTTATGAATAATATACCAATGTTGGTTCATTAGTTATGACATACATGTAGATGTATGTTTACTTACACATAAGAGATATTAATAGCAGAAGAAACTGGCTATTGGGTATATGAGAACTCTCTGTATTGTCTTTGTAAATTTTCTGTAAATGTAAAGCTATTCTTAAAATTAATAAGTTTTTTAAAGAAGTGTAGAATTTGGCTAAATCAGTTTTAGGGAAAATTACAGTTTTAAATATTTACACTAGAAAATAATAAAAATTTATATCAATGACCATATATCTTATATTACAAAGCTAGAAAAAGTAGAAGAAATCAAGCCTAGAGTAAATAAAATGAAGAAATCTAAAGATAAGCATGGCAGTCAACTAAATAGAATATGGTCAAACAAAACAGAAAATTAACAAACCCCAAAGTTCGTTCTTTAAAAATATTAATAAAATTTAAGAAAAAATCCAGCAAGACTGATTTGAAAAATAGAAAAAAACCCAAATCTCCAATATCAAGAATGAAAGAGGGACCATCACTACAGTTTTACAGACATTACTAGGATAATACGGAAATATTATAAGCAAATTTATGCAAATAAATTCAACAATTTATATGAAATGGAAAATTCCCTTGGAAAACCCAACTTACTGAAATGAAGACAAGAAGAAACAGAAAAGATGAAAATCCCTATCTTTATCTATCATGGAGCTTGAATTATAATTTAGAGCCCACAAAGAAAACTCCAGGCCCAGATGGCTGCAATTTTTATTTCTATCAAACATTTAAGGGGAAAATAATACCAATGTTATACAAACTTTTTTCAAAAATAGGAATGAAAATTTCTCAGCTCATTTTATGAGGTCAGTGTAAAGCTAATACCAAAATCTGAAAAGGGATTATAAGAAAGAGAAAATTATAGATCAATATTGCTCAGGAAATTGATGCAAAATTTCTTTTTTTTTTTTATTATACTTTAAGTTTTAGGGTACATGTGCACATTGTGCAGGTTAGTTACATATTTAAACATGTGCCACGCTGGTGCGCTGCACCCACTAACTCGTCATCTAGCATTAGGTATATCTCCCAATGCTATCCCTCCCCCCTCCCCCCACCCCACCACAGTCTCCAGAGTGTGATATTCCCCTTCCTGTGTCCATGTGATCTCACTGTTCAATTCCCACCTGTGAGTGAGAATATGCGGTGTTTGGTTTTTTGTTCTTGCGATAGTTTACTGAGAATGATGATTTCCAATTTCATCCATGTCCCTACAAAGGACATGAACTCATCATTTTTTATGGCTGCATAGTATTCCATGGTGTATATGTGCCACATTTTCTTAATCCAGTCTATCATTGTTGGACATTTGGGTTGGTTCCAAGTCTTTGCTATTGTGAATAATGCTGCAATAAACATACGTGTGCATGTGTCTTTATAGCAGCACGATTTATAGTCCTTTGGATATATACCCAGTAATGGGATGGCTGGGTCAAATGGTATTTCTAGTTCTAGATCCCTGAGGAATCGCCACACTGACTTCCACAATGGTTGAACTAGTTTACAGTCCCACCAACAGTGTAAAAGTGTTCCTATTTCTCCACATCCTCTCCAGCACCTGTTGTTTCCTGACTTTTTAATGATTGCCATTCTAACTGGTGTGAGATGGTATCTCATTGTGGTTTTGATTTGCATTTCTCTGATGGCCAGTGATGGTGAGCATTTTTTCATGTGTTTTTTGGCTGCATAAATGTCTTCTTTTGAGAAGTGTCTGTTCATGTCCTTCGCCCACTTTTTGATGGGGTTGTTTGTTTTTTTCTTGTAAATTTGTTTGAGTTCATTGTAGATTCTGGATATTAGCCCTTTGTCAGATGAGTAGGTTGCGAAAATTTTCTCCCATTTTGTAGGTTTCCTGTTCACTCTGATGGTAGTTTCTTTTGCTGTGCAGAAGCTCTTTAGTTTAATTAGATCCCATTTGTCAATTTTGTCTTTTGTTGCCATTGCTTTTGGTGTTTTGGACATGAAGTCCTTGCCCATGCCTATGTCCTGAATGGTAATGCCTAGGTTTTCTTCTAGGGTTTTTATGGTTTTAGGTCTAACGTTTAAGTCTTTAATCCATCTTGAATTGATTTTTGTATAAAGTGTAAGGAAGGGATCCAGTTTCAGCTTTCTACATATGGCTAGCCAGTTTTCCCAGCACCATTTATTAAATAGGGAATCCTTTCCCCATTGCTTGTTTTTCTCAGGTTTGTCAAAGATCAGATAGTTGTAGATATGAGGTGTTATTTCTGAGGGCTCTGTTCTGTTCCATTGATCTATATCTCTGTTTTGGTACCAGTACCATGCTGTTTTGGTTACTGTAGCCTTGTGGTATAGTTTGAAGTCAGGTAGTGTGTTGCCTCCAGCTTTGTTCTTTTGGCTTAGGATTGCCTTGGCAATGCAGGCTCTTTTTTGGTTCCATATGAACTTTAAAGTAGTTTTTTCCAATTCTGTGAAGAAAGTCATTGGTAGCTTGATGGGGATGGCATTGAATCTGTAAATTACCTTGGGCAGTATGGCCATTTTCACGATGTTGATTCTTCCTACCCATGAGCATGGAATGTTCTTCCATTTGTTTGTATCCTCTTTTATTTCCTTGAGCAGTGGTTTGTAGTTCTCCTTGAAGAGGTCCTTCACATCCCTTGTAAGTTGGATTCCTAGGTATTTTATTCTCTTTGAAGCAATTGTGAATGGGAGTTCACTCATGATTTGGCTCTCTGTTTGTCTGTTGTTGGTGTATAAGAATGCTTGTGATTTTTGTACATTGATTTTGTATCCTGAGACTTTGCTGAAGTTGCTTATCAGCTTAAGGAGATTTTGGGCTGAGACAATGGGGTTTTCCAGATATACAATCATGTCGTCTGCAAACAGGGACAATTTGACTTTCTCTTTTCCTAATTGAATACCCTTTATTTCCTTCTCCTGCCTAATTGCCCTGGCCAGAACTTCCAACACTATGTTGAATAGGAGTGGTGAGAGAGGGCATCCCTGTCTTGTTTCAGTTTTCAAAGGGAATGCTTCCAGTTTTTGCCCATTCAGTATGATATTGGCTGTGGGTTTGTCATAGATAGCTCTTATTATTTTGAAATATGTCCCATCAATACCTAATTTATTGAGAGTTTTTAGCATGAAGGGTTGTTGAATTTTGTCAAAGGCTTTTTCTGCATCTATTGAGATAATCATGTGGTTTTTGTCTTTGGCTCTGTTTATATGCTGGATTACATTTATTGATTTGCATATATTGAACCAGCCTTGCATCCCAGGGATGAAGCCCACTTGATCATGGTGGATAAGCTTTTTGATGTGCTGCTGGATTCGTTTTGCCGGTATTTTATTGAGGATTTTTGCATCAATGTTCCTCAAGGATATTGGTCTAAAATTCTCTTTTTTGGTTGTGTCTCTGCCCGGCTTTGGTATCAGAATGATGCTGGCCTCATAAAATGAGTTAGGGAGGATTCCCTCTTTTTCTATTGATTGGAATAGTTTCAGAAGGAATGGTACCAGTTCCTCCTTGTACCTCTGGTAGAATTCGGCTGTGAATCCATCTGGTCCTGTACTCTTTTTGGTTGGTAAACTATTGATTATTGCCACAATTTCAGCTCCTGTTATTGGCCTATTCAGAGATTCAACTTCTTCCTGGTTTAGTCTTGGGAGAGTGTATGTGTCGAGGAATTTATCCATTTCTTCTAGATTTTCTAGTTTATTTGCGTAGAGGTGTTTGTAGTATTCTCTGATGCTAGTTTGTATTTCTGTGGGATCGGTGGTGATATCCCCTTTATCATTTTTTATTGCGTCTATTTGATTCTTCTCTCTTTTTTTCTTTATTAGTCTTGCTAGCGGTCTATCAATTTTGTTGATCCTTTCAAAAAACCAGCTCCTGGATTCATTAATTTTTTGAAGGGTTTTTTGTGTCTCTATTTCCTTCAGTTCTGCTCTGATTTTAGTTATTTCTTGCCTTCTGCTAGCTTTTGAATGTGTTTGCTCTTGCTTTTCTAGTTCTTTTAATTGTGATGTCAGGGTGTCAATTTTGGATCTTTCCTGCTTCCTCTTGTGGGCATTTAGTGCTATAAATTTCCCTCTACACACTGCTTTGAATGCATCCCAGAGATTCTGGTATGTTGTGTCTTTGTTCTCGTTGGTTTCAAAGAACATCTTTATTTCTGCCTTCATGTCATTATGTATCCAGTAGTCATTCAGGAGCAGGTTGTTCAGTTTCCATATAGTTGAGCGGTTTTGAGTGAGATTCTTAATCCTGAGTTCTAGTTTGATTGCACTGTGGTCTGAGAGATAGTTTGTTATAATCTCTGTTCTTTTACATTTGCTGAGGAGAGCTTTACTTCCAAGTATGTGGTCAATTTTGGAATAGGTGTGGTGTGGTGCTGAAAAAAATGTATATTCTGTTGATTTTGGGTGGAGAGTTCTGTAGATGTCTATTAGGTCTGCTTGGTGCAGAGCTGAGTTCAATTCCTGGGTATCCTTGTTGACTTTCTGTCTCATTGATCTGTCTAATGTTGACAGTGGGGTGTTAAAGTCTCCCATTATTAATGTGTGGGAGTCTAAGTCTCTTTGTAGGTCACTCAGGACTTGCTTTATGAATCTGGGTGCTCCTGTATTGGGTGCATATATATTTAGGATAGTTAGCTCTTCTTGTTGAATTGATCCCTTTACCATTATGTAATGGCCTTCTTTGTCTCTTTTGCTCTTTGTTGGTTTAAAGTCTGTTTTATCAGAGACTAGGATTGCAACCCCTGCCTTTTTTTGTTTTCCATTTGCTTGGTAGATCTTCCTCCATCCTTTTATTTTGAGCCTATGTGTGTCTCTGCACATGAGATGGGTTTCCTGAATACAGCACACTGATGGGTCTTGACTCTTTATCCAATTTGCCAGTCTGTGTCTTTTAATTGGAGCATTTAGTCCATTTACATTTAAAGTTAATATTGTTATGTGTGAATTTGATCCTGTCATTATGATGTTAGCTGGTGATTTTGCTCATTAGTTGATGCAGTTTCTTCCTAGTCTCGATGGTCTTTACATTTTTGCATGATCTTGCAGCGGCTGGTACCGGTTGTTCCTTTCCATGTTTAGCGCTTCCTTCAGGAGCTCTTTTAGGGCAGGCCTGGTGGTGACAAAGTCTCTCAGCATTTGCTTGTCTGTAAAGTATTTTATTTCTCCTTCACTTATGAAGCTTAGTTTGGCTGGATATGAAATTCTGGGTTGAAAATTCTTTTCTTTAAGAATGTTGAATATTGGCCCCCACTCTCTTCTGGCCTGTAGGGTTTCTGCCGAGAGATCCGCTGTTAGTCTGATGGGCTTCCCTTTGAGGGTAACCTGACCTTTCTCTCTGGCTGCCCTTGACAATTTTTCCTTCATTTCAACTTTGGTGAATCTGACAATTATGTGTCTTGGAGTTGCTCTTCTCGAGGAGTATCTTTGTGGCGTTCTCTGTATTTCCTGAATCTGAATGTTGGCCTACCTTGCTAGATTGGGGAAGTTCTCCTGGATAATATCCTGCAGAGTGGTTTCCAACTTGGTTCCATTCTTCTCATCACTTTCAGGTACACCGATCAGACGTAGATTTGGTCTTTTTACATAGTCCCATATTTCTTGGAGGCTTTGCTCATTTCTTTTTATTCTTTTTTCTCTAAACTTCCCTTCTCACTTCATTTCATTCATTTCATCTTCCATTGCTGATACCTTTTCTTCCAGTTGATCGCATTGGCTCCTGAGGCTTCTGCATTCTTCACGTAGTTCTCGAGCCTTGGTTTTCAGCTCCATCAGCTCCTTTAAGCACTTCTCTGTATTGGTTATTCTAGTTATACATTCTTCTAATTTTTTTTCAAAGTTTTCAACTTCTTTGCCTTTGGTTTGAATGTCCTCCCGTAGCTCAGAGTAATTTGATCGTCTGAAGCCTTCTTCTCTCAGCTCGTCAAAGTCATTCTCCATCCAGCTTTGTTCCGTTGCTGGTGAGGAACTGTGTTCCTTTGGAAGAGGAGAGGCGCTCTGCATTTTAGAGTTTCCAGTTTTTCTGTTCTGTTTTTTCCCCATCTTTGTGGTTTTATCTACTTTTGGTCTTTGATGATGGTGATGTACAGATGGGTTTTTGGTGTGGATGTCCTTTCTGTTTGTTAGTTTTCCTTCTAACAGACAGGACCCTCAGCTGCAGGTCTGTTGGAATACCCTGCCGTGTGAGGTGTCAGTGTGCCCCTGCTGGGGGGTGCCTCCCAGTTAGGCTGCTCGGGGGTCAGGGGTCAGGGACCCACTTGAGGAGGCAGTCTGCCGGTTCTCAGATCTCCAGCTGCATGCTGGGAGAACCACTGCTCTCTTCAAAGCTATCAGACAGGGACATTTAAGTCTGCAGAGGTTACTGCTGTCTTTTTGTTTGTCTGTGCCCTGCCCCCAGAGGTGGAGCCTACAGAGGCAGGCAGGCCTCCTTGAGCTGTGGTGGGCTCCACCCAGTTCGAGCTTCAGGCTGCTTTGTTTACCTAAGCAAGCCTGGGCAATGGCGGGCGCCCCTCCCCCGGCCTCGCTGCCGCCTTGCAGTTTGATCTCAGACTGCTGTGCTAGCAATCAGCGAGACACCGTGGGCGTAGGACCCTCCGAGCCAGGTGCGGGATATAATCTCGTGGTGCGCCGTTTTTTAAGCCAGTCCGAAAAGCGCAATATTCGGGTGGGAGTGACCCGATTATCCAGGTGCGTCCGTCACCCCTTTCTTTGACTCAGAAAGGGAACTCCCTGACCCCTTGCGCTTCCCGAGTGAGGCAATGCCTTGCCCTGCTTTGGCTCGCGCACGGTGCACACACCCACTGACCTGTGCCCACTGTCTGGCACTCCCTAGTGAGATGAACCCGCTACCTCAGATGGAAATGCAGAAATCACCCGTCTTCTGCGTCGCTCACGCTGGGAGCTGTAGACCGGAGCTGTTCCTATTCGGCCATCTTGGCTCCTCCCAATGCAAAATTTCTTAAGAAAACATTAGTAAATCAAATCCAACAGTATGTAAAATAATAATACATAATGACCAGGTTAAGTTTATCTCAGAAATATGAGTTTGGTTCAACATTTGAAAAAATAATTCAATTTAAGTTGTCACATTAACAGATTAAGGAGAAAAATCATATAATCATTTTGATAAATACAGAAAAAAATTATGATATTTAATGCTTATCTATGATTTAAAATTAAAAAGAAACATCTCAGTAAACTAGTAATGTAAGAGAATTTCCTCTCACTAATAAAGAGATGGTATCAGAAACCTACAGTTAGCATCATCCTTAATGGTGGAAGCCTAGTCCAGATCATAAATAAGACAAGAACTTTCACTTTCAATCCATCTATTTCTCATCGTTCTGAAACATGTGAGGTGATCTCTACAATTGCCCCAGTTTATTGCCTGGAGAGAGTTTGCAAGCTGTGGCGCAGTACTGGGGAGCCCTGGCAGAGTGAGACACACTCCCCGAATGGAGGATTTCAAGATGAGGGTCCTAACAGACCAAGGCAAAATTAGCCAGTTGCGGTGGCTTACACCTGTAATCCCAGCACTTTGGGAGGCTGAGGTGGGCGGATCACCTGAAGTCAGGTGTTTGAGGCCAGCTTGGCCAACGTGGTGAAACCCCTTCTCTACTAAAACAAGAATTAGCTGGGCGTGGTGACGCATGCCTGTAATCCCAGCGACTTGGGAGGCTGAGGCAGGAGAATCACTTGAACCCCGGAGGCAGAGGTTGCAGTGAGCTGAGATCGCACCATTGCACTCGAGCCTGAGCAACAGAGCAAGACTCAGTCTCAAAAAAAAAAAAAAAAATTGGAAAGGAAGAAGAAGAGTGCACTCTGTTTATTCTCAGAGGACATGATTGTGTATATGAAAAACTAAGAAATCTACAAAAACAAAACCTTGCTAGAAATAATAAGCTAATTTAGCAAGGTTTCAGGATCCAAGGTCAGTATACTAAAATCAATTTCTTTCTATACACTAGCCAAAAAACAGTTGGAAAAAGGAATCCAAACATAATACTACTTAAGCCAATATAAAAATTAACTTTTTAGGGAAGATTTAAAAAGCTGAAAATTCAAAATAATGTAGTCTTTATAGAAGATTCCAAGAAATAGGGAGCCATGTTCACACATGGGGAGACTTGGTCTTATTAAGATGATAATTCGCACCAGGAGGCTTTGATCAACAGAGTCAACACAATCGCAATTCAATCAATACCCCAGTAGGCTTTCTTATAGAAATGGATAAGCTGAGTTGTAAATGTATGTAGAAATAGGCTTCTACTTCCAGCTTTAGATTCCTCCCTGTTAAGATTAAGTAACAGGGAACAGATTGTTTGATCTGAAACAACAAATTTTTTAAGAAGACAAAACACCCAAAATGACTTTTTTCAAGACCCTTGATGAAGGACAGTGATCCTTGAGAGATGGGAAATGCATGAGGTAATCTCTCCGATTACCCCAGGTTATTGCCTGCAGAGAATTTGCAGGCTGTGGTGCGGTAATGGGGAGCCCAGACAGAGCAGGGAAGACTCCCTGAATTGAGGATTTCAAGGTGAGGGTCCAGGGAGACAAAGGCAGCTGGAATTCACTGGGTAGAGTACCAGGGAGGAGAAAGTGGTACAGAGAAGGAGCCCCAGATATCAGCAGAGGCACCCCTGGAAAATTCCGTTGACTGCTGATCTGCCTATTTATGTGAGAAAACTATGCAAGGCCGAGGAGAGAATGACTTGAACAGATTAGAAGTAACCATGCCTGCTGCTCACACAGGGCCAGGAATATTGCCTGTTCCAACAGCCAGGCGGGAAAACCTCTTAATTTAGGGAGCTTTGGGTCAAATAAAGGGTTTGCTTCAGTAATGAAAAATAATTAGGCCTAATCAGAGCCAGAACTAGGATGAGGCAAATGAGATCTCTCTGGCACAAAAATTTAAGGAGGACCCTGCCCTCGTATGACTCTGAGAACAGGTGTCTCCCTAAATTTTGTACCATAGGCACCTAACTTTCTTTACCTTTGTACCAGCCCTGGCCCTAGATCAAACACTTTGCTGGTCTTGTCTATCAAATCCTAGAGAGAAGGCCCAAAAGATCAAACTATTTTTAAGCGATTTAACTGCATCTCAGGGCACAGCACAAGAATATGCATAGAAATCCAGTACCTAACTGTAAAATCCACAATGTCTGCAATCCAATCAAAGATTCCCAGGCATGCAAAGAAGCAGCGAAATAAGTCCCATAATGAGGAGAATGATCAATTGAAACAAACCCAGAAATTTCACAGATGTTAAAATCAAAAGACGAGGACACTGAAGTCACCATGATAACTATATTCATTATGTTCCAAAGGTAAATACAGTCATGGAGAATATAAAAAAGACCCAATGAAACACCCAGAGATGAAAACTACACTGTCCATGATGAAAAATATTCTGAATTGGATTAACAGCATATTAGACATTGCAGAAGAAAAGAAGAGTGAACTTTCAGATACGGCGATAGAAAATACCCAAATGAAACACACAGAGGAAAGATTTAGATGGAAAAGGCATCCATGTGCTATGGGACAACTTCAAGCACTCGTGTACATGTAATTGGAGACTCTGAAGGAGCAGTATCCCCTTGTTCATGGATCAGAAAACTCAAAATTGTTAAAATTTGAATTCGCCACAAATTGATCTGTAGATTCAATGCAATCCCAATCAAAATTCCAGCAGACTTTTTTGTTAGAAATTGAAAAGCGGATTCTAAAATCTATATGGAAATGCAGAGAAGCTAAAATAGCCAAAACAACTTAAAAAATATAGTTGGAGGGCTGGCTCTTCCTGATTTCAAGGCTTATTAAAAAGCTGTGAAAAAAAAAGCTATCATGTCATATTGACTGCAAGATAGACAAATAGGTTAAGTGAACGAGAATCAGGAGCTCAGAATTAGAGCCACAAAGGCATACAAACTTGACTTTCAACAAAGGTGCAAAAGTGAGGGAATGGAAAACGGCATTTTCAACGAATGGTGCTGGATCTATTGGGTATCTATATCTCATAAATTACACTTTGATCCATAACTTGCATTATATACAAAAAGTGAACTCAAAGTGGATCCTAGACCTGAATGTAAAACCCAAGGCCATAAAGCTTCTAAAAGAAAATATAGGAGAAAATTTTTGTGACCTTGAGTTAGGCAAAGATTTCTTAGATGTGACATTAAAAACATGATCCATAAAAGGACAAATAGATAAATTGTGCTTCATTAAAAGTAAAAACTGCTGTTCTTCAAAAGGTGCCATTAGGTAAATCAAGACAAGCCACAGACAGGGAGAAAATATTTTTAAGGCATATATCTGATAAAGAACTTTTATCTAGTGTACATAAAGAGCTCTCAAAACCCAATTATAAGAAAACCTAATTTTTTAATGGACAAAATATTTGAACATATACTCAATCAAAGAAGACATATAGATAGCAAATAAGCACATGAAAATATGCCCAACATGATTAATCATTAGTGAACTACAAATTAAAACCACAATGCGATACCACTGCATACCCACTAGAATGGCTACAGCTAAAAAGATGGATCATGCCAAGTGTTGGCAAGAATGTGGAGCCACTGGAACTCCTGTCCACTGCCAGTGGGAATGTAAAATGGTGTAATCACTTTGTAGAACAGTTTTCCAGTTCCCTAAAAAGCTAAACATACACCAACCCTATGTATCAGCCATTCCAACCTGAGGTATTTGTCCAAGAGAAAGTGTCTAGTTCACTTGGGCTGATGTAATAAAATAACACAAACTGGGTGACTTATAAACAAGCATTTATTTCTCACTGCTCTGGAGGCTGGGAAGTCCAAGAAGAAGAAGCTGGCAGATGTGGTGCCTGGGGAGAGCTCTCTTCCTCATAGATGCCACCTTCCTGTCCTCACATGATGAAAGGAGTGAGGGAACTCTCTCTGGCTTCCTTCGTAAGGGTGCTAATCCCATGATGAGGGCCCCATCCTCATGACATAATCACTTTCTACAGGCCCCACCTCCTAATACCATCACCTTGGGGAATAGCATTTCAACATAGGAATTTTGAGAGGACATAAATATTCAAACCATAGCAGAAAGCATATGTCAACAGAATGCAAAAGCATGAGTATGTCAATGCTCATAGCAGTTTTATTTATAATATCCTCACCTGGGAAACAACCCAAATCTCCACCAACCAGTGAATAAGTAAATTTTATTACAGGCATATAATGGAATATTACTCAGCAATAAAAGGAATGAACTATTGATACACTCAACAACATGTGTGGATCTCAAAATAACTGGGTGAGAGAGATCAGACCAAAAAAAGAGAGACAGTATGATTCAATTTATATAAACTCTAAAAAGACAAACTAATATGTAGCATAGAAAGCAGATCGGTGTTTGCCTAGAGAAAACAGGAGGGAGAAAAATAGGGATTAGAAAGAGGCACTTGAAAACTTTTGAGGCTGATGGATACATTCACTATCCTGATAAGGGTGATGGTTTCACAGTTGTATAGATATGTTGGATCTTACCAAACTGTACACTTAAGATACAATAAACAGGCTGGGCGTGGTGGCTCGCGCCTGTAATCCCAGCACTTTAGGAGGCTGAGGCAGGCGGATCACGAGATCAGGAGATCAAGACCATCCTGGCTGACACGGTGAAACCCCGTCTCTACTAAAAATACAAAAAATTAGCCAGGCGTGGTGGTGGGCGCCTGTAGTGCCAGCTACTTGGGAGGTTGAGGCAGGAGAATGGTGCAAACCGGGGAAGTGGAGGCTGCAGTGAGCCGAGATTGCACCACTGCACTCCAGCCTGAGCTACAGAGCAAGACTCCATCTCAAAATAAATAAATAATAAAAAAAGATACAATAAACAATGTTTATTGTATGCCAATTGTTATATCTTAATAAAGCTGTTCAAGAAATTACATGGAAATATAAGGACCTAGAATAGCCACCACAAGCATGCTAAAGATAAATACTGTTTCTGACTTGGACTATTTGACTTCAAGCATTACTGTAAAGCAACAGTAATTATTTTAGTATGAGACCATCATCCCCCTTTATCCACAGGGAATACGTTCCAAGACCCCCAGTGGGTGCCTGAAACCATGGATGGTACCAAACCCTATACGTACTCTGTTTTTTTCTTGTACATGCGTACCCATAAGGAAGTTTAACTTACAAATTAGGCACAGTAAGAGATTAACAAAAATAATTGATCCTAAAATAGAACAATTATAAGAATATACCAGCATCACTACTCTTGTGCTTCAGGGCCTTTATCAGGTAAAATAAGGGTTATTTGAACACAAGCAGTGTGATATGGGGACAATCGATCTGATAGTTGAGATGGCCGCTAAGTGACTAATGGGCGGTGGTACAGACACCACGGATAGGCTGGGCAAAGGATGGGGTGGGAGAGCAGGAGATTTCATCCTGCCACCAATTTTAAACTTATGAATTGTTTATTTCTGGAATTTCCCATTTAATATTTTCAGGCCATGGGTCACTGAAACCTGGAAAAGCAAAAGAAGGGACAAAGGGGAGCGGTATGTTGTTACACAGCTAAATCAATGTGACAGAATCCAGAGCCTAGAAACACACCCACATGTATCTAGTCAATTGGTATGTGATGAAAGTTCCAGTGTAATTCAATCGGGAAAGGAAACTTTTCAACAAACAATACTGGAACAACTGGATATCCATATGGAAAAAAAAATGAATCTTGACTCCAATGACATATAAAAATTATTTTGATGTAGATCGTAGACCTAAAATTAAACGTTAAATCACTGGAGAATATACTTTTCAGAGAGGATTCAAAAATGATAAGCATGAAAGAAAAAAATTACAAACTGGACTTCATAAAATAAAAGATTTCTGCTCATTAAAAGGCTCTTTTACTAAAGTGAAAATACAATCAACTGATTAAGAGAAAATATTTTTAGTACCTATATTTGAAGAATAACTTATATTCAGAATATGTACAGAGCTCCTACAAATCAAAACTAAAAAGGTAGTCCTATAAAAAATGAGAAAAAGAATTGCATAGATACTTTACAAAAGAATATATAAAATGGCCAATAAGTACATGAAAAGGTACTTAGCATTATTAGTCATCAGAGAAATGCAATTTAACACTGCAATGAGAATCCATTTCATTCCCACAGAATGGCTAAACTTGAAAACTGAAAATACCAAGTGCTGATGAGGGTATGGAACCGTGGGGATTCTCATAACTTGCTGTTAAAGTGTCAAATGCCACAACCACTTTGAAAAATTATTTGGCAATCTTAAAGAAGTAAATATATACTTAGTCAATCATCAAGCAATCCCACTCTTAGGTATTTGCCTGAGAGAAATGAAAACATGAATCCATAAAATACTTGTATAAAATTATGCATAGCAGTTTTATTCATAGTAGCTAAAAACTAGAAACAACCCAAATGTCCATCAACAGGAAAATGGCTCATAAAATTGTGTTCTGTTCATATAGTGGGAAACTACTTTGCAGCAGAAAGGGATGTATGAGTGATATGTGCAACAACATGAATGAATATCCTAAGCATTGTGCCGAGATGAGCACACGCCTCACAATTCCATTCACATGACGTTCTGCTGCAGGCAAACTCAGCTATGGGAGTGAAGTCAGAACGGTGGCCAGGGTGGGCATGTGGCAGCTATCTTGGTTGATAAAAATGCTCTACATCTTGATTTGGGAGTTGGGCACATGAGTGTACACATTTGTCAAAACACATTATACCGTACACGTATAATCTGTGCATTTTGTTATATGTAAATTATGCCTCAATGAAAAGAGTATTATGGAAAAAAATAACCGTGAACATATGTTCTCCCAAAAAAGTAACAATGAAATACATGAAGCTGCAACCAATGAAACCATAGAGGAAACTAGATAAGTGAATAATTATAATTGTTATTAAAAATAAAACTCTTGGAAACTGTTAGATTGGCAGATCAAGCCATCAAAAACATAAAGCAAAGATAGAGAAGATTGAATAACAATGACTTGGAGCTCTTTAGAAATGGAAATGGCAAAGATATTCCCCTCAAAAAATTTTCAGGCATAAACAGCTTTAGATAAGGATTCTACCAGATATTTAAAGATGAAATACTTTCAGAGAAGTTGTTTTAGAAAGTAGAAAGTAAGGGAAATCTGCCCAACTCATTTTATGAGGCTAACATAACCTTGATTCGAAATACTGATTAGGCCAATATAAGAAAAAAATAGATCTACTTCATTTATAAAAATAGATGCAAAATTCCAAATAAGCTACTAGCTAATTAACCCTACTGTGTAGTTTAAAAATAATCTAGTTGGATTTATTCTAGGAGGGTAAGAACAATTTGACATTAGAAATTCTATGAATTTATCTACCATATTATCGGACTAACAGAGCAAAGTAACTCTTGACAGATGCCGAAAAGGATTTGATGAAGTTCAACGTCTCTTTCTGATTTTTTAAATTTCTCAGAAAACTCTGAATGGAACTGAATATCCTTAATGCAATAAAGCTTTGCATATTAAAAACTTTGTAGAAAACCTACTACTCTGCAGATGAACTTTAATTCATTCTCTTTAATGTTGGAAACAGGACAAGCGGAAGCACCGCAGCTATTCAACCTAACACGAGAGGCTCTGGCTAGTGCCATAAGATGAGAAAATGAAAAGATAGGAAGAGAAGAGGGAGGGAAGAGACGCAGCTGTCATCACACGCAGATTATATATCATCTACATAGAAACCCAACAGAATGAACAGAAAATTGATTGGAACTAATAATAGAGTTTAGCAAGATTGCTGAATACAAGATCAACTTACTAAAATTAGTGGCTTTCCCTACACCAGCATTAACCAATTAGAAATATAATAGAAAAAGAGATACATTCACAAGAGGAACCCAAATGATGAAGTATCTAGAAATTAAGCCAGAAATAAATGCAGAAAACCTTTATAGAGGAAAAAAAAATTAAAATTTTAAAAAAACGTAAAGGACATAAAAGAAGACATAAAAATGGAGAGATGAAATTGAAAACATCAAAAGGACATAAAAGAAAACATGAACAAATGGAGAGATAGACCATTTTTATGGATGCTTTAAGTTGTAAAAATGTCAAATCTTCCCACATTAATCTATAAATTTCATGTAATTTTGTTCAAAATACCAGCTGGATTTTTTTGAGGGACTTGACAAACTCATTCTAAAATATATATAAGCCATAATGTCCACAAATTGCTAAGTCTATTTTGACAAAGAAGAGCACATGTTTTGGGGGTGAGGAGTGGACTTACCCTGCATGATCTGGAGACGTCTTGCAAAGCCAGTGCCTAGCTCGGCTGGCTCTCTGCGGTCAGGCAGGGCCAGGGATGCCTCATACGGCAGGTGTTGGCCACCTCCATCCTAGGTGGTTCAGGACCCCAGGGATTTATTGTACCCTATGTGATGGCCCCAGGGAAGAACACGTTTCCCAGCCCATTCATATGCTGGCTGGATTGAGCTCCTTGTGGCTGTAGGGATGAGGCCCTCATTCCTTGCTGACCCTCAGCTCCTGGAGGTCGCCTGCATTCCTGCCAGGTGGCCCCTTCATCTTCAAAACCCAAAAGCCAAACATGGGGATGCTTCCTCTCATCTGAGCCCTCTCACACCTCAAATGTCTTTCAGGGAGGGCCCAGGGCTCACCTGATGCAGGCTCCAGGGATTGTCTCCTTTTTTTATTAACTCCAAGTCACCCGATTAGTCACCTAATCAAAGGAGGATACCCCTCCAGAGGTCACAGGGGGCCCTTGCGCTCAAGGAGAAGAGATCATATGCATTCTAGGGGGCATCTTAGAATTCCACTTACCACATCATAGTAATGAAAACAGAATCGAGGGCTTAAAGCCGTATCCTTCACACAGGAAACATAGTGTGTGATAGAGGTGGAGTCACCAGCCAGAGGGGAGGGGATACATTATTTTATTGTCTATGTAGGGAAAACTGACTCACTGTACAGAGAGAGAATTAGATTGATTTCCTAACACCTCATACCACACACATAGAGAGTCTGGATGGGTTAAATATAAATGGATTAAAATACTATGTGTGAGGATAAAACTATAATATTAATTAGAAGTGTGCAGAATACCCTGTGATTTTCAGGTGGAGGCGAGGCTTCTTAAATAGGGTCTTTGACAAAGCACAGCCTATAGAATAAAATGCTAATGGGGTTGACTAAGTCAGAATTAAATATTTCATCCGCAGAAAATAGACTCAAAGTTAATGGAGGGCTACGGACTGTAATATGCTATTTACAACGCTGGCATTGATAAAGGATTACTATCTAGAACATACAAGGGACTGTCAGAAATCAATGAGGAAGAGATGGGAGACCTGCAGAAAACAGTGGGCAATTCGGAGAAGGGAAATCTGAAAAGCTAACAAGTACGTGAAGTGATACTCAATTTCAATAGCAATTTGGGAGGGAGATGCAAAAATAATAAGATACCAATTTTGCAAAAAACAAAACATTGTTGGGTAACACTAATGTTGACCGAGCTGTGAGGAAACAGGAGCCTAACTCATTGTTGCTGGGAGCAGCTGATAGTGATCTGGCTGCACTTAACACGTTACTTTGTGTGGCTCTTGACTCAACAATCCCCCTCCTTAAAACATGCCCCTGAGAAACTCAAGCACGGATCCAGGGGCCAGGGGACACCAAAGGCATCATTGTCCCAGCTCCTTTTGCAGAGATGACAACTTAAGTGTCCACCCCCGGGGCATGGGTAAGTACAATGAAGATGCACAGTGCAGAATTCCGTGAAATTGTCAAAATCCCTGAACTAGAAGTCTACACAGCCACAAGCAGCACAGACAGATTTTTAAGGCATATTGTTGAATGAAAAAAGTGAGAAGCAGGAGCTCGATGGCACAACAAAACATACTCACATTGGAAGCAGTACTTACACACAAAAACAAGCTACATGTGTTTCAAAGTTAAACACCCATTCAAGAACATATATGAAACCTTCCCACGAGTATGGTGGGGATGAGGATGGGGAACAGAAGGTGAGAATTGGTGACATAAAATATGATAGGCAATTGGTAATGTTGTGCCATAGAGTAAGGAGTAGGGTGAATTCAGCTGTCTGAACTTAAGTGCACATCTCAAACATATATAAATAAAGGATATGTGATGGTTGGTCTCCACGGACGCTGCTCCTTCCAGAGGTCTGGGCGACTGCTCTGAGAAAGCCACCTCTGCGTCCCTAACCCTCAGCTGTGTCCCCGTGGGCATTCCTCCATGCTGGAACTAGCAGGCTGGGTGCAGTTCCCTCCCAGAGGACTCTACGGAAAGGACCTTCCCTGGGGGGCGAGAGGAAGGTGGGGGAGGCAAGCTTCCAGCCTGTGGCAGGTGGTTATATTGTTCCAACTATCTGCTGTTCCTCTCTGCAGGAAGATTACATTCTCCATGCTGTTGACGTCAAGGCTGGCCACAGGACTTGGCTCGGCCAACGACGTGTGGGTGGGTACATTGTGTTTCACTTTCAGGGAGCGGCTTCCAGAGCCAGTGGGTGCTTCTCCACGGCCTCAAGGCCAGCAGTGTGGGGATGAGGACTGTGAGGACCACCCATATCCAGAGCAGGGACAACAGGGCCACTAATATGGATTGTGGGGTGAGTGAGAAAGCAACAGAGGTGGTTGGAAACCACTGAACTCTGGGGGCTGCCTGTTTCTGGAGCGTAGCCCCACTCAAGCTGACCAATGCAGAGCTTCAGCGGGGGAACCCGGCCCTGGTTATCCTCTTCTTCATAACTTTAGAAGTTCTAAGATCTGGCCACAGGCTGGAGAGTGAGAAGATCTGATCAACTTTTCAACTGCCCTGACACTCTGTTGGAGTGGGTCGTTATACAGAAAACTGGAGAAGCTCTTGTCCAGAGAAGGGAACTGAGACAGCCGCCCACCAGCTCTCAGCTGTCAGAGTCCCGCTGTCCCTGGACATGAAAAAGAGGCTTCTTGAGTGTCCATTGCCATGGAATTCATCCCGCCTGGGGGTGCTAAGCTGAGCGAGGGCCCTTAAGGATGTATTAAGGGCAGAATAATGAGGTGATGACTAAGGTCCTCCCACCTGGGCTGCAATTATTTCATTTTCCTGGAAAAATGGCATCATCATGATGAATACTTGGCTGATTTCAGGGCAGATTAATGCACTTGATATGCAGTGTATCCCCGTTTATCACTGGATGTGTCTTGCTGAGAGCTCGTACCTCTTAATCAGCCAGGGCCGGCTCTCCCAGCCAGCTCACTCACAGCTCCCAGCCCTCCCAGAACAAAGGACTTGCGGGGAAGGGCAATTTTTCAACCTTATGTTCCATTTCTTCGTTTTCAAATTATTTAAACACAACTTTCATCTCCTGTTACAGGCCAAATGGTGTCTTTCCAAAGATTCCTGTGTTGAATCCCTAAAACCTTTGGGGCTCAGAATGGGATTGCGTTTGGAGGCAGGGTTTTTAAGAGGTGATCAGTTCAAACCAGGTCTTTAGGGTGGACCCTAATCCCATAGACTGGTGTCTTCCTTATCAGAAGAGGAGATTAGGACACACACAGGCACAGAGGGAAGACCGCGTGAGGACACAGAGAGAAGACGGTATCTACAAGCCAAGGAGAGAGGACTCAGAAGAAATCAGCCCACTGATACCCTGATCTTGGATTTCTAGCTCTGTGGTTTAAGCCCCCGGCCTGGTAGTTTGTTATGGGAGCCCCAGTAGACGCATTCATCCCTGTTCAGCATCCTCCAATGGCTCTACATTCTCCGATTTACCAATACTGGCCTTTGGGGGCCATTGAAACACCTATTACCACTCCTACCCCAATATCTGTATCCCCTCAAATAGCTGTAGTCTGTTTTCTAATTGCAGGTTCAAAAATATGGGAAGCACCTTTCCTCTGGAGGCAGCCTGTTCAGCCTCTGTGCACGGCAGGCCATTCGAGGTCTCATGTACCCAAGTCAGGGTGTGCCCTCCCACTCCCGGCTGCTGTCTGCTCTGGCATGTGCTGAGAAGGCTGAATGTGATAGGGGCTTGCAAAGACAGAAGTATCCACAACAGGAACAAGAGGCTGGGTGTGGTGGCTCATGCTTGTAATCCCAGCACTTTGGGAGGCAGAGGCAGGTAGATCACCTGAGGTGAGGAGTTCGAGACCAGCCTGGCCAACATGGTGAAATGCCGCCTCTACTAAAAATACAAAAATTAGCTGGATGTGGTGACGGGCGCCTGTAATCCCAGCTACTTGGGAGGCAGAGGCAGGAGAATCACTTGAACCCAGAAGTCAGAGGTTGCAGTGAGCTGAGATCATGCCACTGCACTCCAGCTTGGCCCACAGAGTAAGACTCTGTCTCAAACAAAATCAACAACAACAACAACAATGACCACCACCAAAATAGGAATAAGAGGGAAAAGGGAACAGGACATAATTGTGTGAGCTTGCAACAAAACAGGTTAGGAGCCAGTGTTTCCGGCCCACGGTGAGACTGGAGGCTGCCAGGCTGTCTCTCACAGCCCTGAGGAATTTCCCATGTCCAGGGCCTGGCTTGCACCCCGCCTGGTGCCTCAGAGGTGGACTCTTCAGCGCCAGGTTCATAAAACCAGGTGCCAGCGTGCTAATGTTCAGCAGGCAGCACAGCCTGTCGTGTGGCCTGGACGCGTGTGGGCACGACCCGCGTACTCTCCATAGCTGGGGGTCCGTGGGATGGCCCATTAGGGCCAGGCCTGGGGCTGGCATGGAGCCGGAGTGAAGGTGGGGAGCTAGGCAGGCTGTTGTTTACTTGCCCTGGACTGAGAGAACTGCACAGGCTGCAGCACGGCGTCCGGCCCTGCCGGTGTGACGGGATGGGAGCCACCTGGAGACTGTTTCATGTTGACTGCACACCCCAGAAACCCACCCGCTCGGTCTCCCGAGATGGGGGTGGCCGATGCTGTCAGCCTGTCCCTCCCGTCTGCCTCCTTGGGACCTCCCCAGGTGACCCAGGCTTGCTTCGATGACACAGTCTTGCTCTAGTCTGATTTGAGTCAACATTTAACCACGGGGGTGCCAACTTTACCCATGCAGTGACCTGCATCTCTGCCCTCCAAACCTTCCTGCACTCGGTTGATGCTACACTCTCAGAAGGAGGTTTTGTTCCCCTTATTTCCATATTTGAGAGGTCCCCCCAGGGGCCTGAGCTCATGGGCTAAGAGGGAGAATTGAAGAGTGAGATCAGCAAGTGGGTCTGGATGGAGGCTTCTCTGTCCCACAGCAGGTCAGCTGGCTCCTGCAAGGCCTGTCTTTCTCTTCTGTTGGGTGTGGATGGTGGTGTCTTTGTCACAGGAGGGCCCTGGCATTGGGCAGCAAGCACATGGAAGTCACCTGAGCACACACAGCCAGGTGCACAGGACATTGCAGCTGGCAAGGTTTGGGATGAATCGGGTTTTAGGTCCCCCAATCTGTTCTCACCTGCTTGGCTGCGGAACTTCAGAACAAGATCTTCCACTCTGTCTGCTGCCCCAAAAGGGCCTCATGGAGGGTGACAGTGGCCACTAGGGTGAAGGCGATGGGACCTGAACGTCCTGCAGAGAGGTTCAGCTAAGATTTCAGTGGCAAGAGCAAAGGCACGGATATTTATCAGTCCTCATCCTGTGTGGATTCCAGGGTGCTCTGGAATGGTTAGAGTGGGCAAATCCCATAGAGGTCATGCCCCTGGCTTTGCACGGAAGGGGAAACCGAGGCAAGGAGGCTGGAGGAAAAAACTGTTTAGCACACAGTGTGATAAAAGCAGAGGTGCGGCCGGCATGCAAGGCCTGTGGCTCCTAACCCACTTCCTGCCTGTCCCCCGGAAGCTGCCTGTTGTCAGGGAAGGGACTTCCCTCCTTTAATGGGACGTTTGTACAAGAAGGGGGGACCGTTTCCATGGCATAGGAGGCTCTGATACTTCTGATGCACTTCCCCCCTCTCTCATTGGAGTGTATGTCCCCCCAGACCTTCGCAGTACTCAGGAGATGTCTCTCATGCTCCTTTACCTGATGGGTACAGATACGCCCAATGGTGGGCTGGAATGGACCGGCATTTTGTGCACACTATGCGGGCAGGCACAGAGAGGATTTGTGGTGTGAGCGGAGCCCTGCGGGTCCTCTGCAGCTCAGCTCACAGTGGGCCATGAGGTTCCACTCAGTGCCACGGGCACCAGATCAGGGGGATGAGTGGGCAAGCTGTGGATGGTGAGGCAGGAAGAGGCCCAGTTCTTCCCTCTTGCTTGGCCTCTGCGAATCTAAAACCCACAGCCCAGGGGACTTCCTTGTTCAGCTTGGCCACTTTTGGTGGGCGCTTCATGCTGTCTGCTAGTGGAAGACAGTGAGATGGTAGAAGCCACATGCAGACCCGGGCCGGCCCAAGGCCAGTGGGGTGGGCTCCAAGGTGGCCACGTTCTCCTGGTCATGGCTACTCAATCACACCAGGATTCAACAGGGCTTAGCTGCTCTGCCCTGGGAGCTCCAAGGGCCATAGACTGAGTGGACTGAATTCACTGCTCTGTTCCCAGCACTTGGCCCAGGGCACAGATGAGGGCTCAGGATCATGGTTGGAGAGGGAGGGAGACATGAGACAAGGAACAGCCCACTCCCTCGTTCCCTAGCACCTCCTTGGCCCACACCCACGGGGCTCCTCCTCACCACACTCCAGAGTCCTGTGGCCATGGTCCTGATGGTCTCCATGCTGTCAGATCCCAGCTTCTTGTTCCCTCCCTCCTTGAGCTCCTGCCTTCTTCTGGTCCTGGTCCTGGTCCTTCCCTGCCTGAGACTGGCCACGCCTTTCCAGCCTCATTGCTGCCCACCCTCCCCCTGGGCCCTGAGGTTGGATTTCCAAGGGCTTTGTTCTGGGTGCTCTTCCTGCATCTCTGCATCGCCCTGGGGAACTTCATCTGGTCCCAAGCCCCCACCACCGTCTGAGGGTCTCCTCCTTGGACCACCTTTGACCTCTAGACTTCACACACCAGCCCGCATCCTTGGCAAGCTAAATATGGCATTGCAGAGCTGAGTCAGAATCTTCCAGCACACTTTCGTGAGTGTCACTCAGTAACCCGGGCACCTAGGACAGCCACTGCCCAAGGACGCTGCCACCGCATGTCTTCCTGGTACATGGGGGATGCTCAGGGTAAGCATCGGTGTGAACCGGGGTCCGCTCTGTTTGCAGGGTCCTTGTCCCCTCAACTCCATCATACCTCCTCCATCCCCAGTGAGTGCTGGCTCATGCTCTAAGACGTCCTTCAAGCTTGCCCCATCTGCAACCTTCTCAGGCCGTGGGCTTGGAAGTGGCCTCCTTCGTGTGCTCCAAGGTGGTCCAGGCAGGCCCCCTTGTCCACCCTGATCACATGTGGCAGCTACCAGCTGCTCGTCTCCTAACCTAGACTGTGAGCTCTTGGGGGTGGGGCCGGGGTTTACCTGCCTCTGCACCCCCAGCACCTAGCACAGAGCTTGGGGCCTGCAGGAGCTCAGCAGATGTGGAACATGCACTGCCCTGCACCTGTGGCTGAGACCCTGGGAATCCTGCGTGCTGCCTTGCATTGCAGACAGAAGGCGGGAGTGCTCGCCTTTTCCCAGCTAACGCCCGTCACCGTAGGAGTCAGCACCTTGCGCGCAGCCTCCGTCTGGAAGCTTTCCAGTGCCAGCTCCCATGACCCTGAGTGTGGAGTCTCCTCTGCAGGAAGCAAGCGCCTCCACTGTGTGGCTGGGGGCTATCTAGACAGAGGGGGGCCAGGGCACCTCTGATCTGGCCTCCCTACCTTGTTTTGTGGTTGAGCAAAGCAGTGCTTTAAAGGGAATTTATTTTTCCAAATTGCAGAACAAAGAACACGATGTTTAGGAAGAAAGCACATTGCTTACATTTGAAAAAAATTAGCAGCATTATATAATGAAAGACACTTGAAAGTGTTGACTCACCCCGGGCTGACATACATCTTTGACTAGTTTGTGAAATACTCATAAAATTACATCCTGTTAATTTAAGACTTCTTATGCTAATTTTCAGTCAATTTTATTTGCCTAAGAAATTTATTGGTGGCCTTCAGGGTAACAGCCGGGTTTGGTCCAAAGATGTGGGATTCTTGTTAAAAACACCATGCCAGGGAAGAGAAACAGAACTCAATGTTAGGGCCAGAAGGATGGGAGGACAGCGTCAGGGCGGGGTGGGCTCTCGTGGTCTCCCCAGGCCCTGCCCTCAGAACCGGGCAGGGTGATGCTGACTCAGACCCCGCCCTGGTCCACACAGAGCGGAGCAGCCCTGGTTGAGTGCAGCACCCCTACTTTATAAAGGAGAGAGATGAGAGACCAGAACCCTTGACATTGCCCCTGAGCGGAGATCCACTGCTCAATGCACCCCACAAGTTGAAGTCGGCAGGAGGAGGTGGTTCTAGATGAAGAACATTTGGGTGATGTGTGAATTTATACAACAGCAAAAGGAGGCCACTTTTGTAAACTGGCATCCATCTCTTTGGGCAGGGAGGCAAGTTTATATTTGGGGCCCCCAAGCTGAGCCGGCTTCCTGGATGTGCAACAGGGCCCGGCTCTTGGGGTTGGATGTTCTGCTGTCTCTATCTTGAAGTTCCTGATAAGGAGCCCACATTCCCATTTTGCACAGAGCCCCACGAATCACATGGCTGGTCCTGCCCTCCGAAAGCAGATCACAGAACAGAGGACAGTGAAGGGCCCACGGTTACCACCCTCCGCCCAACACCAGACAGTTCTAACAATGTTCTCCTGATCTTGGCCTCACCCACCTTCCCTTCTCTAAAAGGAGGATCGAGACCCTCATGGCACCTGCATCCTGGGAGAGCCCTGCCATGGCACGGTTCTGGAAGTGAGGGCCACAGCCCCCGGGGAAGCTCCCCCAAACAGCCTCCTTCCTGTTGACCAGGACAGAGATGGATGGTCAGTGGTTCCCTGGGGTGGAATCCCCCTCCTCACCTCCAAACCCACGTACACACATGTGGCATGTTATGCCCATGCTAACCCTGAAATTCACCAGGAGCCACCGCCCTGTGCCAGAAGAGGCAGAGGATGTGCTCCCCATGCAGCCCGTGGGGAGGGCGTGGCAGGCAGGGTTGCTGTCTCACCTCCCCAGGCACCTGGCTGCTGTGGCCTGGTCTCGGGGCTCCTGCTACTGGGTTTTAGGCCCCAGCCATTCCCGCTTACAGCCACCCCAGGGCGGCTGGCCCCGTAACTGTCTCTGGCAAGCATTAGAGATAGGGCAATTTTGAGAACACGACCAGCTCAGAGAGTGGTGGTCTACCACAGATGGCTCGTCTCCATCCCTCTTAAGAAGTCTGGGCAGATGTTTTCTGCTGGATGTTGGTTGTTGGAGGTGGGAAGGATGGTAGTGGGGGAATCTGTAGGGTGCCGACTGATGTCACCTTAGGTCAAAAAAGCCCTTCTGGAGGGGCTGCTCTTTCCCAGCTTCTCCGACCAGGGACCACCAGATGGGCCATGACAACGCCTGCGTAGGCCGCCCCTGCTAGTCCAGTGCCTCCCGTCTTTCCAGGGGACCATTTGTAGCCCCATGCAGCTCTGTGCAGGCCTTGCTCCTGTCCCTTGTCCTCTACAATTGGGCAGTGCCCCTTCCTTACACCTGACGGTTCCCCGTGGGCCAGGCCTGTGTCAGGTTCTGGGAGCACAGGGAAACCTCCTTGCCACCTGCCCAAGCAGTGCCTGGCCCCGGGGAGAAGGGGAGGGCCATGGCTTGGAAGTCTCCAGAGGAATCATCCCTCCTGGCCCTGAGAGGCCTGTTTGCCCTCATCTGGGGTGCCCGGGGTGTGCTGTGGATCCCATCTAGTTTGTCCCCTCCCTGTGAACCCAGGGTTCCTCCAGGATTCCAGCTGGGCTCTGTTTGAGTGGAATTGTCTTGTGTTTGCACCCTCTCCCGTTATTCTGGTCTCGAGTTTTTCTCTCTATCCATCTTCTCTCATTTAACATAGGTTTCCCCAACACCCCCCGACCCCCGCACCAGGTTCTGAGACCCACCAAGATACAGAGTGTGATAGAACTCAGACCCCGACCTCGAGGAGCAGAGGGGGAAATTGAGGCCTGGAGAGGGAGGAGACCAGTCCTCATGTATCTGACAGCCTTCTCCTGAGACAGACGTTAAGAAACAGTTCCTGGTGGGGACACAGGACACCTGGTCACTGAGCAGAAGCTTCAGAGAAAATGTAATTCAAAGCAGAGACCTGGAGACTGCATAAGGACTGACCAATGGAAGAGGTGGTGGAATGGGTAGAGTCCCAGAAAGGAGAGGCACAGGTGCAAGCAAGGACACACACTGGAGGGAGGGGCGGCTGGGGAGGTGGGCGGAGGCCGAGTCCCCCAGGGCATCGCGTGGTGGGAGGTGGGGTCTGGGACTTGGCGCTGGGGTGGACCCTCATTGCAGGAGAGGAGACCTGGAGTGCACTCTGGCTGCAGTGCAAGGCATGGGCTGGAAGGCAGCAGGCCGAGGGTCATCAGAACCAGAAGGTCCAGGACAGGCTGAGGCCTGGAGAGGGGCACAGAGCGATGCAGGGCAGTAGGTAGAGTTGGGGGAGACTGTGGAGGACTCGAAGCACGCCTGGGATGGACTCACCGTCCATAGGGCAGGAGCAGAGACATCCGGAGGGTGCTGCTTGGGAGGCAGCGTCCCTGACATGCCGTTCACCATATGGAGCTCCCGGGGGTTTGTGGGGTGGGGGCAGTGCGGGGAGATGAAATTAGGGTGCGGCGGCTCTGAGAACCCTGTGTTGTGTCCTCTTGGCAGCTGGAACTTAGATCTGGAAATCTGAGGCCCCAAGAGGCAGATTTTCCCATCGTCCTTCCACAGGGATGATTGGATCCACAGGACGAAGTGGAGAGGAAAGGCCTTGGGGTGCCGGGGGCTGGGGAGAGGGGTTCACCAAGGAGGGTCCTGCGGAGGCTGGAGGTTTGCAGTGAGAGAGCTGGGAGGATGGGAAGCTGGGGTCAGAGATGGAGTCTGAGGATGTGGGCTCAGAGGATGAGGGGCAGGGGCGGCTGGATGGCACTCCTAGACACAGCCTTGTCCTCTCCTCAAGGTGCACCAAGTGGACGAAGAGCAACTTGTGAAGGGCCTACGGTGCCTCCAGGAATGGAGGGCTACCTGTGAGGCAGTGGTGTCTTCCTGAGACATGTGGGAGTTGAGGAGGCAGGCTGAGCGAAAAGCTGGGGGCTCTGGGGAACAGATGCAGGTCTGTCTCTGAGCCTAGAGTGGGAAGATGCAGAAGATGAAGGCATGAAAACTACGGGAGGAGTTCTACAAGTGGTGTGGGGGGCATTGGACGCCACAGGCATAAAACAAACCTCACGTCCTATCTAAACCTCGCATCCTATCTAAACCTCGCATCCTATCTAAACCACGCATCGTTTATCTAAACCTCGCATCCTATCTAAACCTCGCATCCTATCTAAACCACACATCCTACCTAAACAACGCATCCTATCTAAACCTCCCATCCTGTCTAAACCTCGCATCCTATCTAAACCTCGCATCCTATCTAAACCACGCATCCTACCAAAACCTCGCATTCTATCTAAACCTCGCATTCTGTCTAAACGACGCATCCTGTCTAAACCTCGAATCCTATCTAAACCTCCCATCCTGTCTAAACCTCGCATCCTATCTAAACCAGGCATCCTATCTAAACCTCGCATCCTATCTAAACGACGCATCCTACCTAAACAACGCATCCTATCTAAACCTCGCATCCTATCTAAACCTCGCATCCTATCTAAACCTCGCATCCTACCAAAACCTCGCATTCTATCTAAACCTCGCATTCTGTCTAAACGACGCATCCTGTCTAAACCTCGCATCCTATCTAAACCTCGCATCCTATCTAAACCACGCATCCTACCTAAACCTCGCATTCTATCTAAACCACGCATCCTATCTAAACCTCGCATCCTATCTAAACCAGGCATCCTATCTAAACCACGCATCCTACCAAAACCTCGCATCCTACCTAAACCTCGCATCCTATCTAAACCTCGCATCCTATCTAAACCTCGCATCCTACCAAAACCTCGCATTCTATCTAAACCTCGCATTCTGTCTAAACGACGCATCCTGTCTAAACCTCGCATCCTATCTAAACCTCGCATCCTATCTAAACCTCGCATCCTATCTAAACCATGCATCCTACCAAAACCTCGCATCCTACCTAAACCTCGCATTCTGTCTAAACGACGCATCCTGTCTAAACCTCGCATCCTATCTAAACCATGCATCCTATCTAAACCTCGCATCCTATCTAAACCTCGCATCCTATCTAAACCTCGCATCCTATCTAAACCACGCATCCTACCTAAACCTCGCATCCTACCTAAACAACGCATCCTATCTAAACCTCGCATCCTATCTAAACCTCGCATCCTATCTAAACCTCGCATCCTATCTAAACCACGCATCCTACCTAAACAACGCATCCTATCTAAACCTCCCATCCTGTCTAAACCTCGCATCCTATCTAAACCTCGCATCCTACCTAAACCTCGCATTCTATCTAAACCTCGCATTCTGTCTAAACGACGCATCCTGTCTAAACCTCGCATCCTATCTAAACCTCGCATTCTATCTAAACCACGCATCCTATCTAAACCACGCATCCTACCAAAACCTCGCATCCTACCTAAACCTCGCATTCTATCTAAACCACGCATCCTATCTAAACCTCGCATCCTATCTAAACCTCGCATCCTACCTAAACCTCGCATTCTGTCTAAACGACGCATCCTGTCTAAACCTCGCATCCTATCTAAACCACGCATCCTATCTAAACCACGCATCCTATCTAAACCACGCATCCTACCAAAACCTCGCATCCTACCTAAACCTCGCATCCTATCTAAACCATGCATCCTATCTAAACCTCGCATCCTATCTAAACCTCGCATCCTATCTAAACCTCGCATCCTACCTAAACCTCGCATCCTATCTAAACCTCGCATCCTATCTAAACCTCACATTCTATCTAAACCTCAAGTCCTATCTAAATTTCACGTCCTATGCAAACCTCACATCCTATCTAAAAATTCACTAAGATAGATCAGAGATTTCAATGTAAAACTACACAACTTTGTTTAAAACATAGGAGAAAAGCTTTGCAAACTGAGGGCTTGGTGGAGAGTTCTTAGACATGATACCAAAAGCACAATCCATAAAATAAAAAATCAGACATTGGACTCCATCGACATTAAGAACACTTGCACTGTGAAGTTCCCTGTTCAGAGGATGAAAAGGCAAGTCAGACTTGGAGGAAATATCTGAAAAGCATATATCTGACAAAGGACTCATAGCTAGAAAAATAACAAATTCTCAAAACTCAAAGGTATAAAACAAACAATCCAATTAGAAAATGGGCAAAAAGCATGCATAGACATTTCTCTAAAGAGAACATACGGATGGCAAATAGGCTCACAAAAAATGGGCGACAGCATTAGCCGTTAGGGAAACGCAAATTAAAATCATGAGAGTTATCAATATATGCCTATTAGAATGGCTAAAAGAAAATAAAAACTAGTGACAACCATGAGAAAATCATCAAATGTCCTCAATTTGAGAGACATTCTACAGAATACCTGACTAGTATTCCTCAAAAAACAAAACATAACAATAAACACAGTCATAACACCAAATGCCGGTGAGGATGGTGAGAAACTGGGTCTCTCATATATGGCCAGTGGGAGTGTCAGATGGCAGAGCCACTCTGGGAAAATTTGGCAGTTTCTTTAGAAACTAGGCATAGCCTTACCTTGTGACCCAGCAATTACATTCCTGGGAATTATTCCCAGAGAAACGAAAACTTTCCTTCACACCAAAACCTGTGCACAATGTTCACAGTGGCTTCATTTGCAACAGCCCAAAGCCAGAAACCGGAAGGCCCTTCGGCAGGTGCACAGTTAAACCGTGGTGCATCCGCGCTGGGGAATACTGGTCAGCTCCCGCAAGGAACCAACTGGGAACAAGCCCAGCGTGGATGGACCTTGGGGCCCGTCTCCAGAAGCTGTGTGTCACAGCCTCAAAATGACAAAATTACAGAGATGGAGACAGACTGTTGTTTACCAGGGGATGGGGATGGGGTTGGGGAGAAGAAGGGCATGGATGTGACATAAAGGGGTTGCAAGAGGGATCCTTGTGGTGATGGAACTGATTGTGCTTTCCTAAATGTACCCATGTGAGAAAATTGCATAGAACAAAATATATACACATACACACATGCACATGACGAACACATGTGCTGTGGACCGAATGTTTGCGTTCTTCCAAAATTCGTGTTGAAGCCCTAACCCCCCAAGGCATGGTATTAGGAGGTGGGGCCTTTGGGCGGTGATGAGGTCTTGTGGGTGGGGCCCTCATGATGAGATTAGTGAGAAGAGACTTAAGAAGAGATGGTCTCTCTCCAGCGTGCCGGGACTCAGCGAGAGGGCAGGGACTGAGTCTGCCAGCCCTGTGATCTCGGACTCCCCAGCTTCCGTATCTATGAGAAATAAATGTCTATGATCTGTAGTATTTGTTACAGAAACCCCCACTGACTAGGACAGCTTGTAAAACTGGTGAAATCTGAATAAGATCTGTGGATTCCACCGAGGTCAGTTTCCTGATTTTGATATTGAACTATAGTTATGCAAGATGCTACTTTTGGGGGAAACTGGGTGAAGAGTGCATGGGACTTCTGTGTACTATTTTTGCAACTTCCTGTGAATTTATAATTATTCCCCCCACCCCAACCCCCCAAAAAAAGAAGGAGAAAGAAGTAAGGGAGAGTGCGGATGCCTGGAGGGTGCACAGCGTGGGCGAGGGCCAGGCATAGCAGAAACATGGAAAGCAGCAGAAATATGCAGAGGGCAGGTTGCTTCCAACATCCTAGGCAAACCTGCCAGGCCAGACGTCTGGGGAGGTTAACTCAGGTAAGGAGGAAAGGGTGGGCCCCCAGGAATGGTGCCTGCTGGGAACAGGATGTGACCTCTCAGCCCCAGCAGAGAGAGCCCTCTGCCCACAGAGGTGTGTGCCCAGGCAAGCAGGGGGCACACGGGGACTTGTGTCCCCCACCCCGCCGCTGGGGAAAACCAGCTCTGCGGGAGCCAAAACTTGATTCCATTTGGAGCTCTGGGTAGTGCTTTTCAACAATAACCTTTTCCATCAGGGGAGGGTCTTCTGGGGCTTCTCGGAGCCACAGTCACAGCCTGGGCTTCCCAGCAGAAAGAAGTAACTAAACGATCTTGCTTTGCACACTAGGAGCTGCTGCACCCACTCTTCCCAAGTTACATGAGGACACAATTTATCTTTAGCCCGAAGCCACCTGCTTGGTAATCTGTTTCTGTGTACCCAATTGATCCCACCATCCTTACATTAGCTGGAAAAGCGGCTGACTTTATTTAAAGCAATCAGCTTGCACAGATACCCTGGACGGGGTGGTCCCAGGGTGCCCGTCTGGGCGGCCGCCGTTGGGTGACCCTGCCCTTCTTTGAATGGTGGAGCCGTCTGCTCCAACCCAGGCTAAGGAGGGACTCATGCCTTGTGAAGGTAACACTCCAACCCCAGCGAGAGGGTTTCATGCAGATTGTCGGTGGAGATTTTCCCCTCGCTGGTCACTGAAGCTATACTTCATTTTAACGTTTTGGTCCTTCTTCCAGGCAAATGATTAAATTGGTTAATAAAAAGTCTGGAAGCGTTTGTACCCAACACTGCTCGATGCTGGATAAATTGTGAAGTATATTGTTTTAATGATGTCTTAATAACTCTGAGGTTTGACCCTAAAGGAGAAGAGCTGCCTGTGCCCCGCATTCACTGGGTCATCTCAGATGCTTCTCCCCTTGTTTCTCCCATGACTGAGCAGCCACGCATCTGGACAGGTATCCAGAACACTCCCTCCCCTCCCTTCCCCTCCCCTCTCCTCTGTCTCTCCTTCTCTCCTTCTCCCTACAGGGTGACTGTGCATGTCGGCTGCCCCTCTGATTCTTCCATGGTCAGGATCTGTTGTGAGATACATTCACATAGAGGCTGAATTTAAATGATAAACAAATGTGAGTCATGACCCAACAATGTGCAAGTGGGCAGGCCACAGGAAGCCAGGGAGTGAGGGGCTTGGTCAGCCTCCTTTAGAAGGTGGCCCTGCAAAGATGCAGCCTCCGAGAAGGTGGCAGGGGCTGGCTCTTGGCAGGCCACCTACTGGGCTCTACAACCCACCGTGCGGAGGCCGTGTTTCCCCGCTTTGCAGATGTGATGTGAGGCACAGAGGGTCTGACCTCAGCAGGGGCGTTGGACGTGCAGGCGTGTGCACCTTCTGCTGAGCCCCAAAGACTCCCGGGCCCCTCCTTGCAGTTAGGACAGGACTCGCCAAATGCCTCCAGCAAAAGGTGCACATAGCTTCACTGCCTTTTTTTTTTTTTTGTATTGTGGTAACAACACATCACCTAAAATTTGCCATTTTAAAGCGTACACATCAGTAGCATTAAATATATTAACATTGTTGGCTCACCATCACCACCATCTGGTTCCAAAACTTTTTCATCACCCCAGATGAAAACCCTGAACCCATGAGCAATCACTCTCCATCTCCCTGCTCCTCCCAGCCCCTGGTAACTACTAAGCTGTCTTCTGTCTCTATGGGTCTGCCTACTCTGGACATTTCATATAAATGGAATCACACAATATGTGGTCTTTTGTGTCTGGTTTCTCTCACTTTGCATAATGTTGTCAAGGTTCCTCCATGTTGAAACCTGTATTGCATCATTCCTTTTTTATGGCTGAGTAATATTCCATTGTGTGCACACAGCACGTTTTGTTTATCCATTCATCTGTAGAGGAGATGGAGCATCTGGGTGCCTCAAGGGGTCAGTTCATCTCCAGAGGCATCTCTGAGTGGGACCTGCAGGAAGCGGGGACTTAGCATGACATTCACAGCTGCATCCCCAGTGCCTAGAACAGTACCTGGCACAGAGTAGGTGCTCAGGAAATATTTGCTGAATAATGAACAAATGAAAGAATACTTGGGTATGGTTGCCAGGAGTGACAGTGACAGCATTTTTGCTCTGATCTTCTAGAGGGAAGAGAGGGAACCCAGCTGCTACGACCACCATCTGTAGCCAACTTTTGGGAGAAAAAGCCAGTCTAGGGCTCTGGGTGCCAATCACTAGATGGGGAGTCAGGAAACTGGCCACAGGGTCGTGGCTTCACCGCACATGGGCTCTGTTACTTAGAAAGCTGAATGAGTTTCCAGTCACTGTCACAACAAATTACCACACACCCAGTGGCCCACAACAACACATGTGTATCACCTTGCTGTTCTCGAGGTCAGAAGTCTGATCCGAGTCCCAGGGGATAAAATGAAGGCACCCACAGGGCTGTGTTCCTTCTAGGGTTCTAGGGGCAGCATCTGTTTCCTTGACTTTTCCAATTTCTAGACCCATCTGAATTCCTTGGCTTATAGCCCCATCCTCCGTCTTCAAAGCCAGCCATGCAGCAGGACCTCCAATTCTCTTCCAACCCATCATCAGGTCTGTTCCTGACACAGCTGGGAAAGGTTCTCCGCTTACATGGACTCAGTGATTAGATGGTTGAGACTGCTTGGCTAACCCAGGATACTCTCCCAGCTCAAAATCCTGAATGTAATCACCTCTGGAAAGTCCCTTTTGCCATGTAAGGTGACATATTCGCAGATTCTTGGGATTGGGACACGGATGCCTTGATGGGGGGACATTATTCTGTCAGCCACAGAAGCCCCTTGGCCTGAGACTTACTTTCCCCATATGAGAAGGCAGGCCAGATAATTTCCAAGGTCCTTCCCAGCTCTTGGAGTCAGGTCATTGGAGCAGGAAGGAACAACGGCTCTGACATATCAATGGATCATCATTGAAGCAGGTGCCTTGGAGCAAGGCCCTGTCTGGCCAAATGCTTGATTTGACCTTTCCACCCATGCTTTTTCCGACTCCTCATGGTGGCCTCTGAGAGCTCTGTCCTCCTCTATTGAGGTGAGAGACACAAGCGTCAGGGAGGCCGAGTGGCAGTCCCTGGGTGGCGTGGGGACCTAGAGCCCCACTGTGTCTGTCAGACACAGAAGCAGATGGAGTGCTCTGCTGTTTGCACAGGTGATTTGTGTAAAATGCAACCACTTTAGAGCATTTTTTAAAAAAACCTATGAATTTTGCATATTTGAAATTGGTCCTTTTAGGAAACTGGAATATATACTCAATTTAGTCATTAATGTAAAAGGTTTCTGAAATGGACTTTCTCAGCAAAAATGTGGGGAGGGGGTGTTGTGGAGAATATCCGCTGATGTGACTGTAATGGTTGAGCTATTTGCCTTCTTTAAGTCTTTTTCTCAGGAGGAGCGAGCTGCAGAAAGAGAAACTGCAGAATGATGTGCAACATCTGGAGATTCTAGAGGTGAAACATCTGTATCTGTGGGCTGGCTGGCCCCTGGTCCCTAAATCCACGTGTTCTTTCTGAAGCTGGCTCCGCAGATGCCAGCAAGCAGCTGAGAAGACACGCAGTGTGCGGCTTCTCAAAATCCAAGATGGGACCGAGATATTCTCCCGGGGAGATGCACAAGCTCCCAACACCAAGCCCCCCAAAGCTTTCATCTTTACCATGTCCTTCCCTCCACTTAGGCTCCTCTGTGGATCTTACCATCTTGCCCCGAAAGACTTAACACTGCTGGGGGAGGATGGTCAGCACAAACACTACCCTTTGCTTGGAAGTGTGCCCTTTCAATAGTTCAAAGGGTATCTTTCAAGGGGCCGAGCTCTCAGAGTACAAGGCAGGGCCATGCACACACTGCGGTGGCCCCAGTTGTTTGCATAACACCTGCGGCAAGAGCTCTGCAGGTCGGCACCCACCGAGGGAGAATTGCAGCTGACCCTGAACCTGGGCCAGCAGCGCCTGGCAGAAGGGCTGAGGTCACAGACACTGCCTTCTTCCTGATAAGTTTCTGAGAAACACAGGTATGTGATGGGATGAGTCTGCAGCAGGCTGGGCTTCCTGGTACAGCCAACAGGATGGAGCTGTCCCGCTCTCATCGTCAGAGGAGCTTCGTAGGTGCTGCTTGTTGAGATCATGGTGGTTTGATCCACAGGAAGGATGCAATGCATCTATTTGTACGAGTGTGTCTTCATTCATCCCTTTGTTCATTCAAGAAATATGCGGGGACCTTCCTGCCTGCTCCAGGGAATAAAAAATAAATGCGAAAATCTTCCTGCCCTCCTGGAACTCACAGTCTAAGGAAAGAGACATACTGGCAGGCCACCTGTTACAATGTAGCCCCTTTGTTTATTGATGGATTCATTCATTCATCAAGTACCTCTTGCAAGCTGTTTATGTGGTAGGTACCTGGGTGCTCACCAGGGATGAGTCCACAAGAAGCAGTTAGTTAAAATGTCAGACGTTGCCTGTTGAGTGGTGAGCAGACATAAACCTTTTGAACAATGTGAAAATAGCTCCTCAAGAATCATTTGTTGAGAAAAGACTCTTAGGCCTAAAAGGTTCATTTGAAACCTTATATTTGATAACCACATATCAGATGCAGCCAACAGTATTTGCTGCTTCTTGCATCCATTGATCACTCACTGGGCACCCAGTAGGCACCAGAGGAGTACAGGCATGACAGAGACACAGCCCCAACTTCCAACAGCTCGTGGGTGGTTTGGGAAGAAGAAAGGTCAGAGCCCAGCGTGAGACCCATCTCTCACCCACCTGATCAGCACACAGCAAGTGCCTGGACTTCTTCTGGGACTTCTGGGCTCTACCTGGAGTTCTCTGCCTCTTCAGGGACCACCCCATTTGCTTGATAATTGAGTGACTCCTGGTAGCCTCCCCCATCCCATTGCCTCACAGTACTTCTGAGGGCTGGAGACAGTTTCTTTCTACAGATGAGAGCACCAAGACCCTCTGAGGAACGGTCACCTTGAAGGAGTGGCCAGCCTCCTCTGAGACCGGGGTGGCAGGAGGCACGCTTGGAGACCCACTTTCACTGGGTGGCCTGGTCCTTAGGACCAGCCCATTTCTGCCCTTTGAACATCAGCAGATTCATTTTAGGGCACTTGGTCCTTGGGGTTGGCTCTTGCTGCAAAGGCACCATTTTCTCCATTTAGAAACTTGGTCCTTTTGGAAGCTGGAACATATCATTAATTTATTCATTAGTTTTAAAGATTTCAAAACAGACTTTCTCAGTGAAAAAAAATGTGGAGACATGTAATCCCAGCACTTTGGGAGGCCGAGGAGGGCGGATCACGAGGTCAGGAGATCGAGACCACCCTGGCTAACATGGTGAAACTCCGTCTCTACTAAAAAAAAAGACAAAATATTAGCTGGGCGTGGTGGCTGGTGCCTGTAGTCCCAGCTACTTGGGAGGCTGAGGCAGGAGAATGGTGTGAACCCGGGAGGCAGAGCTTGCATTGAGCCAAGATCGCGCCACTGCACTCCAGCCTGGAAAAAAAAAAATGTGGAGGCAGAGGAGGGCCCTGCAGGAAGCTGGAGCTTTGTCCTGTGGAGGATGGGCGCTGAGTGTCCAGGCTGGGGCCTTAGCACTTGCAGGAGGCGGCGGCGGCGTTGGACATGTGTTCCTGCCTGGCAGAGACCTGGGGACACGGAGCTGAGGGGTCCAGGCAGGGGTGGCCAGTGCTCTGAAATCAGCCAAGTTTGCCTAAAAAGAAACCGAGGAGTGTGGAAGTTAGGACTTGTGTCTCCTCCAGATACCACCTGGGAAGGAGGCCAGGGGAGGCGGAGTCCCCTTACCTGACAGCTGCTTTGTGAGACTAGGCACTGTGTGCCCATGGGCATGGATGGGGCTGGCCGGTGGAGAGGGCATCTGGAGCAGGCCACAGCACCCATGAGGTCTTGGGAGCAGGACACACTGGGCCAGAGTGGGTGGGAGGGAGACCACGCAAAGGTTCTGCTCAGCCAACCCCGCAGCGAGTGTTTCTGTACAACAGAGAGGCTGTTTTAATTCAGACTCTAAGAAGGATGGACTCTGCCCATCACAGGGGGACTCGGACCCCTTCTTGGGGACCCCATGCTGAGTCCGCAGCCCCCAAGACCAGCATCAAGTCCTCAGGGCCTGGCACTCACCTACCACCAGCAGTGGGAAGGAGCTGCAGAATTCAGTGACAGGTCACACATCCACTGCTTACCTGCCTGGGCTGAGACCAATGCCTTTGGGATGCACCCTGGGAGGGCCTGAGGACAAAGGCAGAAGATAAGGTCCACCATCAGCGATGGAGGCAGGCAAGGATCTGGCACACTCCACAACTTCCTCCTGCCCTGCTGGTAACGGGCCCTCAGAGGCACCTGAATGAGGGAAGGTGGGCCTGGCATGTGTGCCAGGACCCTGGGAGGCCGTCCAGTAGACGGAGGCCATGAATGCGACTGCAGCTGAACTTTGAGCCGATAGGCACATTCTTTTGAGTTAACAACCCCAGTGGGGTGTTTTCATCTGCGGGACCCCGGGCAGTGGGCTGTGCAAGCCCAGCTGCTAGAGTCCATCTGAAGTGGGGAGCTGGCAGAGGCAGCCCGAGATGGACAGACCCCATCACCTGAGATGGGCGTCCCTCAGGGGAGCAAGGCACAGCCCTGTGCCTGGGAAAGAGAAAATCCACCGGGAACCTGGAGGAGAGACAGTGCTGTTGTTGTCAGGCTCAGCAAATAAAAACACAGAACACTCTGTTACATTGGAATTTCAGACCAACAATAAATAACGTCTTCATATAAGCGTATCTCAAATGTTGCATCTTTGTCAGACATTCCAACGTAACTGGGCATTGTTTTTCTTTTTTTTCAGATATTTCATCCGGAAATTGTGTAAGGAAGACGAGTTCTGACAATGCTATGAGGCTGCCGTTTGGGGGGATTCTGTGGTGGGAGGACAGCCCTGCCCGACCTCCTGAGGGCCCCCCACCCATCACCATGGCCCTGAGAGGACCTCTGTAACTTCCGCTCACAAGCACTTTTCTCTCCCAGGCCCACTCTCTTGACCAAAATAGAGACTCTTGAAAATGCGTCTGGCAGGGACAGGGGGATGGGTATTGGCCCAGCCCCTCGCTTTCCTGGCCTGAGTCCTCATTGGCCCAGAAAGGACTCGTTCTTCTCTTTCCTTTCCTCCCAAGAACGGGAAAGCCCGGGTGGCTGGCTCCAGCAGCAGGACACGCAGCTCAATCCTGCAGAAGCTTTGAGGATCCCCTCTGTAGGGGGTTCTGAGGGTACATTCAGGGCAGCTCCCAGACCCTGCTGATCAGGTCTTAAAGTCCAAAACTCATGAGATGTCTGATTGCGAGGGTCCTCAGCCCTGCCAACCCAGATGCTGCAGCTGAGGTCTGGAACCAAGGGGTGACCTGGCAGAGGCCACCAGGAGCTGGTGGCAGGCAGGAGGCATCTCCGGGTGGGCGCATCGGATGGGCTGGTCCTTCCTCTTTAAGATCCCTGGCAGTTGGTTTAGTCAAAAGGGGCTGGTTCTCCCCTCCAGAAGCCTGGGCGAGGTGGCCCACCTGGAAGGGACAGGCACCATCCTGGTGGGTCTGGAGGTCTTAGGTCAGAAAATCTGCTGTTTTCTTGGAGGGGGGCTGGAGGACAGAGCCCCTGCACAGAGGGGGCCCATGGCCTTGGTCCTTCCGGGGCCCTATCTGTGGTTCGCTGTCCACTCCAGCCCCAGGCCCTTGGGCACTGAGGATGGCCACTGGGGGGCAGTGCGAGCCAGGAGACCTGGCAGGGATCCACTGGAGCTCCCTGCCCAGCGGGCCCTGCCCAGGAGGAAGCGGCCCAGGGTGGTGAGGGGCCCTGGCAGGCACCCCCGCCTCTCCTGCCTGAGGCGGTTTGGGGACCAAGGCCCTGCTTGGGTACTGAGCTTTTCCCTGATGTCTGTGATCACAGCCCTGGCCATACACAATCACGCACACACACACACGTAAGCACACACATGAACACACGTACACGCTCATAAACATCCACACTCAAGTGCACACACGCAAACACATGTACATGTACACGCAGAGACAGTCATACTCACACATGTACACAGACGTGCACTCACACGCGTTTATAAGTCACACACAACCCACAGAGACATGTTCCCACACACACGCACCCTATTTTGCACATACGGCACACACACAGGCCCAGGAGGGTGGCAGAGGCACCAAATGCCCTCTCGGAATGCAGGGACCTTGAATTTTCCATTTGTTTCTCCCTTGCCGGCAGCCTAGCTGGGAGCTGGGCTCAGACCCTGCTGCTTGAAGCAGGGTGAGCCCCTGTTAGGTCCCCACCGCCAGGCTGGGCCTTCCTCAGAAGCCCCTTCTGCTGCCAAGCAGACCCCCGGGTCCCTGGGCTCACTGCCCTCCCTCTGACCTTGTACCCCAGCTGGGCCGTGTCCTCTGCGAGGCTGGACCCCGCGTCCCTTAGGAGCCCACCCTAGAGGGGGATTCTCTGCTCTCCCGCAGCCCCACTGTGCGGCGTGATCGCACTGGGTGGTCGTGTCCTCTTCTGCGCAGGGACTCCTCACTAGGCTGGAGTCTGAGAAAGGCCCCCCACCCCCGCTGCTCCCCCACTTCCCTCTCTCTTCCGCCATTGTCCTTAGCTGTCTTCTTGCAGCTGCCATCCTCCCTCTGTCTTACAAAGGGAAACCTGGGCCCCCAGCACAGGGAGTGGCTCGCGCAGGGTCACACGCAAGTCAGGAGTGTCTTTTCACAGCTGTCCGAATGCAGGGGGAGCTGCTCCCCTCAGGGACCTTGGTGAGCCCACCCCTGTCGGGTGGGCGATGAGAACCGATGCCCTGAAGTCCCTCCCCCACCGACTCTAGACCACCCTATTTTCATCTGGCTCTGTGAATATGGAAACAACACAGCCCCCAGCTCCCACTCCCTTCCTCTCTCTGCAAACAAGCATTTCCTCACCCCTAAGTGCCATGTCTGCCTGAAAGGTCATGGCTCCTCGAGACCTCCCTACTCTGCTCCCCCAGGGGACCGTCTCTCCTACCCCCTGGACATACAGCCCTTGGCTGTGGGTGCAGAGCCCTTGGCTGCGCTTTCCTTGTTGGGTTTTCTGCTGGTGCGGTGAAGGAGGGCCACCCGACTCCCTCACCTCAAAGAGGGGGACGTGGGAGGCCCCAGCAGAGGGTACATCTGCAGCAGGCAGGGTGTGTGGTGGGGCTCTGGGGCTCTGGGGCTCTGGGGCTGTGGGGCCATGGGGCTGTGGGCTGTGGCTGTGGGCCGTGGTCTGGCCTCACCACTTGCTGTGAACAGGTTCCAGCCCACAGCCTTTTTTCATGGAAGAAATTCTCTGGCTAAATCCAATTCTCCCAGTTGCCAGACAAGCCTGCCACAATCCCATATCCTGTTCTAGGGACGTTTGTTTAGCTTTGTGCACAGACAAAATCGGTGAGAGTTTCTACATACAGAGTGTGCCTTAACGGGCTTGCATTTGAGGCTGGGGTCTGTGTGGGTGAGGGCGGAAGGTGGGCCTTGCTTCCGACCCTCCGCTGTGTGGCCTTGGGGAGTCGCCATCCCCCAGTCTCCACTCCTCCTCTGCTGTAAAACGAGGACAATGGGGCCCAACCTTTGGGGTTGCTGTGAGGATCCCTTTATACACCCGGCAAGGGGCCCCTTTCAACAGTTCCCCCAGAATGGGGATTGAAATCCTGAGGGATTCCCGTTGCCATCAGCATAAGAGGCCTCATCTTCCCCACCGTCTCCGAGGGCCCTGGATTATTAAGAGAGTAACCAAAACTGAGGTTTTCATTCCCCATGCTCCTCTGAGCTCCTCGGTCCCGAGATGCTGTTGAGGCCATGTTTTCAGTTCCCCAGGCCTCCGGCTGGCAGGAGCCTCCCCTTGGCTCTGATCCTGTGCCATCAATCTTGCTCACCAAGACTCAGCCCCCGTCTGGGTGGGCTTAGGGAGGCGGGAGGCCTGGTGGCTTGGCACGTGGAGGGGGCCGCAGAGGCGCATGCAGGAGGCCCTGGCCTTCCTGGGGAAACGCCTGCCAGCACCTTTTGCAAACAGCCCGCCGGGGCAGGAGCAAGAATGCGCGGGAAGGAGCAGTGTGGGGAGGAATGGTGCGGGGTGGAGTGGTCTGTGCCGTGGGCCCTTGGGGCCTGAGGAAGGGCAGGTTTTCAGGAAGCCCCTGAGGCCCAGGGTGCACTGTGCACCCTCATTTTGCCACACGTCTCCTCTTGGCCTTTGCAAACTCTGCTCTCCAGCTGCCAACATTTTTTGACAGCGAGGCACCGCTTTAACCAGACCCCAGCTCCTGGGCCTGAGAGCACTGCTTTACGCGGGCTAAGCACAGGCCCGGCGCCGAGAGAAAACACATTCATGAAAGCATCCACATTAATCATGGGCGATGGCACAGAAAGGAACCGAGGCTAGCACTAGACAGCACTGTGTGTGGGGGCACTTGTGTGTTCATGTGTGTGTGCGTGCTTACATGTGAGCGTGTGTGTGTGCACTTACAAGAATGTGTGTACGGATGTATGCACGTGACCGTGTGTGTGTGTGCGAGTGCATATGCTCACGTCTGTGTGTGCGTGACTGTGTGCGTACCTGCCTGTGGGGGGGCACATGTGTGGGCATGTGTATGTGGGCATGTGTATGCAGGCATTCATGTGTGTGCACTGTGCTTGAACGCTGGCAACATGTCACCAAGAATTCTGCTAGGCAAGGAGAAAGAGGCCCGATGGGCTGTCCCAAGCTTTGTTTTGAAAGGCCCTTTTCCTCTCCTCCTCACAAACCAAGTCATGCCTCTCTGACTTTGCCATTTCCCTTGGCCCTGGCGGCGGTGTTTGCCAGCTCCGCAGGGAGGTCTGGTGGTCTGGTTGTGGGGTGGTGTTTCCCACATTGTTGAAAGGTTTGGTGGGCAAAAGCATCCAGTTTTCATCCTGACCCCAAAACCTCCAGCCAAGGCAACTGACACTCAGTCAATAATAATACAAAATTAATCTCATGTTTATATGGAATCTTCCACCCCAGAGACAATCGCCTTGTTTGGAAGCTGGGGGTGGATTAGCTGGTGCGTGACCCGTGTGGGTGAAAGTGAGGAAAGCCAGCTTCAAGGCCAGGCCACCACCACACTCTGTGACCTGGGACCTGCCACCCACCCTCTTGGCCTCGACATTCCCTAGAAGGAAGGACCAGGGCCAGGTGTCTCCTGGAACTCTGAAATCCTGAATCAGAAGTGTGACCCTGAGAGTAGGTCTGTGTGCTCTTGCTAGGAGGATTTGCTGTCTAAAGGCCATGGCATCCAAGGTAGGTTCTGAACATGCAGAGGCTCATGGAGGAGGAATACAGGAGGAGGGGAAGGCATAGGGTTGGCTCCTGGGACTTGTGGGCTGTGTGGGGTTTGGGGTCTGTTTCATGCTTGACACATGTAAACATTTACTCAAACTCTGTCTCACTTCATGAAGGAACACCTCAGCCTACAGGCACGATATAGCAAAACTAAGTGAAACACAAACACACAAAAGGTCCCAGGTAAGAGTAAATATACATGAGAAGAACTGAACAGCAAAGAGAAAAGTAAAACACAAATATACAGGCCAATAGGTCCTGTAGAGTGGATTTGTCTGAAGTTTTGAATTTGTCTCTGAGATTCCTGGAAGCCAAAATGAAAAGGGAAATAAGATTAGTTCAGTTGTCTTCACAATCCCTTAGAATAAGATTTCCCAACTCTCTATCCATCAGGGCACACAGAGAATATGTGAGACCCCAGGGGAAAATGTATGGGGCCACTGTCATCATCCTGGAGACCGTCCCATGAGCTGAGCAGAGCAGTGTCTTTGCACACCAGTGTTAGGAAAAGGCTCTGTCAAAGACAGCAGTCATTCAGTGCTCTGGAAGGTGCAAAGCTTTTTCTAGCTTTGGCTCTGAAAGATGCTTTTCTCATGAGGCTCCATCTAGGTGGCCCTGAAATGAAAAATGGATAATGTCCCCAACAGCATCTGGACAGCAAATGCGGTGATGAGTCTCATAAAACTGCTTCTTGTAACTGCCCCCCGTGAAAGCTGAGGGCACGCATCCAAATGGCAGAGGCTGCAAGGTGAGAGTGAGCTACAGGCAGACAACCTTGTAAACCTGGCTGGGCACTGTGCCCACCTGCAGGGTGAGGCAGGTACTCGTGCCTTTCCTGAGCACCTGCTATGTGCCCAGTCCTGATAGGAGGTTTATATACATGGTCCTGTTCAATCCTCCCACACTGAGCACAGTGGCTCCAGAGGCCCACTTCATAGATGAGGGCCCAAATCTCATCCATGACCCAGCCTCACACCAGGTCTCTGTGGCCCTGCAGCAGCTCTGTCCTCTCCCTTGGCCTGGTCCTTGGACCTAGTGGTCACCTAGGGTGCAATGCTCAGGCTGTGGTTCTGGAGCTTTCCAGCTTGTTCGAGACAGCAGGGTGAGGCACCTGCACAGGTTAGGGTGGGCACCACCACAGCCCAGGCCTAGGCATGGTGCCCTAGACAGGGCACTGATGGTCAGCTCAGCCTCAGAAAGGGCCAAGGCTCACACACCTGCAAGTCCCTGCATGGGATGAGGTCCTCACACCCTCCCTGTGCCCTTGTCCTCGCTGAGCCCTTCCTTGGGGTGACCCCATCTTATCCACAATCACACCTCTATCCCCATTTCACAGACTTGGAAGCAGGCACAAATGATACAGGAGTGCTGGGAAGGGAAGAGCGTGGTCCCTTTAAACGATACGGAAGCAGGGAAGGGAAGTGCTGGGTAGAGAAAGGCGGATCCCTGGCCGGGGCTCCACCCCCACGGACCTAGATGAGGACAGGCATTTCCTGCCCATATGCTGCATTTACCAAGACCACCCTGGACTGCCTCGCCTCCATCCTGGGCCTATACAAACCCTCAAGACACTAGCGGGCCAGAGGAGGAGAAGAGCACATCGGCCGCGGAAGGAGACACCAAGCGGCTGGTCTGGTCATGGAGAGGCTGCGGAGGGGGCGAGGCTGCGGAGGGGGCGAGGCTGCGGAGGGGGCGAGGCTGCGGAGGGGGCGAGGCTGCGGGGGGGGGCGAGGCTGCGGGGGGGGGCGAGGCTGCGGGGGGGGCGAGGCTGCGGGGTGGGGGGCGAGGCTGCGGAGGGGGCGAGGCTGCGGGGGGGGCGAGGCTGCGGGGGGGGCGAGGCTGCGGGGGGGGGGCGAGGCTGCGGAGGGGGCGAGGCTGCGGAGGGGGCACGTCGGCGGGAGAGCACAGCGACAAGCCCCGGCACACCCGCAGGCCCTTGAACCAGAGGGACGAGTCGGAGTTTGGCTGGGGCAGTCAGGGGAGAGCCGGGGCCGCCAGCAGCCCAACTCCAGGGGAAAACCGTCTCCCTTCTGGCTCCCCCATGGGCTGAGAGCTATAAATAAAACTCAATAAAACCTTAATAAAACTCAATAAAACGTTACACTTATTCTCCAAGCCCAGGTGTGATTCAATTCTTCCAGTACACCAAGGCAAGAACCCTGGATGCACAAAGCCCTCTGTCCTTGCCTCAAGGTGGAGGGTCTAATTGAGCTGGTTAACAAAGGCAAACTAAGAGAGTACCTGTAACACACACCCACTGGGGTTTCAGCTGTAAACATTCACCCCTAGACGCGGCCATGGGGTCGGACCCCCATGACCTGCCCTCTGTGTGCTCCCCTAGAGGTTTGGGCAGCAGGGCACTGATGGAGCGAGTCACATCCCCATCGCACGCCCTGCGAGAGGGACAAGGGAACCTTTCCTGTTGTACAGGAAGGTAATAATAGCTTAGCTGGGATGAGAACCCAGACGTATCCGTAGTCTGGAGGCTCGTGTTTAGAGACGGACAGCCGTGAAGATGTTACACCTAGGGGAGGAGCGAGGGGATAGCTACCCAGGAGCACGCAAGGAAGGGAGGAGCTGCCCAGAGGGAGACCAGGGCCAAGGTCTCTGGGCAAGGGCAGGGGAGGGCCAGGGAGGGCTGCCGGACAGTGGAAAGCGCTTGCCAGGCAAGTGGGCTTTGGGGAGCAGGGAGCATTCTAGACAGAGAAGACTGCACACAGAGGCCAATGTGAGCTGCTGGGCAGTCCTGGGGAACTCCCAGTGGGCAGAAGGCAGAGCTGCAGGGCACAGGGGGCCTTGGGAGTCAGCCTAGGAGGCTTCCCAGGCTCTGGCCCTGAAGCCTGGGGCTCCACAGACGTGAGTCTGCACCATAGAGGCATCGTCTTGACGTGAGCACGCTGGCAGACGCCACACACATTCACCAGAATGACGCTGGTTATTTTATTTACCTGAAGTTCCCCATGAATTTTAAGTTTTTTATTTTTATTTTTCATTTTTTAGAGAGAGAAACAGTGAAACGCAGTTGCTGGGCCCTCTGTGTCTTTCTGCAGAGAGCAAGGAAGGCCCAGGAAATGAGTGGCCTGGACCGTCGGTGGGTGAGGCCTGGACCCCGAGACCCCTCTCCTGGAGGGAAGTCAGGATGGAGAGAGACCCAGATCTAAGGCCACGAGGACTTGGCCTCCCAGAGGGCTGGGGGGCAACCAGTGAGATGGGGTGGGGGCTGTGAGGCCCCAGAGGCGTTGAGAAATGTGAAATTCCTGGCAAGAAAAGGAAGTTGTTTGAAGGAATTGGTGGGCTGGGAGCCAGAGCCCTGGGGGCTCCTCCAGGGACACCGGCAGACGGGAGTTACTTTGTCACCTTGTTCCTCGGATTGACTGTGTTTCTCTGAGGACGCCTCGGGCGGAGACTGGGCCACAGGCAATGCATATTTGGGATAGCGCCTGTGCTGAATCCTTTGCCCAGACATCACACTTCCCTTCTGCAAGGCTGAATCCTAGCTGAGAGACATCCTCCCAAACACCAATCAGCGCTCAGCGCTCCCCACCAGGCGGCACAGACCCCGCGGTTCTCACAGACCCCGCGGTTCGCACAGACCCCGCGGTTCGCACAGACCCGGCGGTTCTGCAGCTCCGTTCTCCGGGGTCCTCCAGTGCTTGAATTTTGAGAAACGCTGCGGTCAGCAATGGAGATTTGTCTTTGAAATATTATCCCACAAGATGGCCCATGTGGCCCCATCTGGTTCCCCTCCCTTTCCCCTCACACCACCATGGATGGACGGCCGGGGCTCTGGTCGCTCCCTCTTGAGTCTGTGCTCCCCACTTGGGTTCCCGGGGAGATTTTCCTGAATCCAGCACTGCTGTTCCCCTCACTCAGGGGCCAGCCTCGAAGGTCATCTCCAGTCCCCAAACCTGCATTCAGAGCTCTGCAGGGCTTTGAGACACTAACTGTGTGACCTGCTGCGGCCATTCTGAGAGAGGCCTCCGCGTAAGCTGCTCTGTGTCTGACGCCCCTACAGGGTGGTCTGCACAGCGTCCCCGGCCTGCGGTGTCCAGGGAGGGCCAATGGGTATCAGGCCGAGACTCCTGCCCCGACCTGCTTCTCCCTGGGCTCTCCCTCCCATGGAGCCCCCTCCATCTGACCCCAAGTTGGTTTCATCCCCAGCAACAGGCGACATGGTGGGGGAGCCTTCCCGAGGGCTGCTCTCTCAAGCGGCTCCCTCGAAGCTGGTGTTTCGATGCCTTCACGGCTCTTTGTTGTTCTCATCTATTATTTCTTCCTGCTGCCCTTTTGCAGGCACGCAGAACGCTCTCCAGGGCTGATGGTTTGTGGACTGGAGGGCAAGAAACCTTACCCTGTCCTCCTCCACCTTCGACATCTCTCCCCGATACAAACCTGCCCAGATTGTCCGGGGCTTGGGAGCCGCACGGGGCCGTGTGACTGGGCATCCTCTGAGTGTATGCGTGTGCAAGCGTGTGTGGGCACATGCTGTCTGACTTGAGGTGCACATCCTTCTGTCTTTCGGCACAGGTCTGCGGGTGCACGCATCTCCCCAGGAGGGTTGGCCCCCGCCTTGTGGTTGTCCCTCCCTATGTGCCTCCCACCCCTGGGTGCGTCTGTCTGTGGGTCTGCCTGTCCCTGGGTGCACCTGTCTGGGGTCCGCCTGTCTCTGGGTGCGCCTGTATGTGGGCCCGCCTGTCCCTGGGTGCGCCTATCTGTGGGTCTGCTTGTCTCTAGGTGCGCCTGTCTGTGGGCCTGCCTCTCCCTGGGTGCACCTCTCTGTGGGTCGGCCTGCCCCTGGGTGCGCCTGCCTGTGGGTCGGCCCGCCCCTGTGTGCACCTGTTCGTTGGTCTGACTGTCCCTGGGTGCCCCTGTCTGTGGGTTGGCCTGTCCCTAAGTGTGCCTGTCTGTGGGTCTGCCTGTCCCTGGGTGTGCCTGTCTGTGAGTCTGTCTGTGACAGGCCCCCCCGAGCTTTGTCCCAACCCTGACTCTGCCCCTGTCTCTTCTTGGTCAACAGAGATTACTAGAAAGTTATGCCCTATGCGGAGATGAAACTGACTTCCCTGGGACTCTGGCCTGTGGGCGGGCTCTGAGTCTGTGCCAGGCCAAGGCCACAACACGCACTGTGTACTTTGTGGCCTGCAGCTGGTCCCTGGAACGGGAGAGTGGTTTGGGCTGGAATCCAGCCTGGGACCCCTCTGCCCACCACGGTGTGTGGCAGACTGGAGGAGGGGCACCTTGTCCTTGGCATAAAGAGGCAGAGCTCACTCAGCACAAAATGGGGAGCAAGGGGTGCTCGTGGTCCAGCTGCCCCCTCCCAGGACTATGGACAGGCCTAGCGGGTGGCCATGCTTCTGGCTGCATCAGGCTTCTGGGTCAGGCTAGGCCCAGCTGTTTGTCCCTGGACCCCCTAGGCAGCTTCCCCCTGGCCTCTCTGCACCCCCCTGTGTCTCTCCTCCCTAGGTTTTCCAGGCTGAAAGCTGATGTGTCACCCCCACCCAACCTTCTCAGTGGATCCCGTGACCTTTACGTGAAAATCCATGCCCCCTTAACTTGGCGTGCAGGACTCTCCTTCCACGACCTTGCCGACCTCAGGTCTTGGCCACCCCAGGCCAGGCAGTGCCACACTCTCTCCCTCACCCCTGCTGCTGCTGTGCCCTTTCCTCCCCCTCCCTTCAAGGCCAGCCCTGTACCCTCCACTAAGCAGCCACCTCTGCCAGAAGCTCACGTTCCCCTTGGCAACGCCACGGCACCTTGAACCCTTACATGCAGAGTCCTGTTACTGGCTGATGTGACGTCTTCCCGCTCAACTGAGAAAGTGAGGCCCAGCCTGGGCGTCAGCCCCAGGAGGGCCAGTGGGGGTCGCTCAGGAAGTGCGGGGGCAGCAGCTGTGCAGCCCTGGATCAGGAGCACCCACTTGGCACCCCAGAAACCAGGGGCAGGCGTGTGTTGTGCTGAAGGTGCAGGAAGGGGGTCAGAGGCGGAGGCGTCCACATACAGACACAGGAGAGCTCTGAGGTCGCTTGCCAAGGCCTACCAGGCCAGGCATCCAGAGGAGGCAAAGAGGCCCCTCCGCAGCCGCCCACCCCTAACTGACATCCCCCACCCCCACTCCTTGGAAGACCAGTTCCAGGAATTCAGCTCTCAGTCACGACCTGGGGCCCGTCTCAGCCTGGAGATGCTGAGATGCTGTTTCCTGGAAAACAGGGTCCCACGGCCCCCGGGGGGCCCTTGTGGGGAAGGCTCACACCCTGGGCAGCCGCCAGGAGTCAGCAGGGGTGAGCGGATTCTGCAGACTCCCTGGCCAAGATACAGCTGGTGTGGGTGGGGCCCAAAGGGGCAAGAGGGAACTTTGTGGTCAGAGGGGGTAGCAGTTTCACTATCAGTCCCCAGTACCACCTTAAGAGAGGGGACACCCACTGGGTGCCAGGCTAGGGTCCTGGGGTACTCCTGTCTCTGTCCCTGATGGGTTCGACGTGGCCCCAGGCAGCCTGTGCCCAGCAAGCCTCTCACCAGGACAGCCCCAGCTCCTGAGCCTCTGCCCAGCGTCCTGCTGTAGGCGTCTCTCCTGAGCGCTGTCTTTTTGACCCCTGGCGTTCCTCTGGGGCTGGTGTGATGTGAAAATGAAGCCCAGAGGCGTTGGCCTACACAGGGGGCTGCGTGCCCTTCACTGGAGCCCCCTGGCTAAAGGAAGACAGCATGGCTTCTACCCCCGCAGGGGTGCAGGAGAGACCTGGGGACAGGTGTGCTGGGAGGGTGGCCAGTTCCGGGCCCTCAGGGCGATGGGAGGGCTCACAAGGAGAGGACTCACATGAGGATGGGCCCCAAGGCCCCCTAAAATCACTCCTGCGTCTGGATTCGGGTGAGGAGGGTCCGTGGTGAACTCTGACACTAGAGGGGCGACAGCGAGCAGCTGGAGGAGGCTTTGGCCACCTTCCCGCAAAGCTGGCCTTTATCTTGCAGGCAGCTGGAAGGTACAAGCAGGGATTAACAGGCCTGGATTGGCCAGACTCATGTTCACTTCTCCGAACACCGAGGGCCCCCGTTGGGTCTGCTCTAATTGGTTTATGTCTGACTGTAGCAAAGAACAAATTGATTTCCCTCCAGCTGTTTCTGCAGCTTCGGTCCTCACTCAGCCGTGGGCGGCCTGCTCTTCATGGGTCTGCTCCTGTCATCTCTGCTTCTCCAGGAACATGGAGTGGGGGGAAAGAGGTGGGGAAGGAGTCAATGTACATGCGAGGGAGCCTGCCTCAGTGTCCCTTCCCTGACCCCGAGCTCCCGGAGCTGGAACACATGCATGCACATCCGCACACACACGCACACCTGTGTCTGGGCTCGACATGGGCACCTGCAGGAATGAAGCCTCACATCTGAGCAGAGTGGGCTCCTCACCCATCACCCGAGGTCAGGAGTTTGAGACCAGCCTGGCCAACATGGTGAAACCCCCACCTCTGCTGAAAATACAAAAGACTAGCCAGGCGTGGTGGCTCAGACCTGTAATCCCAGCTACTCAGGAGGCTGAGGCAGGAGAATCACTTGAACCTGGGAGACGGAGGTTGCAGTGAGCCGAGATGGCACCACTGCACTCCAGCCTGGGTGACAAGAGCAAAATTTTGTCTCAAAACAAAACAAAACAAAACAAAATAAAACCCAGGCTCGCTGCTGTCACTGCACGGGACTTTGAACTCAGAGCTTCAGTCATGCTGGGGTTTTTACAAACTCGCCACCCATGTTCTTGCCCCTGGGCCTTTGCACATGCGGTTCCCTCAGGCCAGGAATGCCAGTGCATCTCCTTCCTGCCTCTGTTCTTCGGTTGACTGACAATATATCATTGTCCTTCAGGACCTGCTGGCAAGTCCCCTCTTCTGAGAACAACCCCCGTGTTTGCCCTGACAGGACGCTCACCACGCACCGAATGGAATTGTTCCCTGGGCTGGTCTGGCCCCACCACCAGGCATGTGTCTGCCAGGTCTCTGCAGCCACCATTCCTGGAGCATGAGCAGCCACCATGCTAGAGAAACAACAGGGGCTCAGGGTTTGATGAGGAGACCAGGGAACAAGTGGAATAATGGGTCTGTAACCCAGATAAACCCCAAGGCCCACATGTCCAGGCACAGCGCTGAGTCACATGCAAAGAAACAGCAGTCCAGCAACCAGAGAGTTGAGAAGGAGTCCCAATCCTTGTTGCCAGCTTTGGAGAAAAACGTTTTAGGAGATGCCTTTCATAGTTCCAGCAAGGTCTCTGTGAAGCCCTCACTGTCTTCTCTCCCCAGTTCTCCCCTCTCTGATGCCCCTGTCGTCTTTCTCTCATCCCAACACTTACAAAAACTTGTCCTGGCCCCGTCGCAGGGCTCTTTCTCTCTCTGACAGCGCCCTCTCCCCCGGCTCTTTCTGATGCAGCTAGACTTGGCCTCCTGGCTTCTTTTTTTGTTTCCTTTCTGCTTTACCCATTCTCCATATTTCTGTGCAACAAAGGGGAGCCCTGGAACTCACCCAGCCAGGAGGAGCCCTCCTCCCTCTCTTGCCCTCTAGAGACCTCTCTCTTTGTGCTCTGTCTCCCAAATCTGCATCATAAAAACCCTTGAAACCCAGCTGGCAAATAGAGGGCTCTCCTTGGGGCTGGGGGAACAGAAAGGGTGAAGCCGAGCCAGGGAGGTCAAAATTCTCTTTATTCCACAGGGGATGGGGCCATTCACATGTTAATAAATCATATTCCCCTCGTGGAGCAAGGAAACCTTCTTACAAACTGCATTTTCACCCCTCACAATTGCTCCGTGAACAATTCTACAAATAAGGAAACTGAGGTGTGTGTTGTCAGGGAGGAGAGTTGGAGGGGGGCCGTGACTCAGAGAAGGCTGCCATGTGCAGGAGGACTGTCCCCAGGAGGGGCACACAGCCTGCTGTTTTAAAATCCCATACTATTCCCTATCCTGGGTTCCATCCATACATCCCAGAATGAAAGCTGGCCCAGACCTTGTGGCTCAGACAGCCTCGTGTGCAGCCAAGAATTGCTGACTGGAGGCACATATTCAGGGATGGGAGGAGGAAATTTCCAGGGTCTCAGTGAGTTCCCTTAAGCAGATTATATACAATTCCCTGCAAGCACCACATATACCGTTTTGTTCCTAATGTTGGCTAGATGAACTGTTCAGAAAAGTTCAACCTCAACTCCTTGAAAAGCGTAGATCTGGAAGTGATTCCGGTTCCCGCACGCCCTCAGAGGATGCCCAGGCAGGCAGAGCTCTGGGGAAGCAGAGGCCGAGGGCAGCTCTCCACCAAGGCAGCTGGGGACACTGGATGGATGCAGGCCTTGGGTATAGGTGCAGCCGGCTGTGGGAACCGGTGTCCTCTCCTGACACCAGGCCTGCTTTTTAAGGTCCCTAACTACCTGAGTTTCACTGATGTGTTGTTCTTTGTTTTGGTTTAGTTGTGTTGTTTTTGTTTGTTTTATTTTGTTTTGTTTTGCCTCCTTCAGGGTTTATGGGTTGGGGAAAAAGAGGAAGCCAAAAAATTTTTTTTTTTACGTTTTACAAAAGTTTTAGTAAATTGTTCTTGTGCAACTGAAAAGCTGAAGGATTTGAAAGAAATCTATGGGCTAGGGTCAAAGTACCCAAATCAAGAACAGCTTCCTTACTCCCCACCAACCATATTCTTGTCTACCGCCCCCTCATGTGTCCTTTATAGACCTCAGGGCCACAGCCCAGGAGAGGGCACAGGCTGGGGACAAAGGGTTCTAGGCCCCCAGCAGGGGCAGGGGCAGCGGCAGGACAGATCCATGAGGATGGGGCAGGGTCTGAGGGGCCAAGGCAGAGTCACCGGCTGAGAGCATGCAGCGCCTTAGTGAGTTGCTGCTGCCATGACAAATTTCCAAAGCCTGGGCAGCCTACAGATAGCCCAGCTTTACTTCTACAAGTCCGGGAAGCTGGAAGTCAGGTTGCCAACATGGTCAGGTTCTGGGGAAGGCCCTCTCCTGGGCTGCAGACAGCTGTCGTCTCATTGTGTCCTCACATGGTAGAAAGAGGGTGAGAGAGCTCTCTGGGGCCCCTTTTAGAGGGCACTAATCTCATTCGTGAGGGCTCCACCCTCGTGACCTAGTCACCTCCCAAAGGCCCCACTTCCTAATATCATCACTTTGGGGGTTAGGATTTCAACATCGCATCTGGGGGGACACAACCATGCACTCCATAACAAAGAGGGAGACACACCGTGTAGGGAATGGGTCTGTCCATGGCAATGGGGCAGGGGGCTAGGAGTGTGAGTTGGGGACTATGCCCCAGGAAGCCCAGAAGAAGAGCAGAGTCACCTCCCATGACACTTCACATGTCATGGGAGGTGAGCTGTGACCAGGGAGGCTGCAAGGAAAGCCCCCATACTTCATGTGGTGGGGCCTGCCCAGCAACAGAGGCATCACTGGCAGGGCACGATCACTCCTGGAAAGAAGAGGTCACAGCATTTGGGCAGAAGCACCACTCAAGGGTAACTTAAGGCATGGCTCTCTTCTAGGGAGGGGCATGTGGCCACACCGCTGGCACCACTGACGTCCGAACACGGGCTAGGACCTCCCGCCATGGACTCAACTGTGGAAACACCGCGACCTTCTGGGAACACACAGATGATGGCCAGTGTGAGCTGTGCAGTTCGGCTGTCCTCGGTCACAAGAGGCCTGATGAGACCCAGACACTCACCAGGGAAAATGCGATTTCTCATTGGATCTTCCTTCTTGGTTTTGTAGAATAAACATTTGTCAGCTCTGGGAGCACGTATACCAATTAATTACCACTTGGACAGGCTCAGAGGCGCGTGCCATCTGAGGAGCCTGCTCATGGTCACGTTTTCCTCTCTGTGCTCTGCCCGGCCTTGGGGATCAAATTAGGGGGTGGGGTGGCTTTCAGGAGTCCAAGATGTGGAATGAGGCCTCTGTAAGGAAGTTGTGTTGGTTTCCTGGTGGCCTTTATAATTGCACTAGGGTTTTGGTGGGGCAGGTGGGAAGGAGGGAGGAAGCAGAAATGTCACCTTCCTGGTAAGACCCACCCGGACTGCCCTATTTACAAACGTACCCTCTGGTCACCATGATCCTAACGCACCCCTTAACCAGCTCTGTTGCTTTCTTGTTTTCCATAGCAGTGAATACTTCCAACATTCTGTACATAATTCATTGTTCTATTTTGTTTATTTTTTATTTTCTGGTTTAGACCACCTCACTGTCCTCGTGTCCACCCCGAGGGTCGAGCTGTCAGAGCTTGCTCTCCAGTGCAGCTCAAATGCATAGAAGTCACCTGGCTCTCGATAATCATTGGTATGGAATAAATATTTGACAGTCAGCAAATATTTGATGAACTTTTACCTCTCACTAGGAAGGATAACAGGGACTAGAATTCCCCTCCCTCCTGAAGCATCTAAAAATCTGGACAAAACATGTGAAATCAACAATTTTCAGACATGAGACATCAGACAGTTCAAGACGGTAATCCCTGAGACAAACAATGTGAGCCCTGCGATTGCGCCAGCTTGCTGTCTGGAGACAGTTTCCAGGCCATGGTGCAGGGAGGAGGACTGAGACAGAGCCAGGGTCTTTCTGAATTGAGATGGAACTGGGAGTCTGATGAGGCCGAGGCAGCTGGAGTCCACAGGACAGAAGAACGAGAGGCACAGAAAGGGAGTTTCTGAGATGTGCAGAGGGATCTCCCCCGACCCCTAGCATTCAGTAGAGGGCTGATCAGCACATGGGTGGGCAAACTGCATGGGAGGAAAGACCCACCCAGAAGCATTCGCAGCAACAGTGCCCATGCTCACGAAGGGCTGGGAGTAGTGCCTGTTCCCACCAGCCAGACTGGACAATCTCACAGCTTCTGGGCACCCAGGAGAGTACTCAGTAGGGTGTCAGCCCAGTAGTGGGGTGAAATTCACCCTAGACTAAATGATGCTCTGGTCCCACCTAACAGAACTTAAAACCAAGCCTCAAGAGGATCAAACTGTTTCTAAGTAACTTAACTGTGTCTGAAAACAGTATTTATAGGAATATAAACGTCAAGCACCTAACAAGGTAACATTTATGATGTCTGGGATTTAAGAAAAGATTACCCAGGCATGCAAAGAAACAGGAAAATATGCCCTATAATCAGGAGAAAACCCAATCAAGCAAAACTGATTCAGAAATACTAGAGATGATGGAATTAGTCAACCGGATGAGAAAACAATTATTATAATTCTAATTCTCCACGTTCAAGAAGCTTCAGGAAAGATTGAGCATGTTAAGTAGAGACATGTAATGAAAAGAGATGTAAGTCAAACTTCAAGAGCTGAAAATACAATTATCTTAGATGAAAAATATACTGGATGGGATTAACAGAAGATTAAATACCACAGAAGAAAAAAAGATTAGTTAACTTGAAGACATAATAATATAAACTATCCAAAATAAAACATATGGAAAAAACAAAAATTGAAAAAAAAATAAACAGAGAAGAAGGAAGCTATGGATAACTTCCAAAGACCCAAGGAATATGTAAACTAGAGCTTCTGGAACAGAGGAGGAGGAGAAAGAAAAAATATACATTGGAAAAAAATAAAGCAGAAAATTTTACAAATTTGATGAAAACTATACATACCAAGATCCAAGAAGTTTAATGAATCCCAAGTCCATGAAACGCGAGGAAAAGCACACCCAAGCACATCAGGGAAAATTGTAGAAAATAAAAAGCACACATTACATACAGAGGGACAAACGGAACGAGGAGAGCAGACGTCTCGTCAATAGCAATGCATGTGGGAAGACAATGGGTAAAGTCTTTATTGAAAAAAACAAATGATCAGCTTTCCATTCTATACCTAGCAAAGATATATTTCCAAAATGAAGGCAAGGCTGGGCACAGTGGCTCACACCTGTAATCCCAGCAGTTTGGGAGGCCGAGGTGAGTGGATCACTTGAGGTCTGGAGTTTGAGACCAGCCTGGCCAACATGATGAAACCCCGTCTCTACTAAAAATGCAAAAAATTAGCCGGGTGTGGTGGCAGGTGGCTTTAATCCAGGCTACTCGGGAGGCTGAAGCAGGAGAATTGCTTGAACCTGGGAGGTGGAGGTTGCACTGAGCTGAGATCGTGCCACTACACTCCATCCTGGGTGACACAGCGAGACTCTGTCAAAAAAAAAAAAAAAAAAAAAAAAAAAGGTAAAATAGACTTATTTAGCATGCAGAAGCTGAAAAGAATTTGTGAATTTGTGATCAGCAGGCCTGCACTACAAGAACTATTAAAGGAAGTCCTTCCAGCAGAAGGAAATGAATTACAAATAGATGCAGGGATATATGCAGCAGAAATAAGAGCACTGGGAATGGTGATTATGTGGATATATATTTTCCCATTATTCAAAATAGCTTTTTAAAATATAATTATGAGCCACTTGGTGCTGAAGTCACCTTAGGGACCCAGGGACATGGATCGGGGTGCTGACAGCCTTCAGCAGCTGAGGGCCCTGCATTGAAGGTCCTGGATGAAACGCACGGCCAGACCAACCGGGAAGGTGAATGCCAAGAATGGAAGTGTTTAATGATGCAGGTCATTGCGTTTCTTTGTCTGGAGTATGTTCAGAACCGTTTCTGAGCATGTCCACAAGCCAGTATGCAGATGATGATCTGATGGTGAAGAGACGACCTCAACGGGGTTCATGAAAACTAGTTCCCATGTACTGCTTGAAACAGCTGTCATCCGCAAAGCACTTTACCCAGCATGGACGCTCCACCTCTTGCCACAGCAGCACAGACAGCTAATGGCATACCTGCTTCTAGAAGACCCTTCTACCTGGAGGATCTTCCTGTGGCATCTACCTCCCTCATGAAGCAGAAGTCATCTGGCACCTGTGTGCAGTCATCTTATCGCTCTGCATTTGTGTAGGTTGGAACAGTTTCATTCAGCGTGGACTTTATCAAGACTGTGCATTTAGGCCTACAGTTCATATCCCTGATAACTATCTGGGTGGTGCCTGTCCACACTTGGTATTTGACGTTCCTCCCTTTCACACCCTCATTAATTCCATCTCTGTGAACTGGATGTGCAGAGAGATTTGCAAAGTAGAGGCGGAACCATAATTGCACTTGGGAAGTACCCATCAGTACAAAGAAACATTTCTTCAAGATTGATACAGCAAACCCCCTAAACCCAGAGGCTACAGTAGTGTGTGTGTACAGTAGTGCGTGTGTGTGTGTGTGTCCTTTTAAAAATAACGTGGTTGATGGTTTTAAGATGTGTCCCGCTTGTTTATTTGAGCAACCTAAAATAGCAGACCCACATTCCATTAGCTTTTCTCCATGGTATCCATCTGCACATCATGAAACCAGAGGGAAGAAGCTGGATGAGCTGCACAATAATTGTGTTCCTGCGATGTGTAAAGCCTGACTCAATGCCATCTTTCAGCAAGGAAGAAAAAACAGCAGCAACCTAGGAGATGCCGAATCTGTGGACCTTGGCCTGGTGAGAGCTGATCAATGGCAAGCACTGCCTATGAACATAGCAAGGTAAACACAGGCCACTGCTCCGCAGTAGAAAGGAAGCAACTATTGAGACACTCCACAGCTGGAAGAGAGCTCACGAGCATTGTGCTGGGTGAGAGCCACTAGTCTCCCAGAAACAGGGCGGTGGCTAGGGAGCATGGAAGGAAATCTTCACCATAGCCATGCGGTGACAGAGACAAGGTGGTGTGTACAGTGGTGTCCTCACCATCCTCAGCTTGTTTGGGAGGTATTTATTGGTGAGTTTCCAGGACCCTCAGGACATTCTGTGTCCTTCTGAGAACAAGGTAACACGTAAAAGCATTTTGTAAACTCTCTGTGAAAAGAAGGGGTTATGACCTCCAATGCCAGGGAATCTTCTCCCTTGAGATTCCCACGACCCTCTGGCTTGACTGCAGTGGTGAGATGGGGGTGTTGCAAGAGTTCATGGTCAGAGTCCACAGTGCTGTTGCGTGGCCCCAGGCAAATGACCGTTGGGGAAATAAGACAATCCTCCTGTCAAAAGACCCTTCTGTACCAAAATAGAAGAGAGAGAATGCAGTTTAATCTTAAGTAAGCACTGTGATATTCACATGCATGTAAGATAGCACAAAAGTGTCTCCAGAGACTGGACTTCAGAATTTCAACAGACGTGCACAGAAATGCAGAAAAGAGAAGAACGAAGCATTCTCCTATCTCCTAGACAGATAAGAGGACCCACTTGTCTATCTGTGAAAGATTTCCGAGGTCCTCTTAGGGGGTTGTGTTTACAGTTCCAAGGGTCAGGAGGCCTCATATCTTACATAGTAAAACTAAAAGATTGGGCCTCTTATCGGACTGATTATTTTTTTCCAAGGAGATACCCTAAGGAGGAGAGGGTGGAGAGGAAGCGGCCTCCTTCCTGTTTATTAACAAAAAAGGTCCATCATCTTATCCTTACATTGACTTAACTAAGCTTCCATTTCCTCAGCTGCAAAATCATGTTGTGCTCCGTGTGCAGCATCGTGCCTACTGAGGGGTTAACCACAGTCTGCAGAGAGCGGGTCCTCTGCCATTCCGCCTCTCTCCCATATGCTTGTCCCCCACATAGATGCCTGGGGGTAGAGGCTGCATAGCCCAGAATCATCCCGCGTCCCCGCCACTGCCTCTCACTAATCCCATGCTGCTGATGTCCTGGCCTGATCCACATCTGGTCTGCATCTCACATGCAGCCCCGGGACCCACTGCCCTTCAATTAGAAGGACTGCGTGTTAGGTAAATACGACATCTTCCAAATGTCTCAGGGTGAGCGCGGCCTCCCAGCCCATGCGATGGAGCCAGCTGTGATTGCTGCAGATCGAGATTTCACAGATTTAGCTTTTCTCTTGCAAAGCTAAGCTCCCAGAGAGATCATGGAACCTTCTACTAAGAGTTCTGCTGTTGTCAATTAAGAAATATTTTTCTTTCTTTTTTCTTTTTGAAGAAGGGATGTCATCATTTTCAAGTGTCAAGAAGCTGAAACAAACAGTTGTTGGGGATGTTTTTAGTGAAGTTTTGACTTCACTGGGGTTGTCTTTTTGATCCAAGTGATGTTACTCTGAGACCAGTGAGTGAGCTCACGTCCTACCTGAGTGATACCCAGGGGAGCTCAGATGTCATTGCTGGCTTTCCAGCTTTGCTCAGGGAGGGATAGGGAGGACCAGGTCCTTCCAGAATAACCCCCTCACCCCCCAACATCCTGCCTTACAGGTGTCTTGACACTTGATACTCATGTGATACAACATGCAAGAGCTTTAGAAAGTGGAAAGAGGTGTCTTCATGCACACCTATCTTAGCGGCAGGAAAGGGGTCTTCATCATGTATCCCCCAGTGGCTTGGCACGTTGCGGTGGCTTTGCTGAGTGATTCAAAGAACTCTTCAGTGTCCAGGCCCAGATGTCTCCGTGGAGTGTCTGGAGACTTCATATTACGTGGGTGTATGAGTCAACTTGAGCTGCTGTAACAGAACACCTGAGACTGGGCAACTTAAACAGTGGAAGTTGATTTCTCACAGTTCTGGAAGCTTGAAAACCCAAGATCAAGGTGCCAGTGATTCAGTTCCTGGTGAGGGCTCTATTACTGGGTTGCAGACGACCATCTTCTTGCTGTGTTCTCACATGGTGGAGAGAGAGAGAGAGAGAGAGAGAGACAGAGAGAGAAAGAGAGAGAGAGAGAGGTCATAGCTCTTCTTATAAGGGCACTAATCCCATCATAAGGCCTCCACCCTCAATGACCTAATTACCTCCCAAAGGCCCCATCTCCACATACTTTCTTTTTTTATTTTATTTTTATTTTTATTTTTGGAGATGGAGTCTTGCTCTGTTGCCCAGTCTGGAGTGCAGTGGCACAATCTCGGCTCACTGCAAGTTCTGCCTCCCGGGTTCATGCCATTCTCCTGCCTCAGCCTCCTGAGTAGCTGGGACTATAGGTGCCTGCCACCGCGCCCAGCTAATTTTTTATTTTTATTTTTTGTATTTTTGGTATAGACAGGGTTTCACCGTGTTAGCCAGGATGGTCTCGATCTCCTGACCTTGTGATCCACCTGCCTCGGCCTCCCAAAGTGCTGGGATTACAGGCTTGAGCCACCGTGCCCGGCCCATCTCCACATACTTTCATATTGGGGGTTAGAATTTCAACATATAAATTTGGGGATGGCCTGACACAGTCCATAGCAGTGGGGGTAATACGGTTTGGCTGTGTCCCCACCCAAATCTCATCTTGCAGTATAGCTCCCATAATTCCCACATGTTGTGGGAGGGACCCAGTAGCAGATAATTGAATCATGGGGGTGGTTTCCCCTATACTGTTCTCGTGGTGGTGAATAAGTCTCATGAGATCTGATGGTTTTATAAGGGGTTTCCCCTTTTGGTTGGTTCTTTTTCTCTCTTGCCTGCCGCCCTGTAAGACATATCTTTCATCTTCCACCATGATTGTGAGGCTTCCCTAGCCGCGTGGAACTGTGGGTCCATTCAACTTCTTTTTCTTTAAAAATTACCTAGGTTTTAGCCAGAGAAATTAAGCAAAGCAATTCTACAAACATAGAAAAAATTATAAATTTGTTTATAAATTACCTAATACAGGGGTCAAGGGGTGAGGCAGTTCCCATGTAAGATTTACCCGCCCAGAGCTCCAGGAACACCAGGAGGGCAAGTGCTCTGATGCCTCAACCTTCAACTCCCTCTGGACCCCCCAAATCAACACTGTCCCAAGGACCAACCTTTCAAGCCACAGCTTGAATTCAGGCTTACTTGTGCCTACCTGCTCACCTTTAGGGCACTCATCCTCCCCCTCAGCTCAGGGTCAGCCAGCATGTGAACTGGGTACCTCTAGGCCTGGGATTTTCAACTTGTGGATGATAAAACATTAGGGAGTCCAGGGAGTCATTTTTGTGGCCCATGACCAACGTGTTGTTTAAAGAAATAAGAATAGAAAAATCAGAATGTGTTCCTAAAGCCGTAGCTGCTGTTATAGTACCTATAGCAGGAGCAGTAGCCTGATGAAATTTTTGTTGCATATGTAATGCAAGAGAATCAATGTGTCTGCTTAGACGCATGGGCCAGGTCCTTATTTCTAAGTGGGTTCTAGAGAAGCTGGAAAGCTGCTGCTTTGGGGGATGCTGAGAATAAAAAGATTCACACTATGTATTCAAGATGCCTCAGACAAGGCACAGAGAAGGATATTTGAGGCAAGAAAGCCCTCTGGGATCATCTTTGCTGAACATCTCTTTTTACAGCTATGGAAAAAGAGGCCAAGAGGAATCCAGAAAGTTGCCTCAGGCCATCCATGGGTTTCTGCCTCAGGCCTCCCCAGGGCTCCTCCTAGGAATATAGTAAGGGACAGGGTAAAGTCAGTGAAAACGGCAGAGTCAGGACCTCCAAAAAGTGTCTCCTTGAAAACAATGAGAATACCGGCAAAAATTGGCAGCATCAACGATTTCAAAGTTCTGGAAATTGACCATAGGCCTGCAACAATTCTAGGAGGATTTATTCAAGCAAACCGGCAGAATCTTACAAAGAACAAGCCTTGCAGCACTTTAACTTACTCTATCCCCATGCCACACTCCCCAGCCCTGTGGTAGACTTGAAAACCAATAACCCACTATCAGGGTGAAGACTAATAGCTTGGCAGCCGCCAGAAAGGAAAAATGGCTAGAAGCAACTTCAAAGCCTCATTAACAGAATTGTCATTACTTGAAGTCTGATGGTTCACTAAACCCACTTGCAAGGTTGTCTTTATTTGACCTGACTTGGAGTTCTCCTGGTACAAAAAGCATTTTCAGTGGGGCATTTATTGGAAACATTTATAGGCAAATGTTTAGCTTCATGGTAACCAAAGCAGTGGGTAAGAGTTTGCGAAACAATAGGGTAGCCAACAAGCTTCAAATTACAAAGCTGGGGAATGACACGTCTACAGGAGCTGCGAACCAACATCTTTCCAGGAATCCAGAAGGCCATGTGCATGTTCAGGAAAGGCCTGAGCTCTCACCTCTACCTCTGGCTGGTCTTGAGGCTCTACAGAAGTAAGAAGTAAAGGCTCAGCACTTTGAGAGGCCAAGGCCGGGGATCACCTGAGGTCAACAATTTGAGACCAGCTTGGCCAACATGGTGAAACCCCGTCTCTACTGAAAATACAAAAATTGTCTGGGCCTGGTGGCAGGCACCTGTAATCCCAGCTACTCGGGAGGCTGAGGCAGGAGAATTGCTTGAACCCGGGAGGCGGACGTTGCAGTGAGCCGAGATCACGCCAATGTACTCCAGCCAGGGCAACAGAGCGAAAGTCCCTCTAAAAACAAACAAACAAAAAAGGAAAGGCTAAGGCAGAACTGCCTGGCTGGACATTTTAATGCTAGAATGTGCTCTCTCAGTCTTTGCCAAGGAGCTCTCTCTCTCTCTCTGTGTGTGTGCTGTGTGTATGTGTGTATGTGTCTCTCTGTGTGTGTGTGTGTGTGTGTGTGTGCGTGTGTGTTGAGGCACTCCGACTCACGGGATGCAGTTAAAGCAATGCTTAGAGGCAAACTTATGGTTATAAATGTTGATGTTAAAAAAGAAGGAAGGTCTTATGTCAATAATCTAAACTCCAATTTTAAGAAACTAGGTAAATGAAACCCAAAGCAAGAATAAGAAGGCACATCATCAAGATTAGAGGTGAAGTTAATGAAACAGAGAATAGAAAAGTAAGAGAAAGTCAGTGAAGCCAAATGTTGGTTCTTTGAAAGACTGACAACACTGACCAACCTTTAGCTAGACTCATCAAGGAAAAAAAAAAGACTTAAGTTACTAAAGTTGGAAATGGAAGAGAGGATATTAGTATCAATTTTACAGAAATAAGGAAGATAAGGAAATACAATAAAAAAAATGCCCACAAATTTGGTAACCTAGAAAAAATGTACAAATTCCTATAAAGATGTGAACTACTGGCCAGGAGTGGTGGCTCACGCCTGTAATCCCGGCACTGTGGGAGTCCCAAGCAGGCAGATCACTTGAGGTCAGGAGTTCAAGACCAGCCTGGCCAACATAGTGAAACTCTGTCTCTACTAAAAATACAAAAATTAGCTGGGCGTAGTAGTAGGCACCTGCAATCTCAGCTACTCAGGAGGCTGAGGCAGGGGAATCACTTGAACCCACGAGACGGAGGCTGCAGTGAGCCGAGATTGTGCTACCACACTCCAGCCTGGGTGACACAGTAAGAGGCCATCTCAAAAAAAAACAAAAGACATGCACTACTGAAACCAACTCAGTAAGCAATAAAAATGTTGAGTAAATCTATAATAAATAAAGAGGTTAAATTCATAATAATAATAACAACATTATATTTGCCACAAAGAAAGGCCCAGGACTTGGTGGCTTCCTTGAATCTTAAAGAAGCGTTAACACCATTCACAAAGTCTTTTAAAAATAGAAGGACAAACATCTCCTAACTTATTTTATATTAATTACCCTTATACCACAGCCCGACAAAAACATCACAAGCCAATAAAACCACAGATCAATATCTCTTATGACATAGATGCAAGCATTCTCTACAAAATACTAGCAAAGCAATTCTAGAAACAAAATATATATATATATATATATATATATATATATATATATATATATATATATTATGAAAAAGTAAGATTAATCCCAGGACTGCAAGGTTGCTTTAACATCCAAGAGTTTATCAATGTAATACACCATATTCGTAGAATAAAGAATAAAAAATACATGTTCATCTTGATAGATACAAAAAAGAATGGCAAAATTCTAACACCATTTCATAACTCCTTTACATGTTGTTTCACTTAATAAACTTGGAATACAAGAGAGCTTTCTCAAGCTAATAAATGGCATCTAGAAAAATCCCACAACAACTGTCATGTTTAATAGTGAAACACCGAAAGCTTTCTCTCTAGGGTCAGGAAGAAGACAAGGATGCCCACTATCTTCACTTCTACTCAACATTACACTGAAGGTTTTAGCCGAGAAATTAAGCAAGAAATAGAAATAAAGGCATTCAGATTGTCAAGGAATACAATCTCTATTTACAACTGATATACTCTTGTATATGGAAAATCCTACAGAACACACACACACACATACACACACACACAATTAGACCTAATAAATGCATTTGGCAAGGTTGCAGGCTACAAAATGAATATGCAGAAATCAATTTTACTTCTTTACAATAGCATTGAACAAACAAAAAATGAAATTAAGAAAACGATTAACTTGCAATCGTAGCAAAAAGGATAAAATGCATAGGAATGAATCTAACAGAAGAAGTATAAGGATAATACATAGAAAACTATAAAATATTGAAAGAAATTAATGAAGTCTTAAATAAATGGAAAAATAACCCAAGTTCAGAGATTATAAGTGCTAATATTGTTAAAATGGCTACATTCCCCAAATTGATACAGATTCAATGCAATATCTATGAAAATCCTAGCTGGGTTTTGCAGACATTGACAGGCTGATCTTACAATCCATATGGAAATGCAAGAGCCTGGACTAGCCAAAACAATTCTGAAAGAGAAAAAAAAAGTTGAAGGACTCACACTTCCTGATTTCAAAATTTACTACAAAGCTACAGTAATCAAGAATGTGGCACTATATAAGAATAGCCATATAGATCAATAGAATGGATTTGAGAATACAGAAATTAGCCTTTGCATTTATGACTTTTGGAAAGGGGACCAAGAAAATTCAATGGGACAAAAACAGGTCTTTTCAACAAATGGTGTTTATAGAACTGGATATACCTTTATAAGAGCTCCAGGATGCAGGTGAGAGTACCATCCTGATGGAGCACAGAAATGAGAAATAATGCATTGAAAAGGGTAAAAATAGTTTCACTTGACCTGCATCGCTTCTCTTACAAGCTCACAGAGTGCAGCACCAAGAGAGAGCTTGTTGGTCTACAAGTTCTCCTGTGAGGAAAAGATAGATCAAAGTGAGTGTCCAACTTCTCCAGCCTTCTCAGAGAATTTTAAGTGAAAAGTGACTTATCACATACAAGGGAATCCTCATAAGGCTATCAGCAGATTTCTCAGCAGAAACCTTGCAGCACACAAGAGTGGAATGATATATTCAAAGTGCTGAGGAAATAAAACTGCCAATCAAGAATACTATACCCAAACACTGTCTGTTAAAAATTAAGGAAGACGAAGACTTTCCCAGATAAACACAAATTAAGGAATTTTGTCACCACTAGATCTGCTATATGAGCAGTGCTAAGGTAAGAGTTCAGGTTGAAATAACAGGATGTTAAACAGCAACATGAAAGCATATGAAAGTGTGGATCTCACTGACAAAGGCAAATATATAGACAAATACAGAATAATGTAATACTGTAATGGAGGTATGTAAAATCACTTCTAACTCTAGTATAAAAGTTAAAAGATTAAATACTAAGAAAAACTATAACCATAAAAATTTCTTAATGGAAGCAAAATATAAAAAGTGAATTCCTGCTGGGCGCAGTGGCTCATGCCTATAATCCCAGCACTTTGGGAAGCTGATGCGGGTGTATCACTTAAGGTCAGGAGCTCAAAACCAGCCTGGCTAACATGGTGAAACCCCATCTCTACTAAAAATACAAAAAATTAGCGGGGCATGGTGGTTCATGCCTATAATCCCAGCTACTCGAGAGGCTGAGGCAGGAGAATCACTTGCACCCAGGAGGCGGAGGTTGCAGTGAGCCGAGATTGTGCCACTGCACTACAGCCTGGGTGACAGAGCGAGACTCTGTCTCCAAAAAAAAAAAAAAAAAAAAGTGAATTCCAACATCAATAACTTAAAGTGTATGCACACGTTGGAGGAGGAGTTTTTCTACATGTAATTGAATTCAAGTTGTTATTGGCTTAAATAGACTGTTACAACTATAAGAAGTTTCATGCAAGCCTCATGGTAAACACAAAGAAAAAAACTTAGATACAAAGAAAGATCAAAGTATATTACCATCAAACCATCAAATTAGAAAGCAGCAAGATGAGAAAAGAGAAACGAAATAACTACAAAACAGACAGAAAAAAATTAACAAGTGGCAATAGTAACTCCTTACCTAGCAACAATCATCTTATGTAGAAATGGATTAAACGCACTAATCAAAATATGTAGCATGGCTGAATGAATTAAAAAAACCCAATCCAACTATTACTGTCTATAAGATATTTACCTTAGATTTAAGGACACACAAATGCTGAAAGTGAAGGTATTGCAAAAAGATATTTCATGCAAATGGTAACCAAAATGTAGCAGGGGTGGCCACACTTAGATCAGACAAAATAGAGTTTAAGTAAAAAAGTACCACAAGAAACAAGGAAGGAAATTATAAAATGATAAAAGGGAGTATATATACGTGTGTATATACATATATATGTACATACATATATATAATAAATGTGTATGCACCTAATATCAGAGCACCTAAATATGTAAAGCAAATACTGACAATTTGAGAGGAGAAATAGAGAGCATACAATAAGAGCAGGAGACTTCAATACCCTAATTTCAGTAGCAGATAGATCATCCAAACACAAAATCAATAAAGAAAGAGCAGTGTCAAACATTATAGGGTAAGTGGACCTATCACACACACAACATTCTACCCAGTAGAAGTAGAACACACATTCTTCTCAAGCACACACAGGAAATTCTCCAGGAGAGATCACATTCTAGGTCACAAAAGAAGTCTTAACAAATTTAAGAAGATTGAAATCATTCCAAGTTCCTTTTCCAACTACAATGGAACGAGACCAGAAGTCAGTAACACAAGGAAGAAGGCAAAATTCCCAAATACACAGAAAGTAAACAAAACACTCTTGAACAACCATTGGGCCAAAGAAGAATTCAAAGGGGAAATTAGAAAGTATCTCAAAACAAATAAAAATGAAAATACAATGTAACAAAATGTATGGGATACAGCAAAGGCAATACTAAGAGGGAAGTTATAACAACAGATGCCTATATTAAAACGAAAGAAAGATCTCAAATAAACAACCTAACTTTACACCTTGAGGAATGAGAAAAATATGAACAAATTAAGTCCAAAGTTAGCAGAAAGAAGGAAATACCAAAGAGTAGAGCAGAAATAAATCAAATAGAGAATTAAAAAAATAGAAAAAATTCAACAATAAGAGTTAGTTTGGGAAAATATCAACAAAATCAACAAACCCTTAGGTAGGCTAAGAGAAAAGGAAAAAGACTCAAATAAATGAAATCAGAAATGAGAGGCAAGATATCACAACGATGCCACAGACATAAAAAAATTATGAGACTATCATGAACAATTATATGCCAACAAATTGGACAACCTAGAAGTGGATAAATTCCTGTAAATATACAACCTACCAAGGCTGAATCAAGAAACAGGAAGCCTGAACAGGACAATAGCAAACAAGGAGATAAAATCAGTAATCAAAAACCTCCCAAGAAAAAAAAAGTCCCAGGGCCAGGTTTCTTCACAGGTAAAATCTACCAAACATTTAAAGAAGAATTAATACCAATCCTTCTTAAACTCTTCTAAAAAAAAAAAAAGAGGGAACAGCTCCAAACTCATTTTATGAGGCCAGAGTCATCCTGACACAAAAACCAGACAAAGAGAACACAAGGAAAGAAAACAATTGGCCAATAGCCCTGATGAAAATGAATATAAAAATCCTCAAGAAAATATTAGCAAACCAAATTTAACAACACATTAAAAGGATCATATACCACGATCGAGTGATATCTACCCTGGGATGAATGTATACTTCAACATATGCAAATCAATCAATGGGATACAACACTTTAACAGAATAATCACATGATAAAAAGTACATGATCTTCTTAATAAATGCAGAAAAGCATTTGACAAAATCCAACATCCTCTAGTAATAAAAACTCTCAACAAATTAGGTAAAGAAGGAACTTATTTCAGCACAATAAAGGCCATATGTGAAAATACCACCGCTAACATCATACTAAATGGTAAAAACCGGAAAGCTTTTCCTCCAAGATCTGGAACAAGACAAGAATGATTATTCTTGCCACTTCTATTCAATGTAGTGCTAGGAATCCTAGCCAGAGAAATTGGGCAAGAAGAAATGAAAGTCATCCAAATCATAAAGGGAGAAGTAAAATCATGGTCTTTTTGCAGATGATGTAATCTTATATGGAGAAAGCCCTGAAGACTCAACAAAATAACTAATAAATGAATTCAGTAAACTCAGGACACAAAATCAGCATACGAAAATAAGTTGTTTCTATGCATTAACAATGATCTATTTAAGAAGGAAATGAAGAAAGCAATCCCATTTGTAAAAGCATCCAAAAGGAATAAAATACTTATTATTCATGGATTTATGGATCCATAAATGGATAGGAAGAATCACAGATAGGAAGAAAAAATACTGTGAAAATGGCCATACTGCCCAAAGTAATTTGTAGATTCAATGCTACCCCCATCAAGTTACCACTGATTTTCTTCACAGATTTGGAAAAAAAACTACTTTAAATTTCCTGTGGAACCAAGAAAGAGCCCTCATAGCCAAGACAATCCTAAGCAAAAAGAACAAAGCTGGAGGCATCATGCTACCTGACTTCAAACTATACTACAAGGCTACGGTAACCAAAACAGCATGGTACTGGTACCAAAATAGATATATAGACAAATGGAACAGAACAGTTGCCTCAGAAATAACACCACACATCTACAACCATCTGATCTTTGACAAACCTGACAAAAACAAGCAATGGGGAAAGGATTCCCTATTTTATAAATGGTGTTGGGAAAACTGGCTAGCCACATGCACAAAACTGAAACCAGATCCCCTCCTTATACCTTATACAAAAATTAACTCAAGATGGATTAAAGACTTAAACATCAGACCTAAAACCATAAAAACCCTAGAAGAAAACCTAGGCAACACCATTCAGGACATAGGCATGGGCTGAGACTTCATGACTAAAACACCAAAAGCAATGGCAACAAAAGCCAAAATTGACAAACGGGATGTAATTAAACTAAAGAGCTTCACACAGCAAAAGAAACTATCAACAGAGTGAACAGGCAACCTACAGAATGAAAGAAAATTTTTGCAATTATTTTTGCCACTTCTATTCAATGTAGTGCTAGGAATCCTAGCCAGAGAAATTAGACAAGAAGAAATGAAAGGGCTGACAAATAGCTAATATCCAGAATCTACAAAGAACTTAAACAAATTGACAAGAAAAAAACAAACAACCCCATCAAAAAGTGAGAGAAGGATATGAACAGACACTTCGCAAAAGAAGACATTTATGCAGCCAATAAACATGAAAAAAAGGTCATCATCACTGGTCATTAGAGAAAGGCAAATCAAAACCACAATGAGATACTATTTAATGATTGCCAGTTAGAATGGCAATCATTAAAAAGTCAGGAACCAACAGATGCTGGAGAGGATGGGGAGAAATAGGAACACTTTTACACTGTTGGTGGGAGTGTAAATTAGTTCAACCATTGTGGAAGACAGTGTGGCAATTCCTCGATGATCTAGAACCAGAAATATCATTTGACCAAGCAATCCCATTACAGAGTATATACCCAAAGAATTATAAATCATTCTACTATAAAAACACATAAACATGTATATGTTCTGAGGCACTATTCACAATAGCAAAGACTTGGAACCAACCCAAATGCCCATCAAGGAGAGACTGGATAAAGAAAATGTGGCACATGTACACCATGGAATACTATGCAGCCATAAAAAAGGCTGAGTTCATGTCCTTTGCAGGGTCATGGATGAAGCTGGGAATCATCATTCTGAGCAAACTAACACAAGAACAGAAAACCAAACACTGCATGTTCTCACTCATAAGAGGGAGTTGAACAATGAGAACACATGGACACAGAAAGGGGAACATCATACACCAGGGCCTGCTGTGGGGTGGAGGGCTAGGGGAGGGATAACATTAGGAGAAATACCTAATGTAGGTCACGGGTTGATGGGTGCAATAAACCACCATGGCGAGTGTATACGTATGTAACGAAACTGCATGTTCTGGACGTGTACCCCAGAACTTAAATAAAAAAAAGAATGAACTTAACCAAGGAGGTGAAAGACTTGTACACTAAAAACTATAAAACATTGATGAAAGAAATTAAAGTAGACACAAATAAAGTCACTCTGTTTTCATGGACTGGAAAAAATATTATTGTCAAAATGCCCATAAAACCCAAAGTAGTCTATAGATTCAAGGCAATTCTTGTTAAAATCCCAATGGGATATTTTACAGAAATAGAAAAAAAACCCTAAAATTCATATGAAACCATAGAATACCCCACATAGCCAAAGTAATTTTGAGCAAGAAGATGAAAGCTAGAGACACCACACTTCCTTATCTCAAAATGTATTACACAGCTACAGTAATCAAAACAGTATGTCAAGAATTTGCCCTTTTTCTAACTTTTTGTTCCTTCTGGCCCCCAGCAATTGGATGGCATTAATGTAAATCAGTAAAATTATTATGGAAAATCATATAGAGTTCCTCAAAATATTAAAAATAGAATGACAGTATGACCCAACAATCCCACTTCTGGATATCTGTCCATAGGAATTGAGATCAGGATCTCATAGAGATATCTGTGCTACTATGTTCATTACAGCATTTTCACAATAGCCAAAACATGTAAGCAAACTAACTGTCCATTGATGGATGAATGGATAAAGAGAATGTTGTATACAAACACAATGAAATATCATTCAGCCTTAAAACAGAAGGAAATCCTGCCCTTTGCAACAACATGGGTGAACCTGGAGGATATTATGCTAAGTGAAATAAGCCAGACATAGAAGGACAAATACTATACAATACCACGTGTTTTAGTCAGGGTTCTCCAAAGACATAGAGCTGATAGGAGAGATGCAGAAAGAGATATATGAGAGAAGGTTTATTAGGGGGATTGGCTCACCTGATTATGGGGGCCGAGAAGTCCCACAATAGGCTGTCCCTAAGCTGGAGACCCAGGGTAGCAGGAACTGTGGCTCAGTGTAGGTGTGAAGAGCTCAGAACCAGGAAAGCTATGGTATGATTCTAAGTCTGAGGCCACAAGTCTGAGAAACCAGGTTGGCCACTAGTCTAGTCCCAGACTCCAAAAGCTGGAGAACCTAGAGTCCTGATGTCCAAGGGCAGGAGGAGAGGGGCATTCTGGCTTCCTCAGAAACCATCATCACTGCTAGGAATGTAAAAAAAAGTGGAAACCACCCAAAGGTCCATCAAAAGATTATTGAATAAGCAAAATGTAGTAGATCTCTACAATGGAATATTATTCAGCCATTAAAAAGGAAGGATGTTTGACGTGTGCTGCAGTGGGGATGATGGCGGGGCAGATCATCCTGCCTTTAGGACCACATGGTCCAGTGGAGGAGGCAGAGCAAAAACACCTGGGGCCATTGGAGGTGGAGGGGAGCTCAGGGGAGCTTGGAGGAGGTGAGGTGGAGCCATGTTCTGCGGGCCTCATCTCAACAGTCAATGACAGAAGAGGCAGAATTTACCTCAGAAAAGACACGTGTGTGCCCGAGCTGATGGGAACATTCCCTAGGCAGACTGAGGACGCCAGGCCTGGCGAGCTTGGCCTACAACCTGCCTGTGGCCAACTGCAGTGCTGATGGGGAGGCTCCATGGGCCTGCCTAGGTGGACATCATGCCTGCAACACACGAGATATCAGATTAGAGATAAAGCCACCATGGAGGACGTTGATTTTTAGGTGCCTGGGTTGAGAAGTCACAGATCCAGTTTGCTTGAAATGATCATGAGGGTCGAAGGAAACCCAGACCCCTGTGAGGAAAGGCTGTCAGCGTGGCCGAGGTGGACCAGGACAGACGGAGGGAGGGGAGTTCCTGGCAGGCCCCCACTTTGATGGCTGCTCAGTGGCCATGGGGTCAACTGGGCTGTCTCCGGCCAGGGGACAGGGCTTCGGCACAGTGGTGTGAGCCCTGCGGGCACAGGGCTCCCAGAAGATGCCAGGCCTCCAGAACTGCCCCTGTCATTCGGGCTCCTCTCCCTGCCCTTGTGGTCTCCAGCGGCGTTGCTCCCTGGTTCAGAGAAGACGCGCTCGGCTCTGACTGACCAGGCACTCCTGCCGGCTGTGCCTCCCCATGCTGGCGCTTTCTCCAGAAGCACCTTCTCAGAGGTGTGGTTCCGAGTCCCCAGCGCCTGCCCGTGGGCCTACATGCTCAAGTCTCCAGGCTTTCCTTCTTTTTTTTTTTTTGAGATGGAGTCTCGCTCTGTCGCCCAGGCTGGAGTGCAGTGGTGCGATCTCGGCTCACTGCAAGCTCCGCCTCCCGGATTCACGCCATTCTCCTGCCTCAGCCTCCCGAGTAGCTGGGACTACAGGTGCCCGCCACCACGCCTAGCTAATTTTTTGTATTTTTAGTAGAGATGGGGTTTCACCATGTTGGCCAGGATGGTCTCGATCTCTTGACCTCGTGAGCCACCTGCCTCAACTTCCCAAAGTGCTGGGATTACAGGCGTGAGCCACCACTCCTGGCTGCCTCCAGGCTTTCTGAAACAACTCCCCAGCAGGGCCAGGTTGTGCTCCGCAGAATAATGTCTCCCAAGATACCTAAGCCGTTTCCTCGACCTGTACAGATGTGATCCTGCAGGTTGAAGGGACTTTGCAGGTGTGATTAAGCTGAGGATCTTTTGAGTTGGAGAGATGAGCCTGGATCACCTGGTGGGTTTGATGTCATCACAGGAGTCCTCCTAAAATGACGAGTGAGGCAAGAATTGCAAGGTCAGAGCCACGTGATGTGGGAAAGGCTTGACCGGTCATTGCTGGCTTTGAAGGCGGGGAAAGGGCCACTGGCCGAGGGATGTGAGTGGCCTCTAGGAACTGGAACAAGCAGGAAATGAATTTCCCCTTCCAGCCTCCAGAAAGCCCAGCACGTGCCGTCCATTTCAGACCTGTCCTCCGCACTGTAAGGCAAGACATTTGCTTTGTTGTAAAGCCACTAAGTGTGGGTCCTTTGTCACCGCAGCACAGGGAAACCAGTACACCACCCAAGCCTGAGCCCCCACCCCGTGTGAGCGGGGCACAGTGCAGAACACCGGGACGGCATTGAGGATGGGGCCCGAGAAGTTGGTGACTCTTCCTCCCAGCTCGCATGAGGATCCTGAAGCCCTCGAGGAAGTGGCTGACATCTAGGGCTGGAGCCAGGCCTACAGGCAGTCCTGGTCCAGCTCACCGCTTCTCCAAATCAAGGTCATATGTGTTGGGATGCAGTGGGGAAGCAGGATGCCAGGGTCACCTCCCCATGCCTCCTCTCAGTTTCGGCTCTTTGAAAGCGCATGCCATCTTCCAGGCTCAGAAGGGTGTGCAGGTGGCCCACGCCCTCCAGGAAAGGGGTGCATTGTGTGGGGCTATCTCTGAAGCACAGAGAGGCAGAAGCAGGAACCATGTCCAGGGAATGAGTAGTGAGAAGGCCTTGCCAACTCATGCCATCATTGCTTATTATGCCCCTGCTGTGTATGAGGCGTAAGCTGGGTTTTGTTAGGGATCCAGAGAGAAACTCTCAGTAGGGGGTGGAGATACAAGTGTGCAAAGAGTCACAGCAAAGACCAGGCCAGGACAGGCACGAGGCACGCCTGGATCAAGGGTAGGTGAGGGCCCAGCAAGCAGGGTTCCAGCAGTGCCCAGGAGAGCTGGCTGCTGGAGGAGGTGGTCCAGTGCTTCCTTCGTGAGATGGATCCAGGAATCCGGGATGGCATGAGCAAAGGCCATGAGTGGAAGAGGCTGGAGGGAAGTCACTTGACTGGAGGCTGAGCTGTGTGGGGAGTCCTGAGGCCCCAGGCAAAGCCCTGGAGGGCTGAGCATGAAACCCAGAAGATTGAGCTTGTCCTGGGGGCACGGGGAGCCAGGACCGTTCTAGAGGGCTCTCTTTGGAAGCCCCAAACGGACAAGGATCTGGCAGGGTTGAGACTGCAGACTGAGGCCAGGGAGGAGGCCGGAGTCTCACTCACCAAAGAGGGGATGGGCTCAGCCCACAGCGGGAGTGGGATGGAGAACAAGTGCCAGCCAAGACCCCTACCTGAGATGGGTGGCTGGGGCAGGGCACCCGGGCTGCTCTTCCAAGAAAATGTCACTTACAATACAACACTGGGGGAAGGAGCCAGAACCCTCCCCAGGATGGTTCCCATGTCCTGGAGGCCTGGCCCTGGCCCACTTCTCCCTGCTGCCCTGTGAATGGAGCCCCCGCTCTCCAGCTCGAACAGGGTTCTCTGCACCCCCTTGCTTCTCAGGGATGTTTTCCTTCTGAAAAGTCCTGCCTGCATGGCTCCCTGGAGGACAGCACGCCTCCACCTACCCTGGGATCCTCGATTCCATTCCCTCTAATGAGCCCATCTGAGCTTGGGCAAGGCAATGAGGAGCGCCAGGCCTTCTCAGAACTGCTCTCACAGCCAGACAGGCAGGCGGCCCCAGCACGTTGCCCACTGCCTTGCCACCTTGTAATGAGCGGGAGAAATCTGGGAATTAATGAGGACAGGAAAATTAATCACAGGTTGCTGGGAGGCCTGCTGCAGGCTTGCAGCTCGGACTCCAGGTCCAGATTTGGGGGTGGGGATAGGAGATCTGGGGTCTAGGATCTTGCCATAAACATGGTGCCTTCCTTCACCTGTCTCACACTCAGAGAGGAGACCGTCCGGGGCAGAGTTAGGGGACGAGCAGGAGCCTTGAGGATGGAGTCTGAGTTCTGGCCCTGCCACCTGCTGTGTGATCTAGAGGTGGATGCTTAAGCTCTCTGAGCTCTGGAGTCCGCCATCTTTTTTTTTTCTTTGAGATGGAGTCTGGCTCTGTTGCACAGGCTAGAGTGCAGTGGCTCGATCTTGGCTCACTGCGACCTCCACCTTCCGGGTTCAAGTGATTCTCCTGCCTCAGCCTCCTGAGTAGCTGGGATTACAGGTGACCGCCACCACGCCCGGCTAATTTTTGTATTTTCAGTAGAGACGGGGTTTCACCATATTGGCCAGGCTGGTCTCGAACTCTTGAACTCAAGTGATCTGCCCACCTTGGCCTCCCAAAGTGCTGGGATTACAGGTGTGAGCCGCCATGCCCGGCTGAGTCTGCCATCTCTTAAAGGAAGAAGATAACCTGTAGCGATTCTCATGCTGATGAGGTGTCACACGTTTTACCAACCCCAAAACACACAGTTAGGAAATGAGCCCTTCGCCTCCCCAGGAGCTCACAGTCTCACTGCCCAGAGGATTAAAAAGATGTCCACATGGTGATGGCCCAAGGCAGTGTCCCTGGATGCACAGACCGTGGACCTGGACTTCTGGGGCTGCTCCGCCTTCAGCAGGCCACAGCCATCCCAAATTGCTTCTTGGGAAAGGGGAGGAAGGGAGGGCAGGGAAAGGCACAGAGGTGGGAGAGGACATCTGTGTTTCCTTTTCCAGTTTGATGGGGCAACTTGCAGGGGAGAGAGGAGACACAAGCTGCGGATGCTAGTTGGGGCCAAATGAGGGTGGGTGCATGTTGCCAGGCTGAGAGCGCGGCTGTGTGCCCCGACATATACGGAGGGCAGGCATCGCTCCACTCTGTGCCCCCCACCCCCTGCCCCCTGCCCCCTGCCCCCTGCCCCCTGCCCAGCCACGGCCTGCTCTGACCTGTGGTCAGCACTGGGGTCGGCTGTGGGGTGACATAGTCTAGTCCAGATATCATTGGAAGGCACAAACAACACGGCCCATCCAGAGACAGCTGCCGGAGCATTTTTTATTCAGGACAAAGATTTTCAAATGTGTTTTCAATCCCCTTCTAAGAAAGTAAGTTTATATAGAAGACATTTGGCCTTCCAGACTGCTTCGCTTATAACAGACTCTTTGTTTACCGCTGGGTATGGCCAGTGCCTGAGAAGGGAGTGGCTCTGACTCATGATGGGTGCAGGTGGGCACAGATAATTGCAAGTGAGCTCAGGTGGGCTCAGCTCAGAGGTGGCCTGAGGGAAATGCCATGAGCAGTGGGCTTGGAAGGAAGGGAGACACAGCGTAGGGCCCTGAGGTCTCTCCCATGACTGGGAGCTGTGGCTAGGTCACTGCTAGGGTCCTCTGAGCTCCTGTCACAAGCTGACTCTCCGTGGGGAGTAAGGACCACAGGGCTGGAAGTCAGGAGGGAAAAGCTCTCATGGGCCCCAAGAGGCTTTTGAGGGGCCGGCTGAGTCAGTGCCTGCAGTCCCCCCAGCAGCGGCTGTACCGACCCCAGGCTGGGGGCACAGAGGAGCGGAGGAAGGAGGCGCCTGACAGCAGGGCTCACGCAGAACTAAGAGGGAGACTGAGGCTGCGGGACCCGGGGTGGGGCTGAGTCCAGGACCGAGCCTCTCGGCTATGGGGCCACTTTGGTGCTCTCAGTATCCACCCGAGAAGACCCTCATGGAGGAGCTGGGCAGCCTTGCCTCAGCTCTGCTGGAGAGGCCTCGGAGGCTGGCTGCTCAGAGGCTGCACAGGCGAGTTGCTATGCTGCTCCCGGATGCGTTCAGCACAGGCCTGGGCATCCCTGCCCAGCTTCTGCCAAGACCCAGCAGGACCTGCCCACACCCCAGGTGTACAACCTGGGCACACACGAAGCGCCACCCCAGGGACCCACAGGAAGGCCTCTTCCCGCCGCAGGTTCACGCTGCTTCCCTGATATCCTTCAAGGCCTCAGAGAGCAAAGACTCGAGCCTCAAGGTGCCTGGTGAGCTCAGGACCACCTGCCCTCTCCTCACTGGCCTCATTCCTTCCTGGCCTCACTCTCTTCTCCTCCCCTTTGCTGCCCGGGGACTGCACGCTCCTTCCAAGGTGGCTTCTCTCTTTCCTTGGCCTCAGTGAAGACGTGGACCAGGGCCTGGGGGCTTACGTGGAAGGGAGAGGGTGCTGGGGAAACCGGGTCTTCCACTGTGGGTGGGGAGAGAGCAGGATGGAGGAGGAGGCAGCTGAGGGAGAAGACAGAGAGGCCAAGCAGGAGAAAGCGCTGCACCCAGGTCTCCAGAGGGTAGGAGACTCCCTGGATCCAGCAAGGTCCTTGGCTGCAAACAGCAGAGACGGCCCCTCTTGCCGCAGGGGTAAAGGACGTGTAGGGGCACCCAGAGTGGAAAGGCATCAGATAGGTGGAGCCCAGGTCACAGCCCATGGCCTGGCTTCCAGGAGGTTCCAGCAAACTCCCCCACCCAACTGTCTCTACTCCACCTGGAGACTCAGCTCCCCCTCCAGGAAGCCCTCCTGGAGCCACAGCCAGGCTCTGTGGGCCCTGGAGATTCCTCTGTGCACTTATCTGTGCCCAGCCATGCCAGCCTGCTCTTCATCAGCCCGGGAGTTTCCCTACGGAGGGAACAGCATCCCACTCCTCTCCCTGACCCAGGGCCCAGCCCAAGGTGAGGCACAAAAGCAGACGGGCGGAGGTGGAGCCGCTGGTAAAAAGCAAGTGAGCGCCAGAGGCCTGCACTCAACCCTTCTCAGCCGAGAGGCTGCGGTTTGGGCCAGGCCTCTGCTTGGCTTCTTGGCGCAGGAGTGGGAGGGCCAGTGAGGATGGGGGTGGGGCCATGTTCCTGCTAATTGGGTAAGCCTGTTGGCCATGCCTCAGGAAAGGTTTTCCTGGTTGCTTTCATAATGAAATGTTTTATGACATCAAATATTCCTCCTCATTAACCCAAAAGGTTAGGGAACTGCACCTCTTTTGTTTCCTGGGCAATTTGGTCTGACCTTTAGTTAGTGAAGGAGGTTGCTGCTGCCTCCAGCGGCTGGCTAGAGGGATCCTGCATCTGATGTGGCCCTTCTGCTGTGCCTGTGGCTCCCCAGTTGCCTCTGGGCCATCCCAGCCTCAGTTTCCCCATCTCTGTCATGAGTTAAGTTGGACTCAGTGGAGGGGCAGGGCAAGGGCCCTTTGGCTTCCTTGGAACTGGGAATGAAGGCTCAGTTTGTTTGGGAAGCCTCTTGGGAAAGGGTGGGCGTGGGTCTGTTCCCCTCACCCCAGCCTTATGCCTACCTGCTCCTGCTTTGGGCCCCCTGGAAGGCTGGCAGCAGAGGGGACCCCTTTACAGACCTCATGCTCGGAGAGTTGCTGTAGCTTGCTAAAGATGAGTTTGTCTCTTAATTGCTTGTCCACCTGGTTTTAATAACACTTTGCCCTGCAGAAATACTCACCCCTCAAGATTCTCACCCCTTGTGTGAGGCTCCAGCAACATAAGTAGAAATTAGAGCACTGGGAAGCTCTGTTTGTTGGAATAGCACTGGGAAGCTCTGTTTGTTGGAATAGCACTGGGAAGCTCTGTGTGCTGGAATAGCACTGGGAAGCTCTGTGTGTTGGAATAGCATGACAAACAGGAAAAGAACGAGTGTGCCTGCCTTTATGGGTGGCTCGCCCTGTGCCAGACACTCATTTATCTTTGCTGAAATGTTCTGTAATGTGTGCTGTTATGATTCCCATTGTACAGATGACACCATGGAGGTTCCGTGAGGTTAAATGTGATCTCACAGTTTACATTTGATGGAGCTGGGCTTTGAACCTGGGGACCGCATCCTCTCACCCCTCTCCTTTTCTGCCACCTTGGCTGGGAAGTGGAGGAGTTCTGACTCACAGCCCAAAGTCCTGTCTACACCGGATGCCAAGAGAAGAACCCGGCATACAGCAGACGGTGAAGATGCAGGCGCAGCCCTGCCAGGGGGTGGGCAGTGGGGTGGGGTGGGGGGCAGGGCTCCGAGCTGCTGGGGTGGCTGGGCTCCGTAAACAGAGGAGGGTGGAAAGGTGGTGGGGCCCCCAGTCTGCCCATGATAAATGTGGTGATTCGTGGACAGCCGTCAACAAGGGCTAGAGAAATCTAACGAGCCCAAAAAACGCCCTGCACGAAAATCTTTGGAAAAATCAACGGGAAACCAAAGCCTGCCAAAGACTTAAGCTTGTACCACTCGCTTCTTTGGAGCTCATCGGGCCCAGTTATTTAAGAACAACCACCCAAGATCAACTTTAGAGCCACTTTTCCTTGCAAGGAGAAGGCAGAAAGCTGAGAGGAACATAAGGAGGAGAAAAAACACGGAACCTTCTTTGACGGGATCCGTGTGCCTCTTGCCAGGTTTACACTTTGAAATGAGAAGCAAATGTTGGGAAAACATGTCAGACGATCCAGGCTCTGAAACCAGTGAGAGGCTTGGAGGGAACTAAGGAGGGGCGGGAACAGCCTGCATGAGGCCAGCGGCTCCTGTCAAGAGGAAGGGGCCTGAGCAGGAGAGCCCCACGGGCCCCCAGAAGGGTGGTGACACCGTCCGTCCACATATGGGCACCTGCCTCAGGAACTTGTCCAGAGCAGGTGGTCACGCTGTCACATGGAAATGGGTCTCAGGACTGGAGATGTGTCGAAGCCTGGAGCCAGGAAGCCTGGGGTGTTGGGCTCAGGACAGGCATGAGAACTGCCCTCCCATGTCTGCAAAGCTCCCAGGGGGTGAAGGAGCCAGAGAAGGTTCTTGAATTAGAGGTCATCTCCTTCTACCCAGCAAGGCACCCAGGACAGCATCCTGTTAGCACCTCCGACCTGGTCATCTTGTCTCCCACTTTCCTCTGGGAACAAGTTCCTGGGAGCCCCTGCAGGTTTTTCTGGCACGTTTGCCCTCTCCTGGGATCAGGCCGAAAGTCACTTTCTCCAGAAAAAACAGGATTCCACCTGTGCTCCTGCAGCTCCCAGGTTTGGGAGTGAACAGCGGGGACAGGTTCCTGGGGGCACTGGAGGTCATCCCCTTCCTAAGGGGGCCGGCTCCTGGCTCTGGTGTTTTCTCCATCCCTGTATATAACCACACCTCGAAGGACCTACTCTCCCACAGGCCTGAGCACCCACCCACTATGTGGCACCAGGCAGCAGAGCACATGGGCAGGGGCTATGGACCAACTTGCACCTCACCTTCAGACTTAGGGGCACCTGGGCTGGGAGTGAATGCCTCATTCCTGGAGGCTGTCTTCTTGCAGGGCTGTGGGAAGAGAGGGTAGAGACTGAAATTAGGATCCTCTCAGCTCAGATATTTGCAATGCTCCGGCCGGCGGTGGGCTGGGAGGCCTGGAAGACCTGGCTTGGCCTTGCCTCTTCGTCCCCTTCCTATGGGGCAGACTCGGGGACAAGACCACCCAGAGTCCCAGTGTTCACGGGCATCAGAGGTGCTGCCGCCTCTCACTGTGGGGCTTGGAGGTGCTGACTGTCTGTAAGCGCACAGCCCCCAGCCTGGAACCCAGCTCTGGGCAGAGCGGCAGGTGAGGGCTGCAGGGGTTCTGACCTCAGGAAACCCTCTCACTCCTCCCCTTCTGTGTCTCTCGCAGGCCCCCAGGGCAGAGACTACTTGCGTGGCTGCTGAGGGCACTCAGGCACCCCCACGCTGGCAGGTGTGCACGTTCCCACCTGCTTTGGGCACCCAGGGCCTTCCGGCAGCCAATGCCACACTGACTGTGGTAGCCCCACAGCAGGGGGCCGAGAACCTGGTGGGAATGCTAATGCCGGCAGGTGGATACCAAGGTGACAGCGTTTATGTGCCCAGCCCCCTGCCAGGCCGCATGGCTCAGCTGATAACCGCTCATTACTTCAGGCAGGCGCTCTGCCCTCCTAACGAGCCTCTTGGGGCTGCTTCCTGCAAGGAAAGTGCTTTCCTGTGCTTCAGTGGAGATGGAATAAGAGAAATAGGTACGTGTCTAGGGCAGGATGACAAATCGTTCCGTGAGCTGGACTTTCTAAGGTGTTGTCAAAAGTGCCTGAACCCAAGCGGGAACCCTTAGGGACAGCAAGGTCTCCCGGGAGAAATCCAGGCCTGGGGCAGACAGGCCGGGGCAGTACCCCCTCCTTTGCTGGCCACAGCCTGACTGTGGCCTCTCAAGACGTGCCCTGTCTCCCCTGGAGAGGGCTTAGTGAGCCCCAGCCTGACGTGGCTGTCCTGAGAATGAAACAAGAAACTGAGGCACGAACACTCTGCAGAGTTGGAAGTGCCCACACAGCCCCAGAAGGACATGGTAACACCCTTGGCAGAAGCCTCCATTCACACGCCCAGCTCCTCCAGCCCGCTAGCAGTGGGAGTCCAGAAGCAGGAGTCATGACTTGGTTCAGGCGTGATGAGACCCCGCTGGCACTCTGAAACCCCACCAGCCCCCAGCACCGAGCCCGCTGCACTCCTGGTGTCTTGCGCTCATAAACGGCAGTGCTCACTGTGCATGTAGGTTGTCAGCTGCTCTCCTCTGGCCAGGCACCAGGGGCCAGGGCTCCAGCAGGATTCGTACACCTAGGCCCAGGGCAGACAGGGCTTCCCAGACCACTTGTCTGCTCACCTCCAGGAGATGGGTAAATGAGGGCCACTATGGCAGTGGACCAGGCTGAAGGGACAGGGCTGTGACCAGCCAGGGCACTCCTGCCTGCAGCTGCCGTAGTTGGGGGAGACCCCTGTTCAAGGGCAGGGGTGCTTCAAGGCAGCATGATGTTTGCCTCTGGCACCTGAGGCTTGCTGCTTCAGGAACCAGCTGTGGATGGTGCTCAGTATTTCTGCTCTGCATAGGAACAATGGCCACTGGTCCCCGGGGTGCCGAGGCTTTGATGAGACCTGTCTCACTCAGGGTCCAGGGTGCCAGCAGCCAGCTACATCTGACACGGGTGGAGCCCATGTGGTTTCTGCTGGGGATGGGACCTCACTTCTCACTCCCTCCTCGGCTTTGCCTGCCTGTGTCAGCCCCAAAACGGAGCTTTCCTAGCAGATGGGGAAAGGCGTCTTGCAGGGAGAGGGAGGCATCCACTTCTCCCTGCAGTTCATTAAATCTGGACACGGGGATGCTTGTAGCAGCAGAAAGCTGAGTGATTTGTAATAACAGATGACAAACTAACACAAGTTGTTTTTTAATGACATTCTAGTAAAGTTGTGTCCCAGCCCCCTGGGATGGGTTTGTCTGACTGACCCACTGGAGCCTTCTTCGTGGGGAAAGGCACAGAGAACTTTGGTATTGAGCAGAATTTCTGTTCTTACAGCAGCTCCTGTGTCGCGGGGCCAAGGGAGCTGGAAGCCTGTGTGAGCACTGCCCCCCACAGCTGCCAGAAGCCCCTCAAGTTCCCTGGCTGGTCCCCCTGGGGGAGTGTATGGCCGAGTGGATGTGCTTGCTGGGTGAGGATAGAATGACACTGCACCTCTCCCATCCCCTGAAGACCCAGCTCAAAGACCATCTCTTCCAAGAAACCGTCCTCAAACCCTCTTGCCTTCCCCAGCCCCTGCCAGAAATGGCCTTTCCTTCTCCAGGCCCCCAGGGCCTCCTGTGGGCCTCTCTCAGATGGGTCGCCCTTGTTCCTTGGCCTTTGTTCCACCCATGCTGTGCACCCTACGGAGTCCTCTGGGACAGGAGAGCTGTCTGGGAGTCCTCTGGGACAGAACAAGATTTAAGGCTGAAGGTTTCCAATAGGAATCATCAACATCCCAGGAGGTCCCCTGGCAAAGCTGCCTGGTGCTTCCCCACCAAATTCCAGAAGAAACATGGTAACAGATGGCCTGGGAGCAGAAATCAAGCCTCCTTTCTGCCTTGCGGAGACTGCTGAACTGGTAGCCAGTAGGCAGGCAGACAGGTCATCTCTGGCTTCCAGAGAGGCACTGAATTAACAGGGTCCCTTGGGCAGCCATGGGAACGAGACAGAACCATAAGGCCTTTCAGTAAAATCACAGAGGAACTGTAGATCCATGACTGTGCCCAAGGATACAGCGTGGACCCTGAACAAAGCCTCAGCAACAGGCCCGCCCTGCCTCTTCCTGCCCCACACTTTCCTCAGTCAGGTCAGGGAAGACAGAAGACAGGTTTCCCAGCCTAGCAATGCCCAGACCTGGGAGGAGACTCTCATCTCACGGGTGACCTGTCGACGGTTTACAAGTGCATGATGTGGAGTCGTGGACTTGGCTGGTCCTCTATCTGTGTTGATTGGACCGGAATCTGCATCTGGGTAAACTGAGGTGAGGGGCTCCCAGACACTGGACGGGGTGAAGGCAAGGTCAGCACTGGAGGAAATGTTCCTGCTCGTCTCAGCTGAAGCCCCATTTCCAGGTGACCAGGGGTGACATCCCTGCAGAAGTCGCCCACCCACAGGCCACCCTGCTCTTGGGAACTGAGTCACATTCTACTTAGTAGCTTGGGGATGGTTTTACTTTGCAGTTAAGTAATCTTTAATAAGGTAATTAAAAAGGAAAAAGAAGAAAAACAAAGGCAAATGAGGTAACCGTGCAGCAGCATTATTGCCAGGGAGGGGCAGCCCTTCCAGGTTTGGCCTCAACACCAGCTATGGCCTCTGGTGCTTCTGAAAGGTCTCTGATTGACACTGTTCCAGGCTCAGTTCATCTCTACTTGCCAAAGGTGAGGTTTGTCTGCTTCCCCCCACAGATGCTGCCAGGGTCCTGAGAGTCAGCTTGGGGAGGGTGAGTAGATGCAGGGGTAGGGATGGGAGGGTGGATTCTGGGCTGGGTTGCACAAAGGCAGGCTCTGGGGCTTGGAGAGGATCCTGGGCCCCATCTGCATAATGAGCTCTTGACAGTGACAAATGGATAGTGACAAATCATATCCGCTCTCTCGTTTCATCCTTGCAGTGGCTCCAGCATGGAGACAGTGTCGGCTCCACTTTAGGGAGAAGGAAACTGAGGTCCAGGAAAGTCGGGTGGCTTTCCAAGGGCATCCCCCATGGAGGGATGTGGTGAGGGCTGGCCCAGGCCTTCCAGCTTCATCCCCACTGCTCCCACTATACGGGAAGTCTTGTGGGACGTATCCTGTGGCTGAACCTCTTCCCATCCAGCAGCATGGGAACCTCTTTCCATCTTCTTTCTCATGAAGAAAACCAAAAACAAGGATTTCCACTTCTCGGAGCAAGTCTTTACTCCACTCTTCTAATCCACTGTGTCCTGGACCCCACCCATATGGGGCCATCCTCCTGTGCCCAGCACCAACTCCGTCCCAGGGACCTTGGCTGCAATCACCTTCCTCTCTCACAATTCACAATTTTCTGGATTTTTTCCTCATGTCGTTTCCACTGACTCCTCACCAAAGCTCATCTCTCTCATGCTTCCCAGCCCTTGATCTGGACATCATAAGGCTGTAGAAAGATCCTAGGATAGAGACCGAGAAAGCTGAGTTCTAGAACTTTCCATCAACCAAAAGCATTATTTTTAACAATAAAAAGATTTGCAGGTTTGAGGATGGCTTCAGAGAAAGCTGCAGGATTCCAAAGCAGAATGTAATCTTTGGAAGCCCAGGTGAGTCTCCACCTGGCTGTGTCATGCTGCTTGCATCACATTGCTGCTCTGAGTCTTTATCTTCTCACCTAAAATTGACGTGGTTGTGATGAAGACTGAGCAAGGAAACACAATACTGAACTCAGTGCTTGGCATGTGTCAGGTGGATTGGTAGTACAAGCACCTGCCCTTCCTTCATGACAGGCAACCAGGACCCAAAACTTTCATCCATCTAACTTTCCATCCATACACTCACCCGTCCACCCATCCATTCTCTTATCCATTCTGTCATCCATCCAGCCATCTATCCAACCATCCATCCATCCATCTATCCCTCCCTCCATCCATATATCCATCCATCCATCTATCCATGCATCCATCCATCTTTCCATCCATCCATCCATTCATCCATTCCTCCACACATCCAATCATTCCTCCATGCATTCAGCCATTTCTCCATCCATCCATGCATCCATTCCAGTCATCCATCCATCCGTCTATCCACTCATCTATTCTTCCACCCATCCAACCATTTCTCCATGCACTCAACTATCACTCCCTTCCCTTCTCCCTCACTCCCTCCCTCCATCTAACCATTCATCCATCCATCCATCCATCCATCCATCCATTCATCCATCCACCCATCCACCCATTTTCCTACCCATTCTCTCATTATCCATCCATGCATCCATCCACTCACCCATTCACCCATGCATTCTCCTATCCCTTCTCTCAACAAACCTTCCTTCCTTCCTTCCTTCCTTCCTTCCTTCCTTCCTTCCTTCCTTCCCTGCTTCCAATCCTTAGCCCTAGATTATGTCACAGCTCTGGATTTCTGTAGCATGAGTTCACTGCTCTTACAGCTCCTCACAGCGGCCTCTCAAATTCAACTTCCTCCTCCCAAACCAACACCTTTTCTGAGAACCCCTCAGAAGGCCCTCTCCACTGTTCTTTGGCAAAAGACTCCATGGAGAACTTCATGCTATTCTTTAAACTACGGTTTTTTCCTCTTGCCTCCCCCCAGGCCCTCCCTCCTTATGTACCCACATTACTAAGCATGTTGCATTATGGGGCAAGAAGTAGAAACAGAGTAATTACCCATCCTTTTTGACTTTGTTTCCTGAGAGACAATTGAACAAAAATAACCCATTGTCATGTGGTCCCTGTCACAGCTACAAAATCTCTGGAGGTCTGGCATTCTGGGTCACAGATGCTTGCTCGCTTGGCACTAACTGCCATTGAGAGGGACAAGTTTAGGTTTAGAAATGCACAAACAACCCAAGATGAGTTGAGAGTATTTTCCTTTTTTTCTTTTCCTTTTCTTTTTTTGGTGCTCAAGTCTGAAGTTCTTTTCAATATGTCAGGCTTTTCAAAAAATGATTAAAATGCACCAGATTATTAAATAGAGCTGCTTCAGACTTAATTTAGCAAACTGTAACATTTTTATCATTTTTATAAAGCCCTTTTTAATGAAAACCGTCTGCAAGGAGACCAAATATCGAGGCTGAAATCATGTTTTCTCTATATTTGTTATCCCTGAAGATGTTGTTCCCAGATTTTACAGAAATAATAAATTTCATTTAGAAGTTTGGGCCTCCGCAGCCGTGCCACACATCTCTGAATTTTCCAATTTGCAGTGCGAGAAGCTCATCCCACTGTAATTTCTCACGCTTGCCAGCTCCTGACCGCAATTTCATACCTTCCTTGCCTCTTTGTAAATGTAGACCTTGTAGCAACATTCGACCCAATATGTTTATTCTACATGAGCCCAAAAAACGTTGTTCTAATGAGCATAAACATATTTTCTCAGTGACAAAATGTTTTCATCCTGTGGCTCCTGATTTTACAGGTCACTGCTTTGTGCTATTTCCCACAGGTCGTCCCCTCAGCCACCGGGAATTAGGCAGGAGGCGTCCGAGCTGGCTTTACACCATACAGGGTGTCATCTGTTTCGGTGTTGTGTGTGCCTGTCAGACATCCAAGCCTGTCCTGGACACCCCTCCAGTGACACCTCATTAACAGAGGTGAGACTTCCAGCCCCAGAAATTGTGTTTGCCATAAAACTACCTCGAAAGTGATTTCTCAGGTCCAAGGCCTGCGACCTGTCTTGGTGGCCGTCTGATGGCCTGTCTCCATGTTGGAAGCAGAGGTGGCTGGAGCCCGAGCTGCCCTGTGAAGTGGGCCAGGCCCTGTGGCCATGGCTGGCCAAGGTCATGACTGGCACACAGCCAGTCAGAATTACGCCTGAGAGCCAAGGTAGTGGGGCGTGGCGGGGGTGGGAGTGCTAACCTGGTTTGGCCCCTCTGGCTTCTGGAGTTTGGCTACAGAAGTCAGGTGGGGTCACGGGGCCAGGTAGTTCCTCCCTGGCTCCTCCTGGAGGGCGTCTTGTTAACTCTGATCTCTGGAGAGCAGAAGAGGGTTTGATGAGTACAGTGGAGCCCACAGCATAGAAAGGGCATCTGTCCTTCGGATCCCCCAAAGCCAACATCCTAACACTAGTCAGAGTCTGTAGGCCAGTCCGGTTCTCTTCAGCAACTGGGCTTTGGCTGGATTCTGAGAGCACCTCCAGTTCCTCCTCTCTGACGATCGAATTGGGAGGCAATCTGTGGCCAGGGGCACCCCTCTCTGCTGTGATTTCAGCCTCCAGGTGCTGCTGGTCCCAGGATGGGTTTGTATCTCCTGCTTTGCACCTGACTTGCAGGCATCACAGGTGCAATTGCTCTCAGTGCACTTTGGGTGCCCAGTTTTTTATCGAGGACTGGAAGTAGGGTCACCAACCATCCTGGCTTGCCTGGGACTGAGTTTTCTGGGATGCAAGACTTTCGGAGTTAAAATCAAGAGAGTTCCGGGCACACCAGGGAGGCAGATAAGCAGCGTTTATGCCGCCGCCTTTGGTGAAAAGTCATTTTCTGTAGGGGGGCCAAGTGGAACGTATCTCTCCTCCACCATACTGCAGGAGCATGGACGCCAGGGCACACCCTGCGTAACACTGTAAGTGTTCCCCGGCTGCTTCCAAGTGCCAAGGGATGTTCTCTCCACTTCTTCTTCATCCAAGAAGTTTAGGCAAACCAGCACATTACTGTCTGGGGTCATTCTCAGTCCTCAGCACCAGGGGACTGGCACCCAGGGAGCTTGATTCCATGAGTAACTGGCCTTCCCAAGAGGCCAGTTCTCTCAACACACTTGGGAAGAGACCGAGGCCAGAGGGGACAAGACTGGCCCACTGTCACTCAGTGAGTTGGTGACACTGTGGGGATCTGGACAGACCCCAGGGCACTGACCTCCCAGCACAAGGCTTTTTCTACCATGCACCTTGCCACGACCTGGCCCCAGCAGACCCCCCACATTCTCCTCCCAAGAAGCGAGGCCAACTTTCAGTTCAGCTGAGGTCACCCAGAACTCCCGGTGGCTTTTGTCACATCCAGCCTTACACTCCCATCAGTGCCAATGTCCCCAACCAGCCCTACCACCAAACTAGCAATCTTCTGAACCCCATGCTGTGAAGAACAAAGGACCAATTCAGCCTCCTGGGCAGGGAAGGGGTCTCATTAAGGCCCTGGGAGCCAACGTGGGGGCTGAGGTATTGTTTTTAATGGAATAACAAGAATTTGCTGTTATGTGTTAGATTAAAGGCTTTATCCTGGGGAATTAATCGGATTGCTACTGGCCTTGAGTCGCATAGCCTTTGACTTCACATCCTCAGAGAAGTCACAGACCAGGGCTGTGAAATTGGTTCATTTCTCTTTCTGGTATTTAATGAAGCCCCAGACAGCCGTGGCACGGCATCTCCTCCCCAGGGCGGCTGTGAATTACCTCTCACCTGCACTGGCGACAGTCTCTGAGCACTCACCAGCCCACCCCCCTCCTCCGCTAATCCATCCAAGACACACTGCCAGATTCATCCTCGGAAAACATAGCTCTGGTCACGAACTGCTCAGAAGCCTGGGTCTGCCCACCGCCTCCAGAATAATCTTCAAATTCTCCCATCCCCTGAGCTCCTGTTTCAACAAACTTCAACTTTTTATTGGAGTATAATACACAGGTGGAATAGTACATGGATTGGAGGTGTACATATTGAATTTTCACAGAGTAGCGGTGCAGGCCTCTAGCCATCCCCCAGAACAAGAAACAGAACCATGCCAACGCCCCAGAAAACCTCCCACCACACCTCCCTTCCGGTTGGCAGCCTTCTGTCCCAGGGGTGACAATTACTCTGCTTTCCACACTATTTTTAAGTGGTTTTTACATTTTTATACATGAAATTATACAGTACGTTGTGTATGCTTTTGTGTTCAATATGCTTTAAAAAGGTGGCCTCTCCTTCCAGCTCTGCATACCCCACACAGCCAGGAAATAGTAGGCACCTCCCAGACAGACCCCACCATGCGACCCTGCTCCTCTGGGCATCTATCATGCCTCAAATCCTTGACTATCTGATCAGGAGCCCCCTTTTCCAGGAAGCCCCTCTGGATTCCCCTGCATGCTGAGAGCTGCTTCCTACGGGTAGAAACTTCCCCCGTGTGAATCTCTGGTTAGACCGGGAGCTGCTCAGGGATGGGGACTCCTGGGGGTACCTGTCTAAGGACTTGCCTCCCAAGGGGAAGTTTGTCCATAAACAATAGTGCTTGCCAGTCCATTATGAGTTCCCGTTTCTTCCTCTATTGTAGTGTATCCTGTCTCAAGGCATGAGTTTGCTTGTCATTGTCATCATGGATTTCAGATGGTGGTATAGTCTCCTGGGAAAGAGAGGGAGGAACCAAGAAAGAAGCCAGGAAGAGAGGGAGGGAAAGAAGAGGGTGGCTAAATGTTTGAAGGCCTACTATGTGCAAACCCTTGTGGTCACTATGCTGCTATTGCCTGGTTCCATCGTCTCAACCACCTCCTGAGGTGAGTTCAATTTCCCTACAAGCTGTGTGGCCCTGCACAGGTTGCTTGACATCTCTGAGCCTCTGTTTTCTCCTCTGTAAAGTGGGGATCATGGAACCCACCTTGCAGGCTGCTGTGTGGACAGGTGATAGTGAGGCCAAGAGCTGGCCCGGGGCTGGGGGCACGGGAGGCCGCCAAGTCACAGCTGTGATCACAACCTCGATGTCCTGTCTTTGCATCTCACCTTGGAGGAAGGAGGAAAGCCAGAGAAGCTCTTCCCACCCCGGGAGGAAGCTGGGCAAATCTCAGCACCTCCTTCCTCCTCTTGCAGACTCTGCTGGGTGTGACCCAGTTGAATATCTCTGGAAGCCCCCGCAGCTAAGCAGGGGCCATTCCATTTCTTCCAATCTTGTCCAAGGTGAGGGTCCAGCCCAGGGGGGAGGACTGGGCCATGGTGGCTCTGGGCACCCCCGGCACCCCTTCCCTGAGGTCTGCATATCTCCAAGAGGAAGGGACACACTGGAACTGCCTGGGAGCTGGCAAGAGGTTTAGATCTCTGCTTGGCACAAGACACAGAGGTCCGGTTGCTGCTCTGCTGAGGTGAAAGCCGGGATCGGTGGGGCCTCGGGTGTAGTTTCTAAGGAAACGTCTTTCCGCCACACCTTCATTGTCGGTGACTGAGACCCCAGAGTTCTATCTTCCATCTGGCAAAAATCTGTGAAAGTTAGTTCCTATTTCATACCCAACAAATACCCTAAAGGGACTGAAGATTTAATAAATGACAAATAGCTAGAGCATTAGAAAAGGGAAGAAAAATACCGGACCCTCAGATGGGGAAGGCTTTCCAAGCAAGATGCAAAATCCAGATGCCGTGAAGGAAAATAATAACCAATGTAAGATCATGAGACCACTGAGTGCTGAAAGACACACACACATACACATGTACACACACATACACACAGGCACACACACAGATGCGCACACACACACACACAGGCACACACACAGATGCACACACACACGCACACACACAGATGCACATGCACACACACACGCCACACACACAAACACTCGCACACACACACACACAGACTAAAATTAAAAGATAAATAACAAACTGGAGGAATATAGTTGAATGTTTCTGATAGACAAAAGAGCAATACCCTTAATAAACAAAAAAGTTATAAATTAATTGAAACAACTCTCAATAGGAAAATGGACAAAGGCTCCAAGGAGGCAATTCACAGGAGAGCAGTAAAAATAGCCAGAAACATCTGAAGAGTTTCTTGACCAGAGAATTTTACATTACAAAATGAAACAATGAGATGTGGGGTTCCTTTTGCTGCTGACATCGGCCCAAGAGTTCCTGTTTGACAGTAGCCAGGGCTGACAAGGGTGTGAGCAGCAGGTGCAAGCCTGTGCATCCACGCCGCGTGCGTGCCTGTCTAGGGAGGGTGCTTAGGAAGAATCTTCCACGATGAAAAATGCAGCAACCCCCGGACGCAGCCGTGGGTTGTAGGGATCCGGCAGGACCTGCTGCAATGTCTTTCTCTGGGTCTCAGCAGGACACATCTTGTCCACGCATGCCTGTTCGTCTTTAATGCTCTCACCTTAGATCCCATAAAACTGGGGCACCCCCCCCATCACCCATGTGAAGAGAGGTGGGGCCCAGGGCAGGTTCAGTGCACGTGGGGCACTCCTGCTGTGACCGCTCCCTGCAAAGCCTTTTCCCCTGCTGGGTCCACCTCATTCTGGAGGACACCCCCAGATCTCAGGCCATGCATGTGTGTTCAGGCCTGGGTGCAGTCACAGCTCTCAGGGTGGTCGCAGTGGCAGCTGCTGGGTCTGGGGTTGGGGACCTTGGCCGGGCAGGCTCCATGAGGCTCTCCTGTGCATGAGCTGACTCACATGCGTGCTTGTGGGGCCTGTCACACCGGTTCTGGGGATGGCAACCCGGGATGAGCGCCCCTCAGCCTTTCCATGGGGCCCAGAGCCTGCCAAAGGTGGCAGATACTTCAGGCCTGGAGTGGGGTTGCTGCCGGCCTCCCAGCTGCTGACAGCCTCCTGGGAGAGACCTATGCCTTCCCTGCAGGTGGCCGCTGTGCTAGACGCTCACATGTGTGGCCTGGGCGGGCTGGGCCGGAGGTCCCGGGCATCCCTGCCCCGCGGTCCTAGTGTGAAGGCTGCACTGCCCACCAGGTGGCCTGGCTCCAGGACTGGAAAGAGAGGACCCTTCCTGCCCAGGGTTTCTCTCCAAGCCCACAGCGCCTGGGGAAAAGCAGCCCCTCGTCCGCAGCCGCAGCTCATGGTGCCCCCTAGCGGGATCCGGGCTGGCGGCAGCTGCATGAGCAGGGCTTTGGGGTGGGTGGGAGCAGCCTGGCTCTGCTGTCCCTGCAGCCTGGGCCTGGGGCCTGTTGCACAGGGAGATGCCCCTAGAAATGAAAGGAAATGAGAAAGTGAGGAGGACCCCGGGACCAGAGATGCAGAGGAGGGAGGGAGAGGGGCCAGGGGGAAGGAAAAGGAAGAAAGGGAGTGGGGAAGGAAAGGGACAGAGACTCAGAGACTGAGAAGGGGGAGGATAGTGGAAGAGGGGAAGGGAAGAAGGAGCAGGGGTAGGCAGGGAGGGAAAGAGGGGAAGGGGAGGGAGGGAAAGAGGGGAAGGGGGGCAAGGAAAGCCCTGAACCAGGGCAGGGAGAGACGGAGCTGGAGAAGATGCCAAGGGTGTTCCCCACCCCTGACTCTTCCATTCATCCTGAAAGTGATTTGGACACACATCTGCCTCACTCTCTCAGGGAAATGGTTTTCTTGTCTATGAGTGGGTTTGAACACCTGACCCCTCCCTGCCCCAGTGCATCTTGCAAATCCCTTAAACTTGTCAGGAGACATAGTCGCAGCCTCTGCGATGGTCTCTGGAGACTCTGGCCTCCTGGTGTTCACACCCAGAGTAATCCCCTCCCCTTCAGTGGGAGCTGGTCTTAGTGATGGCCTCTCATGAGTACGATAAGCAGACATGATGGGACATCACTTCTAAGATCAGGTTTTAAACACCATGGCTTTCGCCTTTGGGTCCCCCCTCCATTAGATCTCTCACTCTGGGGGAAGGAAGCTGCCATGCTCTGAGGCTGCCCTGTGGGGAAGCCCATGTGGCCAGGGACCAGGGCCTGCCCATAGCACATGTATGGACTTGGGAGTAGAGCATCCCCACACCAGTCGAGTCTCTGATGAGACCATAGCCCCAGTCAACAGGCTCATCACAGCCTGTGACAGACCCTGGGACAAAGGCACCCAGCTGAGCCATCCAGGTATTCCTGATGCTCAGAACCTGTGAGATGATGAATGTTTTTGGTCCCCAGCTGCTAAATTTTGGGGTTATTTGTTACACAGCCACAGACAGCTAATACAGGAGCCCCCCAGGGAGAACAAAGGGGTCTGCCTCTGAGGGAGTGTGGGCACTGGCCGGTCACTCTCTGGACACTCTCTGGCCTTGGGAGCTCTCTTGGTTCCAGCCTTGGGGTTCCAGATGGGGAAACAGGCCTGGAACAGGGTGGCATTTGCCTGAGGTCTCCCCTGCTTTGGTCAGGGGCTGGAGTGCCTTCCTTGGCGGGCCTGACTTTGGGACTTAGAGACACTAGGTCCTCAAGGGCTCTGCTGGGGGAGATATGCTGCAGGCTGTTGGTGCAGTCACAAGAGAAGGTCCTTGGACCCTGGCAAGGGCAGGCACAGGGCAGGTGCTGACCAGGAGGACAGCATCCTTCGACCTCCCCTGGCCCCTCACTCTCCGTTCCTCATAATGGAAGTGATTTGGGGAAGGTAGGGTTGGAGGGAGTGGGGCTGGGGTCAGGGCAAGGGTATGCACTGGTCTCTGTGATTTGGCTAAATGGTGGTCCTGCAGGTGGCTTAGAAGGCTTAATTCCCCACCCACACCTCCCACTATAAGTGAGGAGCTGGGGCCCGGGAAGGAAGGAAGTGGCTCAAGCTCACAGCAGAAGCTCTGCAGAGTGGTGAGCAGGGCCACTGAAGCCTCCAAATCCATGGGCCCTGGAAACAGCTCCCCACTTACCCCACAAACCCTCACTACATCTGGAGACCAGAGCTGGCCAAGAAGGAGAAGGAAGTGGGGAGCCAGACATGCCCACATCTGCACCTCAGGTCTGAGGCTGATGGGTCTCCCCACTTCCCCACACATCCTCTTTGGGCCCCAGTTCTGAGCCATGGTGAGCACTCTGGGCATCACACTCGACAGAAATGATGATTTAGGCACACCAGATAAGACACAGGGTGCCTGATTAAGTGGGAATCCCAGACAACCAATGAATAATTTTTAGATATAAGGATATTCATGCAATATGTGGGATATACTTATACTAAAAAAGTATCTATTGTTTATCCGAAATTCCGACTTCACAAGGCATCCTTTTTCTCATTTGCAAAATCAGGCAATCCTATGACAAGGGCAGGCAGGCTCCATACAGGTGGCTGTGAGCCTCTGGCTTTGGGCCATGTCACACTATTCCTTAATTGGGTATGGGAGTTAGGGACTTAGCAGGGAAGAGCTGGAGTCTGATAACTAAACACCAGCACCTCTTGTTGATAACTAAACACCAGCACCCCTTGCTGATAACTAAACACCAGCACCCCTTGCTGATAACTAAACACCAGCACCCCTTGTGATAACTAAACACCAGCACCCCTTGCCATCTTGGGCTGGATTTCAGCCCTCACCTCTTCATACCCTGGGCCTTGAGCAGGCAACCAGCAACACAGCCCTTTGAGGACAAGGTGAATCGGGATATCTTGAAGGGTAATGAGCTCCCTGTCATGGGAGGTGTGTCAGGACTGAGAATGCGATAGCGGGAGAGGAAAGGAGGGCATAAGCCACTCAGCTCACCAATGGGTCTAGAAAGAAGTTACCGAGGACTCTCCTGGGAGGGGTGCCCTTGGAACAGATCTTGAGTGCCGGGGGGGGGGGTGACCCAGAGGGAGCAGGGAAGGGAGGTGCAGGCAGGAGAGCAGGCCCTGCAGGGGCTAGAGGAGGTGCAGAGAAGGGTGTGGCTGGGAGATGGTGACCAGAGGCTGGATGAGTTTCCTATCGCTCCTGTAACAAATCACAACAGACTTAGCAGCTTGAAACAACGCAAACTTTTCTGGAATCAGAAAGTCGACATGGAGCTTACGGGGGTAAAATTGAGGTGTGCTCAGAGCTGGGTTCCTCTGGAGGCTCTAGGAGAGAATTCCCTCCTGAAGCTTTTCCAGCTGCTAGAGGAGCCTGCATTCCTTGGCTCATGGCAGCATCATTCTAATAATATCTTGTCCATTGTCACATTTCCTTCGCTGACCCTGAGCCCTCCCACCCACTGACCTCCTTCTTACCTTATAAGAACCCTGCGATCTCACTGGGCTCACCTACATAATCCAGGATCATCCCAGATCATCCCCCACCTCAAAATCCTGAATCACATCTGTAAAGTCCTTCTGTCACACAGGGTGACACATTCACCGGTCCCAAGGGCTGGGACATGGGCATCCTTCAGGGGCATCCTGTGATTTTCCCAACAAAGGCAACTGCCAAGCCTGGCAGCGGCTAGTCAGAGGCAGCCTTGGAGCCCAGTTTCAGGGATGCAGGCCTTTTCTTGAGGCCCTGCACCTCAACTGAGTAGGGCCAACTTCAGGCCCTGCTGGTCGAAGCCAGTGTGGGTCAGGGGCAGCCTGAGCCCCCTGTGACCCTGGTGTGGCCAGTGGAGGTGGGTGGCTGTGTGCTGGGACTGACCCCCCGTAAGTGTCAGCAGCAGAGCTAGGGCAGGGAGGGGGCGTGGGCAGCTCGCCTACATGGGCAAAGCATGTAAAACACGTGCTTCACATTAAGGCTGCAAGAGTGTGATTCCCATCCCAGCCTGGCACACCAGGGACGCCTGCTGCACGCAGTCCTGGCAGGGTTCAGCAGCTGCTGCAGAATTCCGAGGCTGTGAGCACTGCCTGTGGAGAGCAAGGCCTTTGATGTTGACAAGGCGGCGGGGAAGGAGGAGGGGGCTGAGCGTGAAGTCCCCCCATCCCCAGCCCCAGCCCCAGCAGGCAAGGTCTGCTTTCCACAGAGCCTGGCATTTTGGGGCCCTACTGGGGGAATGCAGCCCACACACACGAGCCCTGCTAGCTGGAAAGGTTGAGCTAAGGTCCTCAGTGAGGCGTGGCCGAGGCCTTCTCAGAGACAGCATGATGGGAGGCTTAGCTTGTGTTTGGGCTTCTGCCTCCTCTCCTCTACTTTTGCCTCATTTTGGCCTTCACCTTTCATCAGAGTGGGTTGAGTCCCTGTGGGGACTCTGTTGGGGACCTGAGGATGCCCCTGTTTCTCTGAGTCTGAAGAGAATTCATCAAGGCCCTCATCAAGAGCCCCAGCATGCTGACCATGGGGTCTCACTGTGGTCTGGAGGAGAGGTTCTGCTTCCCCAACCCCATCTAGACCGATTTTCTTTATTATTATTATTATTTTAATTTTTTATTTTTTGAGACAGAGTCCCACTCTGTGGCCCAGGCTGGAGTGCAGCGGCACAATCTCAGCTCACTGCAACCTCCGCCTCCCTGGTTCAAGAGCTTCTCCTTCCTCAGCCTCCTAAGTAGCTGGGACTACAGGCGCCCACCACTACATCTGGCTATTTTTTAAATTTTTAATAGAGACGGGGTTTCACCATGTTGACCAGGCTGGTCTCAAACTCCTGACCTCAGGTGATCCACCCGCCTTGGACTCCCAGAGTGCTGGGATTACAGGCGTGAGTCACTGCGCCTGGCCTAGACTAATTTTCAAACCCTGTTCTCCATCCTGTGCCCACTCTGGTCCTTGCTCTTGAATCGTGCTCCAAGTTTCTCACCTCGGAGACTTTGTCTGTGCCATTCCCTCCCCACAAGAACATCTTGCCTCCAGCTCCACCTCAGAGCCCGGCTGGCCTTCACTGCCATGTGCTCATCTTCTCTGAGTCTTTTCAGGAACCCATGTCTTCCTGCTGCCCAATCTAGTCCGTTCCATGCTGTTCCGGGTTCTCAGAAGCCTGGGTCTCTAGCTCGGACGCGGCAGTGATCGCTCTCCATCTTGGAGGACGGCTGGGAATTTCCATGTCTCCACCCACCCTGTCCCACGCCCAGCTCAGGGCAGTTGGTCTCCCTGCACAGGGTCGCTTTGGACATCTGTGACTCTGACACTGAACAGCATTACTATGACACCCGCCCTTACAGCCCTGTTGCCTAGAATAGCCCCTGGTACGTGGAAGTGGCTCCCTACAGCTAGTGAATAAACGGAAGAGTCTGGAGGTGAATAACGCTGAGAGGGGTGCCAGGGTCCTGGAGCCCTGCTGGGCCAGGGGGCGGTTCTGGATTTGTAGGTGCCTAGGGGAAAAAAGTTGGGAAAGAGGTCATGCAGAAGGGGACATTTGAGCTGGGTTGTAAAGGCTGAGTAGGAGTCTGTGAGAGGGAGAAGTGGAGAAATTCGTGCTAGAATGAACATTTTTGTCCCTGTGGACCCAGGGTCAGCACATGCCACCCCGTGTCCATGTTCTGCCTGAGACCTCTTTTTGCATGGCCTGTGAGCTAAGAATGGCTTTACATGTGTGAAAGCTTGTCTTATAAAAAAGGCAAAGAAGAATATGCAGCAGAGACCGTATGCAGCTTGCAATGCCTGAAACGTTTACTCCCTGGGCCTTTACAGCAAGGCTTCCTGAGCCCTTTCTGCACAAGGGGGAGGATGTACATGGGGCTGACCCTCTCCTAGGAGCTCCGGGAGGGCTGAGGATGGGAGCTTGAGCTGACTTGCACATGGGGGAGAGAGCTATGGATGTGGATCCACCACCCATTACTGCATGAGCAAGGCAAGCCCCTGCCCCTCTCTGGCCTCAGTGGGTGATGGCCTCTTTCTCACAGGAAGGCGGGAGGGCTGGATGAGATCACTGCTGTCACAGAGTTGAGCAGGCCTGGCCGGGGGGCCCACCGTCTCTGCAGCCAGATCCGTGACCCTCGGGCCTGGGAGGGAGAAGACTCCCACACTCCGTTTTGAATTAGCCGTATTTTCCACCGGCTGCCTGAGTCTGGAGGGACCCAGCAAGACGATGTTCCAAGCTTAGTAACGTTTCAGCGCTAATGAGCTGGAATTCTGGTGGTTTCTTTTATTCCCACTGTGTTTACCTCAATCAGCGATCGAAGGTTGGCTGGGATGGTTGTCATTTTCTTCTGTGATTACAGCTCTGGCAGGCGGGCCTGTTTTCCAGGAAAGGCCACTCTTTCCCATCTCTGCGCGGACTAACAGTGTCTTTGGAGGCCCCTGGATGCCAGACTGGGATATGGGTCACAGCAGCAGACACCGGGTGGACACCAGGCTTCTCGCGTAACTCTGGTGCTTTGCATCAGCTCGTGTTGTGTCCGGTTGTAACTGTCGGTTACACTTCCTGAAGACGGGGGCCATTTCTGAGTTATTGTCTTAGTTTGGATTCCCCCAGAAGCAGAACTTGAGACAAGGTTTTAGTACAAGCAGTTTCTTTGGAGGTGATCCCAGTAAACACAAATAAGGGGCAGGATGCATTTCCAAGCAAGCTACCACTGGGAGAAACTGAGGCACAATCCTCCTGGGGAGCCCCAGGGGTCAGTGTAGGGCATGTGCCCTGGAGCTACCCCATGCAGAAGTGGGGAGCGCTGGGGTCCTTGAATGACAGCACTGCTCCTAGAGATGTCAGCTTCCTAGTATTTCGGGCCAGCCATGTGTGCATAGAGCAGACCTTAGCAGCTTCAAAGAAAGCACCTCAGGCAGAGAGAGGCAGCAACTGGCAGCTGGATGGCGGCTGGCACGCTCTGAAATGTTAGATCCAAGGGGATGTAGCAGGGCAGGCCCAGCGCATCTGCTACCATCATGTTTACATGTCCTACCATCCACGCCTATGCCACTGCCACGCACATGTCTGGTCCTTCTAAGCTCTGCAGTACATCATGGCCAAATGACTCTCCTTTTAATGGACAGGGAATTGGCCCAGAGTCCTGGGAATACACGTAGATGACCGTTACCCGGACAGTGTGACCTGTCCGGATTTCTTAAGTGCCTGCTCTGTACCAGGCCTGGGAATGCCTAGAGGACGCTGACCCAGGCAGGCCCCCGGCTCCCCTGTGTCTCCTCCAGGGCTCAGCGGGACACCACCCAGAGAACGTGTTCAGGAATCGTGTGCTGAGCTCCAAGGTGCTGAGCAATGCCCTGTATCAGGAGCGTCCAGGAGGGCCAGGCTGGGGGCCTCGATAGCAGGCCAAGCTGATGGCAGGGGAGCTTCTGATGTGCCACAGGGGCCAGGCAAGGCCTCTGACTTGGGGTGGGAAGGGGTTGGCCTATGTTGTAAAGCTCATACTGGCTGATGGGCTACGGTCCTAGGGGTGCTCATGAGCCTAAGCACACACTGTGCAGCCCAGGGACCTGGCCTAAGGGGAGGTCCAGGTGGGTGGGGGAAACGCAGGCCATGTCACTTTCTGTACAGTGGCCCCAGTTACCGATGCTGAGGCAGCAGCATCCCCCTCCCTCCCTAACAGCCTGAGTCCGGCTCAGGAGACACCTGCCCTTCTCTTATTGTCTTTGGTCTGCACAGCAGCTGTGAAGAACCAGGCCTAATAACACCACTTTGCGGGTGACACCGCTGAAGTGGCCTTGCTGGTGAGTGGCCCAGCAGACCTCACTCCTGAAGATGTCCTGGCCCTTTCCCTTGGTGTCAGCGATGTCCACCACACAGCAAATGGCCAGACACTGCATGGCTTGATGTAACACGTTTCTGTTCTCACAGTTCCTGTGGGGCAGGAGTCCAGGCCTGGCTGACCTGGGGCCTCTCCTCAGCGTCTCATGAGGCTGCAATCAGTGTTGGCTGGGTCGCATTCTCATCTGGAGGCTTAACTGGGGGGAAATTGGCTCCCAAGCTCATTGGGGTTGCTGGCAGAACTCATTTCCTTGTGGCTCGAGAACTCATGGAGGCTGGTTTCTTCAAGACCAGCAGGAGACAGCATCTGACCCTGAGGTCCAGGCCCTCCTTTAAGGGCTTCTGCCTGAAGAACGCAGGCTCACCAAGTGTGATATTAATACTTCAAAATCCACCAGCCTCGATCTGCAATAACTCATCTCCTATGCCATGTTCTGTTGCTTAGAATTCAGCCTTGGGTCCCCCACACTGAGGGACTGCACAGGCACGGACAGTGTGGGGAGGGAGGGACTATTGGGGTCACCTTGGGGTCTGTCTGCCACACCATCCTTCATTCATTTGGCCAAAAAATGTCCCAAGATGCTGGCCTTAGCTCACACCAACTAGAATGGGCACTTGGTTTTGTCACCCACGGAATGAGTATTGCTTTCTGCTGCCATCTGAGGTTCCTCTAGTGATGGTGCCTCACTGGGGGCATGCAGCCCTGGGCAAGGGCTGGGTTCTGTGGGAGGGAGGTGCGGAGAGCCCTGAGTGAGCCTCACCTCTCATCTGCATGTATATTGCCTGACTCTGACCCAGGAGCCCACGTGGAGTGCAGACCTGGAGGCATGTCTTTAGCAGGGTACGCACTCCTGCCCACACCTCTGGCCTCCTGCCCACACCCCTGGCCTCCTGCCCACACCTGCCAGGCAGAGCCTTCTGTTTGGATCTGCCGCGCTCCACCTGCTTTGTGACATTAGGGAAGTCACTCACCCTCTCTAGGCCCACGTTGTCCCTCCAGTGAAGTGGAAACGGATGGACTGGGCAGGGCCCAGAGTCCTCACCTATACCAGGGAGACAGTGCCACCCAGGAAGGGACTCTCTCTGAGACTGTGGTCCTGGTGGCAGGGGAATCGAGGGAAGGACCGGCTGGGGCCCAGCAGAGGAGACTCAGCAGAAGCCAGCATCTCCACATCCGCCTTTGCTCTCTCTCCCAAGCCCATACTGTTTTGTAAAAAAAATAATTTTGCCTTCTTTCTTTAAAACAACAGACAGGCAATAAGCCTCCTGTGCTCAGGGCCTGGAAGAGACTTGCGAGAAAGTGCAAGCAACAGAGCCCGAGGGGTCACTGCAAAATGCCAGCCCTGCCGCCCTCACCACTGCGGGGAACACAGAAACCAGAGCCTGTGGTGGCAGAGGGGAGCTGTGGGCGGTGGCAGCAAACACTTGAGCTCTCCGCCGGCCACTTATGTCCCCGTGAGCCCTCACTCAGACATGTGCCAGCCCACGCATCAGCCATCGCCGGCCTCCACCTGCAGGCTGGGAAGGCAGCTGCCCGGTGTGTATTTTACATTTGCCTTTTCCAAAGCCAGCCTAGCGTGTGGCCTCCAGTGGTGCTGGCCTCCTGCTGCCTCTGCGTGGCTGACTGGCATTTTGGAAAAAAGTGAAGTTGGAGGGTGTTCTCTTTCCCTCTTTGTGAGAGAGGTCTGGGGTGCAGGCTGGTGGGTGAGGGGAGCTTGAGCACTGGGCTGGGGTGACACTGGCCAAGTGGGGTGCCAGCCATGTCCTGAGCCAGGCAGGAGCTCAGGAAAGCCCCTTGCCCTCTCTGGGCCTCGTCTGCAAGCTGCCCTGTGCCAGACTTCCTGGAACTCTTAGGATGGAGGCCCAGGGTGGGGATGGGGGAGGATGCAGCCGGTGGGAGCAGGCTCAACCCAGAAGATGAGGTCCCTGCTCGGGGTGTGCACATCTGCACGGGGAAGTGCTTCTTTTTTATGAGGGGACTTCAACTGGTTAAATTTTACAGCAATAGGAAACTTGTAACCTCACTTAGTAATTACATGGAGCCCTGCAGTGAGCACACCCCATAAAAGTCCATTGCCCGTGGGAACCTGGTGAGGGGAAGAGCTCCTGCCACCTCCTCTCCTCTGCAAGGCAGGCGATGCCCAGGCCCTCAGGGGTGTGGACGTTGCAGGCACCTTGAGGCCCCATCAGAAGGGTGGCTCCATGCCAGGCACCCCAGAGTGTCTGCTGGTGGGGTGGCCTGTTCAGTTTTCTCTCAGAGGACTGTAGATAGAGCCTCTCTGTTACTTGAACCAATGCCTGGCTCACTGAGGCCACACAAGGGCCACATCACACATGCTCCTGAGCAACAGCTGGGTGTGGGCAGCAGAATAATGACCCCTAAGGGTGTCCAGTACCCAGAACCTATGACTGTGTGACCCTACCTGGCTCAGAGACTTTGCAGATTTAATTAAGGATTTGGAAATGGAAAGGTCTCTCTGGAGTGTCTGCTGGGCCCAACGTAACTGCAAGGGTCCTTATAAAGGGAAGAGAGAAGCAAGAGGGTTGGAGTCAGAGGGGGAGAGGTGACCATGGAGCAGATGTTGCGGTGATGAGGCCACTAGCCAAGGAATGTGGACAGCCTCTAGAGTTGAAAAAGACAAGGAAACAGCCTCCAGGAAACAGACAAGGAAACAGCCCACACCTTGGTTTCAGCCCTGTGTCAGACCTTTGGCCTCCAGACTTGTAGGACCAATTTGTATTGTTTCAGACACCACATTTGTGGAAGGTGATTATGGGAGCAGTAGGAAAAGAATCCACCAGTGCTATAGACTAAATGCTTGTATCACCCACCTGAGCCGATGTGGTTTTGATATGGTTTGGCTCCATGTCCCCTCCAAAATCTCACCTTGAATTGTAATAATCCCCTTGTGTCAAGGGCAGGGCCAGTGGGAGATATTTGAATCATGGGGGCAGTTTCCCCAAACTGTTCTCATGGTAATGAATAAGTCTCATGAGATCTATGGTTTTATAAATGGGCATTCCCCTACACAAGCTCTCTTGCCTTCCGCCATGTAAAACATACCTTTTTGCCTTCCGCCATCATTGTGAGGCCTCCCCAGCTGTGTGGAACTGTGAGTCCATTAAACCTCTTTCTTTATAAATTAGCCAGTCTCGGCTATTTCTTCATAGCAGTATGAAAATGGACTAATACAGATTGGAAGTTATGTCCCCTGCAAACCTCCTATCAGATTGTAATCCCCAGTGTTGGAGGTGGAGCCTGATGGGAGGTGACGGAACGAACCCTGGGGGTGGGTGGGAGGTGACGGAAAGAACCCTGGGGGTGGGTGGGAGGTGACGGAACGAACCCTGGGGGTGGGTGGGAGGTGACGGAACGAACCCTGGGGGTGGGCTTCTCATGAATGGTTTAGCACTGTCCCCTTGGCGCTGTCCTCATGATCATACGTGAGTTCCTGCGAGACCTGGTTGTTTAGAAGTGTGTGGCACATACCCCCACCCTTGCTCCCTCTCTCACCGGTTGATGTTCCTGCTGTCCGTTCACCTTCCATCATCAGTAAAAGCCCCCTGAGGCCCCTCCAGAAGTGGAGCAGATGTGGCACCTGCTTGTACAACCTGCAGAACCATGAGCTAATTAAACTTCTTTTCTTTATAAATTACCTGGCTCGAGTACTCCTCTCCTCTCCTCTCTTTTCCTTTCCTTTCCTCTTTTTTGTTTCACTCTTGTCACCCAGGCTGGAATGCATTGGCGACATCTTGGCTCACTGTAACCTCCACCTCCAGGGTTCAAGCGATTCTCCTGCCTCAGCCTCCTGAGTAGCTGGGATTACAAGTGCGTGCCACCACCCCCAGCTAATTTTTGTATTTTTACTAGAGATGGGTTTCACCATATTGGCCAGGCTGGTCTTGAACTCCTGGCCTCAGGTGATCCACCCACCTCAGCTTCCCAAAGTGCTGGGATTACAGGCGTGAGCCACCTCGCCCAGCCCCTGAGGATTTCTTTACAGCTACACAAGAACGGCCTAACACAGGAGTCATAGGCTGAAATCCTAATCCCCACGGCGATGGCAATAGGAGGTGGGGCCTTGGAAAGGTGATCAGGTCATGAAGCCTTCACAAATCGGATTGATTAGTGCCCTTATAAAAAATGCCCCAGAGAACACATTGGCCCCTCTGCCATGTATGAACACAGCGAGAAGGCACAGCTGTGAACCAGGAAGTGGACCTTTGCCAGACACCAAATCTACCAGTGCCTTGACCTTGGACCTGCAGCCTCCAGAAATGGGAGAGAAATTTCTATTGTTTTGAAACCTCCCAATCTACAGTAGTTTTGTTATCATAGCCTGAATAGACTAATACAGAAAATGGTAGCAAAAAGCAGGGTGCTGCTGTACCAAAATCCTTAAAAATGCAGAACTGGGTCATGGACAGGGGACAGAAGGTGGGTGCTAGAAAAACAGATGCTGCTGTGAATGGACTGTTGAACTTACTTGGATCTATCATTTCTTCCTTCTTTCCTATTTCTTCCTTTTGGAATGCCTATCCTATGCCTGTCCCACCACTGGATCTTGGAAGCACATAACTCGTTTGGCTTCGTAGGTTCACAAGTGGAGAGAGATTGGCTTCGGGCAGTTGTACCTTGAGTTTCACCCATATCAGATTTAGATGCTGTTTAGATGAGACTTTGGATTTTAGACTTCAGAGTTGGTGCTGAAACAAATTAAGATTTTGAGGGTTGTTAGGACATAATGAATGTATTTTGCATGTAAGAAGGACATGGATTTGTGGGGGGCATGGCAAGAATGTGATAGACTGAATGTTCCTGTCCCTCCAAAATTCATAGGTTGAAATTTCATCCCTGGAGTGATGGTATTAGGTGTTAACCTTTGGCGGGTGATTAGGTCAGGAGGGCAGAGCTCTCATGAATGAGATTAGAGCCCTGATAAAGAGACCCCAGAGAGCTCTCTTGTCCCTTCTGCCATGTGAAGACACAGAGAGAAGATGGCTGTCTATGCACCAGAAAGCAGGACCCCAGCGAATTCAGCATCTGCTGGTACCTTGATCTTAGATGTCCCAGCTGCTAGAACTGGGAGAAAAACATTTCTGTTGTTGCTAAGCCACCCAGGTTATGGTATTCAGCCTGAATAGACAAAGAAAATCAAGTGTGCAGTAGATGCTCAATTAATATCTACCAAAAGTGTTGAAGTGTGGACACAGTCAAGGAAAACCTGAAGGATTTGTTCAAAGCCCTGATGCAGCCCAGAAAGCTGGAGTCAAGGGGACCCCAGGGGCAGCCAAGGAATGGCTGCTGGAGAAGAGTCTAGAATCATGAGAAGGGTCTATCTAGGCAGAAATGACATCATGCGCTATTGAGTGATGGCTATAGCCCTGCCGCTGTGCTGGGCTCTTTTTCCATCCATTCGAAAACTAGTTCTCGAGAACCCACTATTTGCCCTTACGTTCTTACTTTTACACACACTTTTTAGCTGAATCTTCACAGCTACCCTATAAGGTTTGTACAGCTTTTATCCCATTTTCACACAGGAACAAACCCAGGTATAGAGCAGTTAAGAGACTGCCCCAGCGTCACTCAGCCAGTGAGTGGCAAGGCCAGGAATTGAACCCAGCTCTTTGTCACCCATTTGGCCACATTGAGAAGAGCTAGGGTCAGCAACCAGAAGGAGAAGGAGCGGTCAGGTACAGAACACCAGCAGCTGGAGGGAGGAGGTGAGGGGCACGGGAACCCAGGCCAGAACCCACATTTTGCTCCTTAACCAAAACTGAGCTCTCTGGGACTGGGCACGGAGTTTCAGGAGTTTGAAAATTCTCTGAGGATATTTTTGACATGTGTTTTCTTTTTAATAATAATCTAAAAAGATTTTTACTAGTTATACAGGGAAAACTCTTTGTGGTGTTTTATTCAGTGTCTTCCACACTGAGGACTGTAGTCCCTGAGAGCATTCACTGATTTAATTTGGGAGATCTTTGAGAATTTTGTTTCCTTATTAAAGGGTTGGGGGAAAAATTAAAGGTAGAAACTTCTGGTTCCAGGCAAGATAAAGTGGCCCTCCTCCCTCTCTAGTTTCTTTTTTGATTAAAAAAATCCCAACAATTCTGGACATAACAAACAAGCTTGATAAGCTTCTGAAAGATGGGAAGAAGGAGACGGATGACCCAGGGGCCTCGGAACCATAGGAACAGCATGGCAGTGAGTGTTCGGCTTTTCTTTTTGCCTCCTGTATCTCCTGTACTGGGTGCTAGAGAAGCTGCCACCCTAACCACCAACAGGCACAGACCAAAAAAAACAAAAACAAAAACAAAATAAAAAGCCATAAGAAAAGCCTGTTTCCTCTAGCCAAAGATAAAATGGCAGCTTAGCAGAACAGAAAACCTTTTTTAAAACACCCATCCTACTGCAGCCAAACCAATGAAATGATTGCCTCCCTGCCAGAGAGACCAATCAGGAAGCTCAACCTCCATCTCCACCCACCCAGCAGCAGCAAGGCCGAGCAAGCAGCCTACACACGTGCGTTATGGTCCCATCAGCCAGTGGTGCTGGTGAGGTCCGGCTGAGAGCTGAATATATCCCCCCTACCCAGAACCGGTGAGGCAGCGTAAGGCTGAATGAGGCAGTGCTAGCTGAAGCTTTGCCCCCACCCTGCTGATGTCAATGGGGTTTAACAGAGAACCATACTTCCACCCCCACTCAGCAGCAAACAGGCAGTGCAAGTTTAGTGCTCTGCTTTCGAGAGCGGGGTCAACTTTCAGCCTCACCCTTCAGCAATGAGGTGGGATGAGTCAGGGAACCACTGTTGCTGGGGTGTTGTTGTCGTTGTTGTTGTCGTTTTTGAGATGGAGTCTCGCTCTGTCGCCAGGCTGAAGTGCAGTGGCATGATCTCGGCTCACTGCAAGCTCTGCCTCCCAGGTTCAAGCAATTCTCCTGCCTCAGCCTCCCGAGTAGCTGGGACTACAGGCGCACACCACCACACCCAGCTAATTTTTGTATTTTTAGTAGAGACGGGGTTTCACCATGTTGGCCAGGATGGTCTCGATCTCTTGACCTTGTGATCTGCCCACCTCAGCTTCCCATAGTGCTGGGATTAACAGGCATGAGCCACCGCATCTGGCCAGCTGGAGTGGTTTTAAAAGAGCAAGGTGCACAGTAAAACCACACCCTCACCCAGGCCTGACCACTACACCTGAGCAGCATGACTGCCTGTTAAAGAGGAAGATTAAATAGGATACAGAGTCTCCTGACACAGTACTCAAAATATCCAGAACACAATAAAAAAGCCATATTGTACCAGGAACCGGGGCAATCACAGCTGAAATGAGAAAGTCAACAAATGCCAACATAGAGATGAATCAGATGTTGGAATTATCTGACAAGAATTATAAAGCAGCAATCTTAAGAATGCTTTAGCAGCAATTGTGAACATACTTGAAACAAATGGAAAGATAGGAAATCTCAGCAAAAAAATGAAGATATTAAAAAAAAAACACACACACACACACCAAAGGGAAATTTCAGAGCTGAAAAAGTATAGTAACTAAATTAAAAAAAAAAAAAAACTCACTAGATGGTTTCAGTAGTAAATTAGAGATGGCAGAGGAGGGAAGTGGTGAACTCAAAGACAGATCAATAGAATTCAAAGACAGACCAATCTGAGCTACAGAGAGAAAACAGACTGAAGAAAATGAACAGAGACTCTGGGACTATTACAAAGGTTCTAATATTCCTGTCACTGTAGTCCTAGAAGGAGAGGAGAAGTAAGGTGAGACATTAAAAGGATCTGAGTAAATAAAGGCTGGAAATTTGCCAATTTTTTTTTTTTTAGAAAGACAAGCGGCCTTGCTATGTTGCCCAGGCTGGTCTCGAACTCCTGGCCTCTAGTTATCCTCCCACCTTGGACTTAATTTAAGTTTGTCAAAAGCATAAGCTTACAAACCCAAGACATGAAGAGAACCCCAAAGAGGATGAACTCAAAGAAATCCTTGCCAAGAAAAATCATAATCAAATTTCTGAAAACTAAAGACAAAGACAAAGAAAAATTCCTGAAGGCAGCCAGAGAAAAATGACATACAGTCATGTGCTGCATATGATGTTTTGATCAATAAACTGCATACACGATGGTGATCTCATAAGATTATAACACCGTATTTTTACTGCACCTTTTCTACATTTAGATAGGTTTAGATACAAAAACACTGACTGAAGTATTACAGTTGCCTACAGTATTCACTACAGTATAACGCTATGCAGGTGTGTAGCTGAGGAGCAATGTGCTATACCAGAGAGTCCATGTGTGTAGTAGGCTAGGTTTGTATAAGTACACTCTATGATATTTGCATGATGACAAAATTACCTACTGACTAATCTATCAAAATGTATCCTCACCATTAAGTGATGCATGACTGTATTATGCTTAGGGGAACACCAATCCAAATGACAGCCGATTTTGCATCTGAAACCATGAGGGCCAAGAGGAAGTGGCACAACATTTTCTGAGTTCTGAACGAATGGAACTGTCAACCCTCAAATTCTATATCCTGAAAAAAAAATTCTTCAGTAATAAAGGGGAAATAAACTCTGATAAAATCTTTTTTTTTCTTTTTTGAGACAGAGTCTTGCTCTGTCACCCAGGCTGGAGTGCAATGACACGATCTCGGCTTACTGCAACCTCTGCCTCCTGGGTTCAAGTGATTCTCCTGCCTCAGCCTCCTGAGTAGCTGGGACTATAGGTGCCCACCACCATGCCCAGCTAATTTTTGTATTTTTAGTAGAGATGGGGTTTTACCAGGTTGGCCAGGCTGGTCTCGAACTCTTGACCTCAGGTGATCCACCCGCCTCAGCTCCCAAAGTGCTGGGATTACAGGCATGAGCCACTGCATCTGGCTGAAATATTTTAAAGACCTAAATAAATAGACATTCCATGTTTGTGGATTGGAAGTTTCAATATTGTTAATCTATAGATTTAATGCAATCCCAGTCAACTTGCCAGAAAACTCTTTGTTGATATCAGCAAACTTATTTAAAGTTTATATGGAAAGGGAAAAGGCACAAAATAGCCAACACAATACTGAAGAAGCACAAAATTGAAGGACTCACACTACATGATTTCAAGAAGTATAGTAATCGAGCTACAATAATCAAGACAATGTGGCATTAGCAGAAAATAGACACAAAGGTCAGTGAAACAGAATACAGAATGCCGAACTGGACCCACACAATTCTAGCCGACTGGTCTTTGACAACAGAGCAATGGCAATTCAATGGAGAAAGAGTAATCTTTTCAAAATATAGTGCTGGAATCATTGGACATCCATATGCAAACAAATGATTCTAAACACAGACTTTACACCTTTCACAAAAATTAACTCAAAACAGGTCATAAACCCAAATGTAAAATGTGAAACTATAAAACTCCTAGAAGAAAATACAGAAAGAATTCTACTTCACTTTGGGTTTGCTGATAAATTTTTAGATACAACATCAACAGCATGATCCATGAAAGAAAATGATGATAAATTGGATGTTATTAAAATAGAATCTTGTGTACTGCAAAAGACAATAAGAGGATAAAAATAAAAACCACATATTTGGGGTAAATATTTGCAAAATGCATACCTGTTAAATAACTTGTATCCAAAAATTTTTTAAAGAATTATTAAAAATTAGCAGTAAGAAAACAAACAACCTAATTCAAAAGTAGGGAAAAGATCTTCATGGACTCCTCATCAAAAGAAGATATATACATAGCAAATAAGTACGTGGAAGGAGCTCAAAATCATTTGTCACTAGCAATTTGCAAATTAAAACAATAATGAGACACCAATACACACCTATTAGGTTGGTTAAAATCCAATACCAATTGCTGGTGAGGACGCAGAGCAACAGGAACTCTCACTCATTTCTGGTTGGAATACAAAATGGCACAGCCACTTTGGGAGACAGTTTGGCAGTTTCTTACAAAGCTAAATATAATCTTACCATATGATCCATCAATCATGCTCCTCAGTATTTACCCAACTGAGTTGAAAACTTATGTCCACACAAAAACCTGCATATAAATGTTTATATCAGCTTTATTCATAATTGCCAAAAACTGGAGATAACCAAGATGTCCTTCATAGAATGGATAAACAAACTGTGGCTCATCCATACAATGGAATATTATTCAGCAATTAAAAAAATGACCTATCAAGTCACAAAAGACATGGATAAATATTAAATACTCATTTCTAAGTGAAAGACCACTGTTAAGCATATTGCTAAATGAAAGAAGCCAGTTTGAAAAGGCTACATTCTGTAAGTTTCCAATTATATGGCATTCTGAGAAAAGCAAAACTATTGAGACAATAAAAAACGATGGTTTCTAGGGGACTGGGGGTACAATTGAATAGGTGAATCACGAGGGATATTTTAGGGCAGGAAAACAATCTTGTATTATACTGTAATGTTGGCTACATGATACATACATTTGTCAAAATCAATAAAGCTTTACAGCACATTAACATATAAATTCTTTTCCATATATGCAAATTTAAAAATCATTTAGGAGGTTGGGACAGCCCAAAATGGAAGGCAGTCAGTGAAAAAATCATCTAAATGCATTATAGATGTATAAAACAGCCTAACTGAAGGGAATGGGAGGATAAGGTGCTCACTTAAGTGACTTTGAATGTAGTAGAGTCTGAACACTAAAAGCAAAAGAACTGTACCTAAACACTGCATTCTAGTTGATAAAGTTGTTCCCACAGAGGGTACAGGTTGACATGAAACTGCTATAGATGTACACTGGAAGAAACAATTAAGTAAACAGATGACAGAGGATGGGAGCCAAGTTTTTTATTGTTAAGTAGTAAATTACAGATAAGCCAGGAGTCTAAAATGATACATGTAGCAATCGATTAGAGTTGACATCAGTATAAATTCATGTTTAGAATAATGTAAATACATATAGTTACATACAGAAATAGTAAAGATGTGTATATACATGATTTAGTATAAACAAACATATCGCTTTGCTCCATCAGTTGAGAGGGCCTAGAAGCAATGACACTACAGTAGCAATAAGCACATCTTTCACCCAGACCTTGGTTTCTAACACCATTCTCCAATAAAAGGAACCAGGAATTCTTGGAACAATGATTGATTCTAGGACTGGGTCAGGAAAGTGCAAGATGGGCCTGGAGTATCTTGTAGTGCCAGGAAGAAAGACAGTGCAAAACAAACAAACAAACAAAAAAACCCAAACGGGAAACTCACAGTGATACGAGGTATGTCAATGGGTTAGAGGAACCAACTGAAAGAGCTTCCAATGGTCAAAGCTAAAACAATGAGTGATAAAATAAACGTAGTATTGGGTGATAGCCAAAAGTATAAAATAAATACTGATATAAATAAATGATTGAATACATAAATAAATGACTACAGGCAATCTCCTGTGCAGAATTCTAAATAATGATGTGGGTATCGTGCCCTCAAGGAGGTAGAGCGGCGCTACCAACTCCTTCAGTGTAGGCTGCACATAGTGACTTTTTCCCAAAGATTACAGTATGGAAAGGGAGATGAACAAAGTCACTTTACAGTGGAGAAACCTCACAAGCCCTACTTCAAATGAGGTGATCAAGGTCAACATCAGCAGTGATGTTAACATTGGTAATATATACCCTTGACGTGATATAATGAGAACAGCACTTTACTTCTGTGATCTTCCTCCCCCAAACACATTGCCCCATCCTTATCATGACAAGAACATCAGATCAATCCCAATTGAGGGAAAGTCTACAAAATACCTCATGTATACTCCTCAAAACCCTCCAGGTTATCAAAAAATAAAAACAGAGCCTGAGAAACTGTCACAATCAAGAAGAGCCTAAGGAGACATGATGACTACATGAAGCAGAATCCTGGGACAGAAAAAGGATATCAGGGAGAAAGTGAAGAAAGCTCACTTTTAAATAGAAAGCATACAAATAAACTGCAGACTCGAATCAACAATAACATATCAGGCCAGGAGCGGTGGCTCACGCCTGTAATCCTAGCACTTTGGGAGGCCGACGCAGGCAGATCACCTGAAGTCAGGAGTTTGAGATCAGCTTGGCCAACATGGTGAAACTCTGTCTCTACTAAAAATACAAAATTAGCTGGGTGTGTTGGCGCATGCCTGTAATCCCAGCTACTCGGGAGGTCGAAGCAGGAGAATCACTTGAACCTGGGAGGCAGAGGTTGCAGTGAGCCGAGATCACACCAATGCACTCCAGCCTAGGCAACAAGAGTGAAACTCCCGTCTTGAAATAAATAAATAAATAAATAAAATAACATCAATAGTGGTTCATTAATTGACCAATGTATCATACTAATGTAAGATGTCAAAAACATGGGGAAATTGGGTGTGGGTATACGGCAACTCTCTGTACTATCTTTAGAATAATTCCATAAATCTAAAACTGTTCTAAAATTAAAAGTTTATTATTAGAAATTCAAAAAAATTTCAAAAAGAGAAGAGAAAGAAAGGAATGAACTGTTGGTACATGCACCAACCAGAATGGATCTCCAGAGCATTGTATTTTATATATAAAGTCAATCTCAAAATCTTCATACTATATGATTCCTTTTATGCAACATTTAAAAATGACAAAGATATAGAACTGGAGAACTTATTAATGCTTTCCAGCAGACAGAGATGGAATGGGTTGTGCAAACTACTTGAATAGTGAATAGTTATGTGAGTCGGTTGTAAGAAAGGGGCAGCACAAGACAGCTTCTTTGTATAATCGGTGATGACACAAATTTGTGTATGGAATCAAATTGCACAGAACTGCATACACCCTCTACATATACACAAATAAATGCCTGTGAAAATGGAATAAGGTCTGTAGTCTAGTTAACAGCATTGCGCCAATGTCAATTCCCTTGTTTTGATACCGCACTAGAGTTAGCACCATTAAGGACAACTGGGAAAAGGGTATATTGGAGTCTGTGTTCTAGTTTTGCAATTTCCTATAGACTCCTGTGAGTCTATAATTATTTTTTAAGTTAAAGTAAAAGTCTGAGTACTCCAATAATGGCAGAATAGCTTGTAACAGACTCTGTTTTCTCCTGACAATAATTACACTCTGGACAAAATATAAAAACAGCCATTTGAATGAACATTTAAGAAAAACCTGAAACAGGCTAAGACTTAAGAAGACATGACACCTAAAACAAGGAAACATTAGGTGAGATGTATGTTTAAATGATGTTTCCCCGAGAGACACTATCCAGTGTGTATCACATGCAGGAATAAGCTCAAGCAGAAAGTGACAGTCTAAAGAGGCTGCTGAACCAGAGGCCTGGGTTAAGAGAAACCATAGAAGCTGAAAGTGGGGAAGAAAGGAGAGAGTCATGGGGTGGAAGGAAGTATCCCCAAATCTGCATACCAATTCCTCTTCAAAATCTTAGCTAACTCCTAAACTGCTTATGTATGAGTAAAGACTCTAAAAATCTCAGTGAAAAGCAGCACCTAGAAGTCTGAAAGATCCAAGCAGAGATTTAATCAGCTGCCCAGTTCAGGAGGGATAGAACTTGAAGTTCCATTTTTGAAACGTTATCCCTTCAACGGAAGCCAAAGGAGCCATGCCTTATGTATAAGGACCATGTTCCAGGGCTAAGGACCACACTCTAGGACTAAGGGAAAAATGGGAAGGAACTCGCCCTTTGAAAACCTTAAAGCAAGCCTCTCCCAGACCAAAGTAATGACTGCCACTTATTTATTTGCCTTCCAGAAAAAAGGAAACACTCTTTAAAGGAAAATAATAGAATCCAGAGCTTCTATGATGTATCGCCTATAATGTTTATTGTATGGTCAAAAATTAATAGTGTAAACCAAACATAAAATTCTATGTGCCCCTCAACCAACTGAATGGATCCTTCTCCTGGCCAAGGGGATCCAAAGAAACCTGAAAAACTAGTTTTGGCCATGACAGCAAGTGGAGATCAGACATGGCCCATTATACTCTTCTCCCTTTGGAATTAAGGCGCAACGGATCAGCATTAATATTACAATGGGGATCATAAGACAAACAAAACAGACTCTTTGTAGCAATGATACCCACTCCAAACTGACTCTGGTATAGCATCCCATGACAGATAGTAGGCCCTGAAGGAAACCAAAGTATTTTACCCCAAAATACATTTTCTTTAACATATTTTGAAAAGCCCCTGCAAAGCCATCTTTTGTAGGGGAAATGTTCATTCTCTAGAGAATCTCTTTTCCTTACTAGGTCTTTTTCAGAGAGTCTGACACCTTTTAAGGTCCTATAGACACTTACCATCTATTCTCTCTGAAGCCTGTTACTTGAAGGCTTCACCTACGTAACAAGAACCTTGGCTTCTGCAACCCCCCCTTATCTTAACTCAAGCATTTCTTTATTCTGACTTCAACTCTTCAGGCAAAGCTTAACTTCTTCAACCAATCACCAATCAGGAAATCTTTGAATCCAGCTAGGACTTGTGAGCTACCCCAACCCTTCTTCACCTCAAGATGTCCTGCCTTTCCAGGCTGAATGTACTTTACATGTACCGATGTGTGTCTTTGCCTATGATTTCTGTCTCCCTAAAATGTATAAAACCGAGCTATAACCCAACCACCCTGGGCACATGTTCTTAGGACCTCCTGAAGCTGTGCCACAGGACATGAGCACTCAAATATAAGACTCAGAAGAAACCTCTTTAAATATTTTACAGAGTTTGGCTTTTTTGAGGTCAAAAGTAGGCATGAAAAGGAGCAGAAAAATGTGACTCATAATCAAAAGAAAAAAGCCAGGCAAAAGAAGCAAACTAACAGATGACTCAGATATTTGAGTTAGTTGAGAAGAAGTTTAAGTAAATTTTTTACAGGAAAAAGATGGATATATTATGTATATTTCCACTGTAATGAGAAATATCAGAAGAGAAATAAAAAAGAAAAAGAATCAAATAATAATTTGGAAACTGGACAATTCAATATCTGAAATGAACACTGTATTAGAAGGCAGACTGGAGACTCCAGAAGAAAGCATCAGTGAACTTGAAAATAGGTCAATAGAAATTAATCAAATTGAAACCTAGAAAAAAGTTAAAACTTCAAACAGAACTCAATGTGAGACAATGTTAAGAAATCTAATATATATGTGATTGGATTCCTAGAATTAAAAAAAAAGAAAATGAAACAGAAAAATATGTAAAGTATTAATAGCCTCCCCCAAATCTAAATTTAAGTAAAAACACTAACACACAAGTCTAAGGATCTCTGTGGGCCTAAACAGTATACATACAAAGAAAACTACACCTGGATATACCACAGTAATATTGGGAAAACTAAAGATAAGAAAAATCTTAAAAGTAGTCAAAGAAAAATGGTGCATTACATACAGCGTAGACAATGATAATAATAACAATGGACTTCTTGTCAGAAATAATAGAGGTCATAATGAAAGGTCCTTGTATCCGTTCAAACCTCGAGAGCGCACCAACAGACAACACCAGGCGGTGTGGAGCAACACGCTGTTTTAATGAGCCCCTGGGTGCGGGCTGGCTGAGGCCTAAAATGGCGTCAGCCCCAAATGAAGAGGGGGAAGGAATTTTATAGTCCTCTGTAAACAGGAAGTGTCCCAGTCTGACGTGACTGCTAGGTAGTACCCGGATGGCCTCTTTCTTGATCTTTAGGGGTACGTGTCTTCCGGCCAGGGTAGGTGTCTTCTGGTGGGCTCTCTTCCTGCTTCTGCTATCTTGCTGACACACGCTGCTGAAGTAAGTAGCCTTGCGCCTTGGGACTGGGCCTGAGAAGGGGGGAGTTACTCATCCCTTCAAGCTTTCAGGCCCTGGGGAGAATCTTTCACGTAACAATAGAAGAACATCTTTAAAGTGCTAAAAGAAAAATATGGCCTTCCAGAATTCTGTCTCCAGCAAAAATATCTTTCAAAAATAAAGGAGATTTTCAGTTTCCAGTCAGGCATGTAAGAAGCTTAAAAGTTGCCACTCTCTCCCAAAAGGTAAAAAAAAAAAAAAAAACTGAACAAACTGCTTTCAAAACCAACGACTTGTTTGAAAATCAATGACTCTTCTTACATCTGTACAAGAGGTGAGATGCAGGGCACTCCTCTTCCCCCCTGAATTGGAAAGATAGGCAAATTCAGAGATTCAAAACTTACTGGAACAGAAACCCATTCACTGAAACCTCATGGAAACCAGTGCCAGCATAGAAAAACCTAAAGTGTAATCAAAAAATTGCTGGAGGCTTAATGTGGACAAATCTGAGAGCTAAAAATTCCAGGAAGAGCCGGTCATGGGAGTAGGAGGGAACTATCTTGTGAGTTTTACCTGCAGAACCTCTATCAGGTCCTCATAGTGAATATTGGAGAAAAATTCCCTCCTGCTTCTGGCAAGGAAAGGGGAAAGGGAACCATTTTGATATATACTAGAGCATTATATTCTTCTTAATAAGGTCTGCCCTCAGGAGAAACTATTTGACCAGAGCTTAACCTGCTGGGGTTTTATCAGAGCCTAACTAACCTGGGGAAAGGAAAATACCCATTTTCAGCCAGCTCTAGCCTTCTACATGGAGGAAGGGAAATACCTAACTCCAAAAGCTGGTTCTTTGAAAAAAAAAAAATCAATAGAATTGGTAAACCTCTAGCCTGGTTAACTAAGAAAGAAGACACAAATTACTAACATCAGAAATGAAATAGAAGCCATCACTACTGGTCCCATGAAAATGAAAAGAACAAAAAAGGAATGCTATAACAATTCTATACCTACAAATTTAATAATCTAGAAGAAATGAACCAATTCCTTGAAAAATACTCTGCCAAAACTCACATAAGAAGAAACAGATAACCTGATAGGCCTATATCTATTATGGAAATTAAATAAATAAATAAATAAGAACCCTCTAAAACAGAGAGCACTAGATCCAGATGGGTTCACCTGTGAATCCTACCAATCATTCAAAGGAGAAGTTATAACAGTTATCTACAGTTTCTTTCAGAAGATAGAAACAGTAAGAATACTTCCTAAATCATTCCATGAGGCCGGCATTACCCTACTACCAGTCCAAAGACATCGCAAGAAAAGAAAACTACAGACCAATATTGCTCATGAACAGAGATACAAAAACCCTAAACCATACTGGCAAATAAATCCAACACTGTATAAAAAGAAGTATATACCACAACCAAGTGGCATTTATCCCAAGTATGCAAGGCTGATTCAACATTCAAAAATCAATCAAATGTAATCCATCACATTAACAGGTTAAAAAATTATGTGGTCATATCAATAGATGCAGAAAAACCATCTGACAAAATTTAACACCTATTCATGGATTTTTAAAACTCTCAGTAAACTAGAAATAGAGAGGAACTTCCTTAAAAAAGAATATCTGCAAAAACCCTACAGCTATCATATTTAATGGTGAGAAATTTGAAGCTTTCCTGTTAAGACTGAGAATAAGTCAAGGATGTCTCTATCACCACTGCTTTTCAGCATCATGCTGGAAGTTCTAGCTAATGCAATACAAGAAAATGAAATTAAAGGTATAAAGCTTGGGAAGGAAGAAATAAAACTGTTTTTGTTTGCAAAAGACATGATTGTCTCTATAGAAAATCAAAAAGGATAGAAAAAAAGCTTCCTGGGCATAATAAGCAATTATAGCAAGGTTGCAGGATACAAAGTTAATACCCCAAATCAACTGCTTTCCAATATACCAGCAATAAACAAGTGAAATTTGAAATTTAGCACCCTGAACATGAAATACTCAGGTACAAATCTCACAAAATATGTACAAGATCTATATGAAGAAAATTACAAAATTCGGATGAAAGAAATCAAAGAATGGCCAGGCATAGTGGCTCACACCTGTAATCCCAGCACTTTGAGAGGCTGAGGAAGGTGAATCATCTGAGGTCAGGAGTTCAAGACTAGCCTGGTCAACATGGTGAAATGCCGTCTCTACTAAAAATACAAAAAGTAGCTGGGTTTGGTGGCACGTGCTTGTAGTCTCAGCTACTCAAGAGGCTGAAGTAGGAGAATCACTTGAACCTGGGAGGCAGAGGTGGCAGTGAGCCAAGATTGCACCACTGCACTCCAGCCTGGGTGACAGATTGAGAATCTGTCTCAAAAAAATAAAAAATAATAATAATAATAATGGAGAGATATTCCATGTTCATGGATTGTTGTCAGCTCTTCCCAAACTGATCTGTAGTTTTAATGTTATCCATTAAAAATCCTAGCAAGTTATTTTGTGGGTATCAACAAATTGAATCTAAAGTTTATATGGAAAAGCAACAGATCAAGATAGCCAACATGATGTTAAAGGAGAAGAACATAGTTGGAGGAATGATACTACCTGACTTCAAGACTTACTATACAGCTATAGTAATCAAGACAGTGTGGTATTGGTAAAAGAATAGACAAGTCAATTAGTGGAACAGAATAGACAGCCCAGAAGCAGACCCACACAAATGTAGTCAACTGATCTTTGAAAGAAGCAAGGGCAATACAACGAAGAAAAACAATTCTTTCAACAAATGGTGCTGAAAGAACTCTACTTCCACATGCAAAATAATAAATCTAGATACAGACCTACATCCTTCACAAAAATTAACTCAAAACGATCACAGACTTAAGTGTAAAATGCAAAACTGTCAAACTACTAGAAGATAACACAGGAGAAAACTTCAATAACCTTAGGTTTGGAGATGACTTTTTAGATATGACCCCAAAAGCATGGCCCATGAGAGAAAAAAAATCATAAGTTGGACTTCACTAAAATAAAAAAATTCCCAACTTGGGCAACATAGTGAGATTTCATCTCTATTAAAATTTTTAAAATTAGCCAGGCATGGTGGTGTATGCCTGAAGTCCCAGGAGGCTAAGGCAGGAGGATCACTTGAACCCAGGGGTTAAAAGCTGCAGTGAGCTATGATTGCATCACTGCCCTCCAGCCTGGGTGACAGAGTGAGACCCTGTCTCAAAAAAATAAAAATAAAAAATTTCTGCTCTGCAAAAGGCATTCTCAAGAGAATAAGAAGAAAAGTCACAGACTAGGAGAAAATATTTTCAAAAGATATATCTGATAAATGTCTTTTATTCAAAATATACAAAGAACTCTCAAAACTCAATAATAAGAAAATGAACAACTTTATTTTTAAAATGAGCCAAAGACCTTAATAGACACCTCACCAAAGAAGATATACAGATGGCAAGTAAGCATAATTAAATGATGCTCAACATTGTCAGAGAAGTGCAAATTAAAACCACAACCAGCTACCTCTACACGCCTATTAAAATGGCCAAAATCCAGAACACCGACAACACCACATGCTGCTGAGGATGTGGAGCAACGGGAACTCTCATTCATTGCTGCGGGAATGCAAAATGCTACAGTCACTCTGGAAGACAGTTTGACACTTTCTTACAATGCTAAACACACTCTTACCACACAATTCAGCAATCACGTTGAATTTACTCACAGGAGTTGAAAAGTTATGTCCATGCAAAACCTTCACATGGATATTTATAGACTCTTTATTCATAATTACCAAAACTCGAGAGCAGCTAAGATGTCCTTCAGGAGGTGAATGGATAAATAAACTGTGGTATATTCAGACAATGGAATATTATTTAGTGCTAAAAAGAAATGAGCTATCATAAAAAGACATGGAGGAAGCTTAAATGCGTATCACTAAGTGAAAGAAGCCAGTCCCCTGAAAAGGTTACATACTGTGTGATTCTAACTATATGACACCCTGGGAAGGGCAAACTATAGAGACAGTATCAATAGCAGGGGGTAGGAGGGAGGGAGAGATGAGTGGGTGAGGCACAGAGGATGTTTAGGGCAGTGAATGTTCAGTATGATACTATAGTGGTTATTATATACTATAGTGTTATTATAAATTTGCCCAAATGCATAGAATGTACAACATCACGAGTGGACCGTAACATACACTATGGGTGGAATGCTGTGTCACTGTAGGTTCATCAGTTGTAACGAGTGGACCACTCTGGTGGGGGATGCTGATAATGTGGGAGGCTGGGCACGTGAGGGGTGCTCAGGAGGTGTATGTACCTTCTCTGTACCGTCTGCTCAATTTTCCAGTGAAACTAAAACAGCTCTAAAAAATAAAAAAAGTAAAGTCTAATAAACATGAGAGAGAAATAATGACATTCTTGGGGAAATGAAATACAGGAAGATTCTTTGCCAACAGACTTGCACTACAAGAAATGCTAAAGGAATTTCTTCAGTCCGAAGGGACATGATAATGAGTGAAAGTTGTGCTGTGCAGAGAGGAATGCAGAGCGTTGGAAATCGTTACTATGTGCATAAATGGAAAATTGTATTTTTCTAATTCCTTAAAAGACAATTGATTGTTCAATGGGTGAACAATAGGGCTTGTCACTTACTGAAGTAAGATTTATGGCAGCAATAATTCAGAGGATGGGAGGGAAGAAATGGAATTATACTGCTGCATCTTAGCTTATACGTGAGATGGCATAACATTCATTCCCATTGGACCATTATGTGTTAAGAATGCATATTGTAAGCCTGCAGAAACAAGTAAAACTAATACAAAGAAGTATAGCTGAAAACCCATAAAAGGAAATAAAATGGAATACAAAAAAACCCCCAAATAACTCAAACGAAGGTATGGAAGAAGAAAGCAAAGAACAAATAAAAGGGGGTAAATAGAAAACCAGCAGTAAGATAGTAAACTTGAACCCAACCGTATCAATCATTTTATTAACTGCAAGTAGACTAAACCCCCTAATTAAAATGAAACATCTCCACTCCAGATAATAAAAGATAGGCGTGGGATTTCTGCTTTCAGGCGTGGTGAGGCAATACCCTACTGAAACACTCCCACCCCTACACACACCCTACAGAAAACAATTGTAAAACCTGGACATAATAAAGAATTTTGAAGGTACTGGGGAATAAAAACAAGCACAAATATCTGGAGGAAGTGCTCAGAAAACACGTCCATGTGGTGCAGAATTTTGATAATGGGCAGGGGGATTATGTGTGTGGGGGCAGGGGGTATATGGGACCTCAGAGCTTCCAACTCAATTTTGCAATGAGTCTAAAATGGCTCTAAAATATAAAATCTATGAAAAAAATTATGAGCACTTGCCAAAAAAACAGGAACCAGATGAAAGAAGCTACCACTGGCCAAATTCAGGATAATTAGAGCACAAAGATAAATAATGATAGTAATGAGTTTCAACCCATTGAATATAAGAGAAATCCACATCTATGCTGAAATGAATAAAGAAATAAATGTGGAGAAGGGAAAGTTCTTCCTTCAGAAGAATTAAAACTAATAAATATGGAAGGAAAGATGAAGTTAGAAAATCATCAAAAACTATCAATGAGGAAAGACATTTAGAAATTAACAGTTTCTAAATGTTTGTGTGTATTTATCTGTTCTCACACTGCCAATAAAGACACACCTGAGATTGGGTAATTTATAAAGGAAAGCGGTTTAATGGACTCAGAGTTCCACATGGCTGGGGAGACCTCACAATCACAGCAGAAGGTGAAGGAGGAGCAAAGACACATCTTACATGGCAGCAGGCAGGAAAGTGTGTGCGGGGAAGGCCCCTTTATAAAACCATCAGCTCTCATGAGACTTATTCACTATCACAAGAACAGCATGGGAAAACCCCACCCCCACAATTCAATTACCTCCCTCTGCACCCCTCCCACGACAGGTGGGGATTATGGGAGCTGCAATTCAAGATGAGATTTGGGCGGAGACACAGCCAAACCATATCACTCTGTTATGAACTAAATTGCATCCCTCCAAAACTCCTATGTTAAAGCCCAATCCCCAGTACCTTAGAATGTGACAGTATTTGGAAATAGGACCCTTGGTGATTAAGGTTACATGATTAAGGTTAGGTGATTAAGGTTAAATGAGGTTGTATGGGTGGAGCCCTAATCCCATATGACTGGGGAACCTTACAGGAAGAGAAAGAGACACCAGGGATATGTGCACACAGGGACATGCCCTGTGAGGACGCAGCAAAAGGCAGCCATCCACAAGCCAAGCCAAGGAGGGAGCCCTGTGGAGAAACCTCTTACTTGGTGAAGGCTGTCAGACACACACAAAATGATTCTATTCTTGTGAAGGTCTAGGGCAGGCAAAGCCAACCCATGGGGATGTGAGTCAGAGCAGCGTCAGCCTCTAGAGGGGAGGGGTCCATTGACTGGAGATAGGGTGGGCTTTCTAGGGTGATGGACATGTTCTATGTCCTGATTTGTGGGTTAATGATGTGGGTGGTTGCATTTTCAAAACTCATCAAGCTGTTTATTTGAGATATATTTTATTGTATATTGATTCTACTTCAATTGTAAAAATTGCAAAAAAAAAAAAGAAGAAGAAGGAAGAGGACTGGGGCTTCCATATTAAAATAATAAATTAAATTAATTCAAATAAAGAGTCTGAATCTTACTGACTTGAGACACCAGGGTGTCAGGGGCAGTAGGCAGGGACCCAGAGGGGTGACCCCCTCCCCAGCATGGGTCCCACAGGCCCTGGAAAGGGAGTTGGCTCATCTGCAAGGCTGAGTTCCCACCTCACATTCCCTGGAACAGGAGGAAAGACCCCAGATGCAAAAGTTATCTGAGCTCTTCCTCTGCTGTGATAGGGTGCGGGGGAGGCTGCACACCTCATATCCGGGTCAGCCAAGCATCTTCTCCCACAGAGCAAAGCAAGGATCTCCCATTATGTTCAGCACTAGGCTTGTCCCAAGGCAATGTCTCTAGGATTCCCCAGCAAAGAGGAAGGAGAAGGGAAGACTCTCCTGAAAGGACCTCGTGGCCAGATGCACACAGCAGCAGGAAGTGCCTACGGGGCACTGAAGAACCAGACCCCACCAAGGTCAATGTGAGCTCTGGGTCTGGGGTAAGAAGGACAATGGGGCAGGAAAGTGGGCCTGGAGGGAGGCCTGGGGGAGGGGCTCGGGGGCAGCTCTAGACCTGGTGAGAGGGTTGGGAGCCCAGGAGCCCTGAGTGTCTGACGGCTGCTGACCAATGGACTTGGAGATTTTTCTGGAAGTGCCTGAGCGAGGACGGCCAGGGTGTGGGCTGGAACTGGGAGGGGGCTTAGGGTCTGTGCCCAGGCCAGCGTCACAGAGCTCAGGGAGAGGTTGTCTCCCTGAGAAGGGGACAGCTCGGCCAAGTGGTCTCGGAGGGCAGAGCTAGGGCCAGGGTTGGGGGCCGATGTAAGAGGGTTGACCTGGCTTTGCCCCCAGTTCAACCACTGTCCCTTTCTGGGCCTCAGTTTCTCCATCTTTGAAATGAGGAGGATTAAACTGATGCTATGCAAAATCTCCACCAGCTTAAAAGAAAAAGCTTTGTGACTGTCCTGTGTGAAGTACAGAGAGGCAAATTTGGCTTCATCTAAGGAAGAACATTCCAATATTCATAAGCGGCCCTGAGATGGCTGTGGGGTGAGCCACGCTCCCCTACATTGCTCACGAGGTTGTCCAGGGGCGGAGGTGCGGTCCTGGGCCAGGTCTCTGAGGCCCTCACATACCCCCGGTTCTCCTGGTGCACCCATGAGAAGCATCCCAGGCTGGCCACTGCCTCTCTAGGAATCAAGCCCCGGGAAATCAGACTTTCACTTCCACGGAGATGTCTGCAAATGGCACCTGTGAGTTCCATCACCCGGCCTAAAGACTCCTCCTTTTCCCATTGAGGACATCCAAGCCATTTTGAAACCCAGTTCCAGAGACCACACCTTGATGACAGCACGTTCATAACTAAACCCCGTTTCTCCCTGCCTTGGGGTCCATCCCAAGACCCGCTCCTCTCTCCCTCCAGCAGTGAGACCATGGAGGGGGAGCCTTGAGAAAACCAGGGTCACTTCAGCTCGGAAGGACTTGGCCCTGCGCGCCGCCACTGGCACCGACCTACGAAAATAGCTGCACTGGCCGAGTTTTGCTTTGCTGACGAGCTTTGCTGAGCGGCGAGAACTCGCCAAAGCAGATTTCCAGTTTCCAACTGGCTTTCAGGAAAAAAAGAAAAAAAAGGCGGGGCGGGGGAGATGATTTTCTTTTGGGCTGGCAAAGACACCAGCCGTGTTCATGCCGGCTGGTGGCAACCTATTCAGGGGCCACAACTTCCGCGGTCATTTATTTGCCGCTTCTTTGAAAGCCCACCTCCCTGGCAGTCTCGGCGAAGCCTTGAATCTCACGGCTCCGCTCCCTCTGGAAGGCGTGGAGAGGCCCAAGCCGGGAGGGCTGTCCGGGCACAGGCTCTTGCTCCATCCCCACTGCCCCTGGTGATGGACGCCATGGGAAATGGTGAGCAAGGCAGGGAGGTGGAGGGAGGTGGGGAGGAGGAGGGGGAGCTACGGGAGGGAGTGGGCACTGGGAGGGAGGCTGAGACCCCCGAGTGGGAGCGCGACCCCGGCTTCTTGTCCCTCAGCCCGGAGTCCAGGGAAGCAAGCCCTGGAGTGTTCAGGCAAGAGCCCACGCCCTGGCCTCACCCGGCGAGGTGGGTGGCGCTGCCATGACTCACTCTGCCCCACCCCGGCCCAATCTGGCCTCCCCTCCATCAGAATCCCTTGCCAAAGACTCAAAGGAAGCAGCGTGGTCAGTCCCGAGTCCTCCCCACGCCCGGCCTCAGGTGATACACAGTGGGTGTCAGGTTGCTGTTAGGCTGAAATCCTTCCCTGCCCCTGCCTTCCTACTGCCTGCTCTTCCCCTTTCCTTATGTGAAGAAAGGTGAGCATTTGCAGCCCAGGCTGTCAGGAATCCCAGGCCTGCCGCGGCCTCCCTGAGCTCCTGGGGCAATTCCATGTCTACAGTTCTTCAGTTCCACAGTGGTGTCAAAGCCCATGGTTCATGGGGACACAGTCCTTTCCACTGGCAGAGACCAACTGGGACTGCCAGGTGGAGGTGCTGCAGTCAGCCATGGGGGCAGGAAAGGGAAGGTAAGCAGAGAATGGGGGTGAATGGCAAGGGAGGAGGAGAATTAAAGTCAATCTCCCTCAGTCGCTGGTATAACTCCTTACAATGGAGACAGAGAGGGAGAGGCACAGAGAGAAAGAAGGGACAGAGGGAGGATAACTCCCTACAACAGAGACAGAGAGGGAGAGGCACAGAGAGAGAAGGAAGGGAGGGAGAGAGGAGGGAAGGAAGGGAAGGGGAGGGGAGGGGAGAAGAGGGGAGGGGGAAGGAAGGGAGGGAGGGAGGGAGGGAAGGAAGGAAGGAAGAAAGGAGAGGAAGGAGAGGAAGGAAAGGAGGGGAGGGAGGGACAGCAGGCCGTATCTTTGGTGCAGGGATTATTTCCATTTTATAATCTTGAGGCTCAGCCATGCAACCAGAAACTCTCCAATGATTCCAGACTTATTGTGACCCAATTTAACTCTAGGTCAGATGCTGGGCAGGAGACCCTGGACTTGGAGTGTCACAGACAGAAGGCAACTTGGAGGGCAACCGGGTCAGCCCACCCACTCCCCTCAGGGAGACTGAGGCCCCAGACAGAGGGGAAGTGACTTGTCCAAGACCACACCAGTGCTGAGCTTTCTTTCTGCATAGACCCTGCTCCCTCTGGAGTTTGTGCCTCAGTGTGCAGTTCTGTGACCTGACTGGATTGGTCCAGATGACTCAAAGTTCCTCCAAGCTGAGACATCTGCTTTTGTTCATGGCTTATTCCTGAGAACCCCTGGAAAAGGCAGCTGCAGCTGGAGCTGGCCCCCGCCCCTCCCAGGCACTCCAAGGCCAAGGGTCCTTTCCCTCCTGACGCAGGAGTCACCCGTGGGGACAGAGGGGGGGATCAGCCCACCTGCAGCCCACACCTGCAGCGGAGGGCAGGAGAAGGCAGTGGTTCCCCTGGGAACGGCTCACCTGCAGGGGCCTGGGAGGGTCTTGTGAGCTCCTTGGATCCAGGTGGGAGCAGCCTCCATGCAGAGCTCAGACAATATCTTCCCTGGGGAAGTTTAGACAACCAGGCTGGTGAGCAAACTTCCTAGATTTGATTAAAAGAAGCCTGACGCTTTCAGGTTCTGCTGCTGACAGCCGAGAGCAGACTTGCCTCCTGCTCAGCAAGGTGGGGGCCACTGAGGCATCTTTTCTTTTAAAAAAGAAAAAACAAGAATACCATGGTGATAGTGAGGATGTGGAGCAATTGAGATACCCTTTTTCTTTTTTGCTGCTTGGAATGCAAAATGTTACAACTGCTTTGAAAACAGGTTTGCAATTGCAGTTTCTTATTGCTTTAAACACACACTTACCCCGCAACCCAGCAAATCCTCTTTCAAGATATTTACCCAGAGGAAGTGAAAAGAAGTTATGTTCACACAAACACTTATGTGTATAAGTTTGCGGTGGTTTTATTCATAATCACCAAAAATTAGAAATAACACAAATTTTATTTAACCGATGAAATGCATAAACAGACTGAAGTATATCCATAAAATGGACTTGTACTGGAAAATATAAACAAACTACGGATATGTGGAACGTGGTGAAACTCAAAAGTGTTATGCTAAAAATGACATAACTAGGAAATTCCGTAAACCCCCTCTCCCCCAAAAGCAACAGAAATACTTGCAAAACAATAAAATTCGACCATTTTTGAATTCTGGAAATTAACTACACGCGAGAACAAACTGAAAAACACCAATTACCAATTACTGAACCTTGGTAATACCAGTGGGTCTGTGGTGTATTTAACTTGGGGCTATTCTCATACTCTCTCACCCTCCAGCTCAGAGGTGCAGTGGTGGTGAAAAGCCAACATTCTCGCAGCCAAAAGAGGATTGACTGCTTTAAAGCTCTGTAGCTGGAAGAGAGGATATTGCGTGTTCTCAACACAGAGAAATGATAAATGTTTGAGATGATGGATATCCTAATTACCATGATCTGATCATTAACATGGCATATATTGAAACATCATTATCCATTTTATATATATATATATACACAATCACTATGTGTCAATTAAAAGTAATTTTTATTTTGTCAGGCACAGTGGTTCATGCCTGCAATCCCAGCACTTCAGGAGACTGAGGCAGGAAGATCGCTTGAGCCCAGGAGTTTGGAACCAGCCCTGGCAACATAGCAAGATCCTGTCTCTACAAAAAAATTTTTAAGAATTAGCTAGGCATGGTGATATGCACCTGTGATCCCACAGGTGATATGCACCTGTGAGGTGGGATGATCACTTGAGCCCAGGAGTTCGAGGCTGCAGTGAGCCATGATCGGACCACTGCACTCCAGCCTGGGCAACAGAGTGAGACCCTGCCTCAAAAAAAAAATTTTTTTAAAGGGCCTATACTCAGAGAAAGTCAGTAGTTTAGCCCAACCAGAAGCTGCCTAGAATATCTCTATTCCTATGATGTTGTTGCTATTTGACTTGTCTGTGAACTCAGCTCTGCAAATAAAACTTCATGCCCATGGCACTACTGAAAACGGTAAGAATCTGCTGGTAACATTGCTGCTGCCTAAGGCTATGATTTCAGTTGGGGCTAACAAGAGCCTGGCCGAAAAATGAAAAGGAAGACATATAGAACTAAAAAGCCATGGGGAACTTGAAGAGTTCTGTATTTCTGCCTGTGCAGGGCTATATACACGTCCAAGAAAGACCTGGGGAAGGAGGAGGCCCTGTCGCTCACTGCTGACCTTGAGGCCCTAAACAAGCAGGAAGTGGAAACTACAGAGGGTTTTTAAACTGCTTGAAGTTTGAAAGTATGTACATTCCCACACAGATAACTTTGGCAAAGGATGGAGAACCGATGCTCAAGGCAGTTAAGAAAATCTGATCGATCACTTGCTGAGCAATAAATTGTATTGACAAAAGACTGAACCCCAGGAGACCAGGCTTAAAGATATAAACAAACTGATCAAAAGGTGGGGAACAAGGAATTTAGTGGCTGCATAGTACAGGAAACAGAGTTATGCCAGGAAAGCCACTAAACAAACAGGCAGCAAAAATAAAAACAAAAGCAAGCAAAAAGAGAAAAGAAAGACCCAGCAAGAACAATTCCTGGAAGAGGAGAAACTAACGACAGATTGTTACAATGTGTTATCTAAAATGTCCAGTTTCCAACAAACAATTATGACATATGCAATAAAATGGGAACATATAGCCCATTCAAAGGAAAAAGACCAACCAACAGAAAATGCCCCTAAAGGCACCTAGATGTTAGATTTGGGAGACAAAGAATTTAAATAAATACGTAAATTTGGGAGCTTAAAAGTACAACACCTAAAATAAAAAATTCACTAGAGAGCTCAAGAATGAATTTGAACTCAAGTAAGAAAGAATCAGAGGCCAAACATTTTTAAAGAATGAATACCAATTCTTCACAATCTCTTCTAAGAAGTAGAAGAGGAGGAAACACTTCCCAAATTATGAATATTCTGAGGCAAGTATTACCCTGATACCAAAACAAAAGAAAGACACCGCAAGAAGAGAAAACTACAGACCAGTATCTCTTATTACTATGCATGCAAAATCCTCAACAAAATAGTGGCAAATCATATCCAGCAATGTATAAAAATAATTCTACACCATGACCAAGTGAGATTTATCCCAGGAATACAAAGTTGGTTTAACACACAAAAATCAATTAATACAACACTCTATATCAATAGAATTAAAAAACAAAAACTCCATGATCATCTCTATGCAGACAAACTACACGACAAAACCCAATAAACATTATGATGAAAACACACAATAAACTAGGAATATAAGATAATTTTCTCTGAAACTGACAAAGGGCATCTTAGAAAAACTCACAGCTACATCATATTTCATGGTGAAAGACTGGATTCTTTCTCTATAAGATCAAGACCAAGACAAGAATGTCTGCTCTCCTCATTTCTATTCAGCATCGTATTGGGGTTTCCAACCAGAGCAATTAGCAAGGAAAGAAAACTAAAGACATTTAGATTGGGAAAAAAAAGGTAAAAGTATCTCTATTTGCATATGTCATGATCTTGTATATATATATATAGATTATGAATAACCCACTTTAAAAAACTATTAGAACTTATAAACAAATTCAGTAAGGTTTTAGGATATAAGACCAATACATAAAAATTACTTGCATTTCTATACACTTGCAACAGACAGACTAAAAATGAAATTAAGAAAATAATTGTATTTACAAAAGCATAATAAAAATGAAATAGGAATAAGTTTAACAAAAGAATTGCAAAGCTTATACTCTGAAAACCACAAAACATTGTTGGAAGAAATTAATACAGCTCTAAATATATGGGAAAATATCCCATGTTCCTGTATTGAAAGACTTAATTTTGTTAAGATGGCAATACTTCCCAAATGGATCTATGAGTTCAACACAATCCCTGTCAGAATCTCAGCTTTTTTTTGTAGAAACTGACAAGCTAGTTCTAAAATTCATATGCAATTCAAGGTATTCAAAATAGCAAAAATAATCTTTAAAAAGAAAACCAAAGTAGAAAGACTCACACTTCCTGACTTCAAAACCTACTACAAAGCAAGAATAATTACTATAGTACAGTACTGGAAGAAGGGTAGATAAATAGATTAATGGAATAGAATTGAGAGTACAGAAATAAACCCACATTTCTAGGGTAAACTGATTTTTGACAAGAATCCAAGTCCACCCACTGGAGAAAGAATGGTCTTTTGACAAATGGTGCTAAGACAACTAGAGATCCACACACAAAAATAATGAAATTGGACCCTTACCTCACACTGTATTCAAAAGTTAACTCAAAATGGATCAAATTTCTAAATGTGAAAACTGGAACTACAGAATTCTAGAAGGAAACAGAAGGGGTAAAATCTTCATAATCTTTGATTTGGCAATGGATCTTAGATATAACATCAAAAGCACAAGCAACCAAAGTAAAACCAGACATATCAGACTTCATCAAAATTAATTTTTTTTGTTTGTTTGTTTTTCCAAAGGACACTATTAAGGAAGAGAAAAGACAACACACAGAATGGTAGAAAATATTTGCAAATCATATACCTGATAAAAATTTGTAATAGCCAAAAGGTGGAAGCAATCCAAATGCCCACCAACTAATGAATGGATAAACAAAATGTGGTATATCCATATAATGGAATATTATTTGGCCATAAAAAGAAATTAAGTATTGATATATGCTATGATATGGGTAAACCTTGAAAAAAGTATGCTAAGTAAAGAAAGCCAGTCACAAGAGGCCACAAATTATATAATTCCATTTATATGAAATGTCCACAATTGGAAAATTTATAGAGACAGATAGTACATTAGTAGTTGCTTAGGCCTGGGAGGAAGAGCATATGGAAAGTAGGAGGATGATAGTTAAAGAATACAAGTTTCTTTCTGAAGTAATAAAAATGTTCTGAAGACTATACTTTCAGGGATCATTTCTATAGTTCATTACTAGAGAAGTTTCTCTGAATGTGTAGAGCACCAGAAACTATGAGGAGGAGGCACAGAGTTCTCTCCTGAGCATGAAGCTGGCACTTGGTGTTGCTTTGCTGCAGCTGCCACTTACCATTGGTGATTGTTCTTGTCTTCCTCTTGGAGAGTAAGAGAAAGAGAATGCAGTCTGAGAGGTTCTTGTTTTCACCAAAAAAAAAAAAATTCTGAACTTTATTGTGGTGCTGGTTGCACTTATTTGTAAATATATTAAAGACCACTGAACCTGAACTTTTTTAATGGATCCATTTTATATTATATGAAATATATCTCAATAAAACTTTTTTTTTAAAGAAGATGGATGTAGATGTGTGGCATTATTTCTGAGGCCTCTGTTCTGTTCCATTGGTCTATATATCCATTTTGGTACCAGTACCATGCTGTTTTGGTTACTGTAGCCTTATTGTATAGTTTGAAGTCAGGTAGCGTGATGCCTCCAGCTTTGTTCTTTTTGCTTAGGATTGTCTTGGCTATATGGGCTCTGTTTTGGTTCCATATGAAATTTAAAGTAGTTTTTTTCTAATTATGTGAAGAAAGCCAATGGTAGTTTGATGGGGATAGCATTGAATCTATAAATTACTTTGGGCAGTATGGCCGTTTTCACCATATTGATTTTTTCTATCCATGAGCATAGAATGTTCTTCCATTGGTGTCCTCTCATTTCATTGAGCAGTATTTTGTAGTTCTCTTTGAAGAGGTCCTTCACATCACTTGTAAGTGGTATTCCTAGGTATTTTATTCTCTTTGTAGCAATTGTGAATGGTAGTTCACTTATGATTTGGTTCTCTATTATTGGTGTATAGGAATGTTTGTGATTTTTGCACATTGATTTTGTATCCTGAGACTTTGCTGAAGTTGCTTATCAGCTTGAGATTTGGGGCTGAGACGATGGGGTTTTCTAAATATACAATCACGTCATCTGCAGAGACAATTTGACTTCCTCTCTTCCTATTTGAATACCCTTTATTTCTTTCTCTTGCCTGAATCCCTTGGCCAGAACTTCCAATACTATGTTGAATAGGAGTGGTGAGAGAGGCCATCCTTGTCTTGTGCTGGTTTTCAAAGGGAATGCTTCCAGCTTTTGCCCATTCAGTATGATATTGGCTGTGAGTTTGTCATAAATAGCTCTTATTTTGAGATATGTTCCATGAGTACCTAGTTTATTGAAAGTTTTTAGCATGAAGGGGTGTTGAATTTTATCGAAGGCCTTTTCTGCATCTATTGAGATAAACATGTGGTTTTTGTCATTGGTTCTGTTTATGTGATGGATTACGTTTATTGATTTGCATATGCTGAACCACGTTTGCATCCCAGGGATGAAGCTGACTTGATCATGGTGATCATGGTGGATAAGCTTTTTGATGTGCTGCTGGATCGGTTTGCCAGTATTTTATTGAGGATTTTTGCATTGATGTTCATCAGGGATACCGGCCTGAAATTTTCTTTTTTTGTTGTGTCTCTGCCAGCTTTTGGTATCAGAATGATGCTGGCCTAATAAAATGACTTAGGGCGGAGTCTCTCTTTTTCTATTGTTTTGAACAGTTTCAGAAGGAATGGCATCAGCTCCTCTTTGTACCTCTGGTAGAATTTGGCTGTGAGTCCGTCTGGTCTTGGGCTTTCTTTGGTTGGTAGGCTATTAATTACTGCCTCAATTTCAGAACTTGTTATTGGTCTATTGAGGGATTCAACTTTGTCCTAGTTTAGTCTTGGGAGGGTGTATGTGTCCAGGAATTTATTTTATTTTATTCTTTAGATTTGCTAATTTATTTGCATAGAGGTGTTTATAGTATTCTCTGATGGTAGTTCGTATTTCTGTGGGATCAGTGGTGATCTCCCCTTTATCAACCATCTGATCTTTGACAAACCTGACAAAAACAAGCAATGGGGAAAGGATTCCCTATTTAATAAATGGTGTTGGAAAACTGGCTAGCCATATGCAAAAAACTGAAACTGGATCCCTTCCTTACTCCTTATACAAAAATTAACTCAAGATGGATTAAAGACTTAAACGTAAGACATAAAACCATAAAAACCCTAGAAGAAAACCTAGGCAATACAGTTCAGGACATAGGCATGGGCAAAGACTTCATGACTAAAACACCAAAAGCAATGGCAACAAAAGCTAAAATTGACAAATATGATCTAATTAAACTAAAAAGCTTCTGCACAGCAAAAGAAACCACCATCAGAGTGAACAGGCAACCTACAGAATGGGAGAAAATATTTGCAATCTATCCATCTGACAAAGGGCTAATATCCAGAAACTACAAAGAACTTAAACAAATTTACAAGGAAAAACCAAACAACTCCATCAAAAAGTGGGTGAAGGATATGAACAGACACTTCTCAAAAGAAGACATTTATGAGGCCAACAAACATATGAAAAAAATGTCATCATCACTGGTCATTAGAGAAATACAAATCAAAACCACAATGAGATCCCATCTCACACCAGTTAGAATGGAGATCATTAAAAAGTCAGGAAACAACAGATGCTGGAGAGGATGTGGAGAAATAGAAACACTTTTATACTGTTGGTGGGAGTGTAAATTAGTTCAACCATTGTGGAAGGCAGTGTGGCAATTCCTCAAGGATCTAGAACCAGAAATACCATTTGACCCAGAAATCCCATTACTGGGTATATACCCAAAGGATTATAAATCATTCTACTATAAAGACACATGCACACGTATGTTTATTGCAGCACTGTTCACAATAGCAAAGACTTGGATCCAACCCAAATGCCCATCAATGATAGACTGGATAAAGAAAATGTGGCACATAGACACCATGGAATACTATGCAGCCATAAAAAAGAATGAGTTCATGTCCTTTGCAGGGACATGGATGAAGCTGGAAACCATCATTCTCAGCAAACTAACACAGGAAAAGAAAACCAAACACCACATGTTCTCACCCATAAGAGGGAGCTGAACAATGAGAACACATGGACACAGGAAGGGGAATGTCACACACCAAGGCCTGTTGGGGGGCGGGGTGCTAGGGGAGAGATAGCATTAGGAGAAATACCTAATGTAGATGATGGGTTGATGGGTTCAGCAAACCCCCATGGCACATGTATACCTATGTAACAAACCTGCACATTCTGCACATGTATCCCAGAACTTAAAGTATAATAAAAAATAATATAATAAAATTAAAAGGATGGAATGATCAACTGTTTTGAATGTTACTCAGATAAAAACTCCCTCTCCCTCTCTCTCTCTCTCTCTCTCTCTCTCTCTCTCTCTCAGTGGTGGCAGAGAGAGAGACAGAGTAAGGAAATTGGTAAACTTAAAAATAGACCAATAGAGATCATTGAGTATAGGGAACAAAAGTAAAAGAATGAAGATAAAATGGACAGAGTCTCAGATATCTGTAAAAATCATCACATGTACTAACATATGCATAATGGGAGCCCCCAAATGAAAAAGAGAATGAGGCAGAAAATGATTGAAGAAATAATGACTAAAAGGTTCCCAAGTTGGATGAAAAGCATTAATAAAAACATCCAAGAGGCTTGACAAAATCTCAGTAGATTAAACTCAGAGATCCACACCTAAACACATTATAGTCAAACTGATAAAAGTCAAAGACAAAAAGAACGTATTGAAAGTAGCAAGAGAAAACTACTTACAAGGAACAATGGTTTTCAAATAAGACTAATTGCTGACTTCTCCTCAGAAACTGTGGGGCCAGAAAAAAATAACATAACATCTGAAAGCGTTAATAGCAAAGACTGTCAGCCAATAGTTTTATAGCCAGCAAAACTATCCTTAAAATAAAGAAAAAACAAACATATTTTCAGATAAACAAAAACTGAAAAAAACCTATTGCCATAATATCAGCCATACAAAAAATACTATAGAAATTCTTCATGCTGAAAAGAAAGGGCATTAAATAGTAACTCAAATCTACATAAAGAGACAAAGAGCACTGGTAAATATAACTATATAGGTAAATCCAAAAAAACAATATGAATGTATCTTTGTTATTTTTTTCTCCTCTCTAATTTAAAAGAAAACTTTACAAACCAATAATTATAAATCGATGTTGATGAGAAAACAATGTATATGGTTGTATTTTGTATGACAATAACAGCATAAAAGAGTGGAGAAGACATAGAGCTAGAGGGAAACAAAGATTTTGTGTAGTAGTAAAATTAACTTTGTACTAATCTGGAGTAAATTGTTATAAATAGAGATAATAATTGTAATCTCCATGCAACCATGAAAATAACTCAAAAATACATAGTAAAAGAAATGGAAAAGTTTTAAAATGGTACACTAGAAAATATCCATTTAAAACATAATAAGTCAGTAATGGTGGAAAATAAGAACAAAAAGGGAATAAGACATAGAAAATAGACAGCAAAATGATGAACAAATCCTACCTTATCAATAATGACATGATCTGTGCTGGAAACCCCATGGTACATGATTACCTATGTAACAAACCTGCACGTCCTGCACATGTACCCTGAACTTAAAAAAAATTTGAAGAAAATAATAATAATAATAATGACATGAAATATCATACCAATTGGATTAAAACTCCAATTAAAATGCAAGGATTGGCAGAATGAATAAAAAATATGATCCAACTATATGCAATCTATAACAGACATAATGTAGATTCAAAGACACAAACAGGTAGAAAATATTGATAAATGGAAACAGATGTACCATGAAAATATAAAAAGAGTTAGAGTGGCTATATTAATACCAGACAAAATGCATTTTAAGACAAAAAGTTACTAGAAACAGAGATGACATTTTATAATGATGAAAGTGTCAATCCATCAAGAGGATATAGCAATCGCAAACATGTATGCACCTAACAACATAGTCCTAAGAGACATAAAGACAAAACTCAGAATTAAAGATAAAAGTAGGCAATTCAACTAAAATAGCTAGAGATGTCAATACCTTACTTTCACTAATATATGGAGCAGTTAGACAAAATAAGGAAAAAGAAGACTTGAACAACACCACGAGCCAACTAAACCTAACAGAAATGTATAGAACATTTCACTCAACAACAGCAGAATATGTATTCTTCTCAAGAGCACACTGGACATTCCTCCAGGATAGACCACGTTAGGCCATAAAATCAGTCTCAATAAATTTAAAAGGACTGAGATCAGCAAAGTATGTTCTCTGACCACATGGGATGAAATTAGAAGTCAAAGACAGAAGGAAATTTGGGAAATTTACAGATATGTGGAATTAAACAACACACTCCTACATAACAATGGATCAAAGGGTAAATTGCAAGGGAAATTAGAAGGTATGTTGATAGGAATGAAAACAGAAACGCAAGATACCAAAACTGTGGTATGTAGGGAAGTCATGCTCAAAGGAAAATTTATGCCTACATTAAAAAAAGAAGAAAAATTTCAAATCCACAGCCTAAACCTCCACACTAAAAAACTAGAAAAAACAATGCAAACCAAACCCAAACCAGTATAAGGAGAGAAAGTGGAAAGTGGAAATTAACAAAAAATAATAGAAAAACAATAGAAAAGATTAAAAAACAAAAGCTGGTTCTTTGAAAAGATTGACAAACTTATTGTAGACTGACTAAGAGCAAAAGAGAAAATACAAATTACTAAAATCAGGAGAAAGGGGACATTACTACCAGTCTTATAGAAATAAAATGTATTATAAGAGACTCTTGTGGCCAAGAAATTAGATAATCTAAATTAAATTATTTTCTGTAAATCACAAATGACCAAAACTGAAGGAATAGAAAATCTGAATTATATTAATACCTATAACAAGTGAAGAGATTTCGTTAGTAATCTGGAAAATTCCCACAAAGAAAAGTCAACGTCCAGCTGGTCTCATTGGTGAACTCTAACAAATGTTTGGAGAAGAGTTAACACTAGTCCAAAGCAAACCAAAAAAGTGAAGATGTGAGAACACTTTCCAACTCATTCTATGCAGTCAGTATTGTCCTGATACCAAATCACACAAAGACATCACAAGAAAAGGAAATCAATATTCCTTGTAAATATAGATGCAAAACTCCTCAACAAAATACTAGCAAACTGAATCCAGTAGCATATAAATAAAAATAACTGTACACCATGACCAAGTGGGATTTCTTCCAGGAAAGGCTGGTTAACCAAAAATAAATTAATAAAATATATATCAATAGAAGAAAGGATAAAAATTATACAGTCATCTCAATAGATGCTGAAAAAGCATATAAAAAAATCCAATACTTATTCATGATTAAAAAGAAAAAACTGCCAGTAAAATTGGAATAGAAAGGAACTTTCCCAAGTTAATGAAGAGTATCTAGGAAAAATCTATAGCAAAGATGAAACTTAGTGGTGAAAAACTGTATGCTTTCCTCCTAAGAACAAGTAACGGACAAGAATGTCTGCTTTCATCACTTCTACCCAATATTTTCTTGGAGGTTCTAGCCAGAAAAATGTAGTAAGAAAAGAAATAAAAGATGTCCAAATTGCAAAGGAAGAGGTAAAATTATCTCTGTTTGCAGATAACATGGTCTTTTGCATCTACAAAGAATCCTATTAGAACCAATAGGAACTAAAAGAACTAAAAGAATCCACAAAAATATCCTATTAGAACTAATAAACAAATTCAGCAAAGTTACAGAGTTAACATACAAAAGTCAGTTTTATTTCTATACACTAGCAATAAGTAATCTGAAATAAAAATAAAAATCTGATGATAACTTTCACGTTATCATCAAAAACATAAAATACTTCAGAGTAAATTTAACAAAGAGGTACTAGGCTCATAGACTGAAAATGACAAAACAGTGCTTATGGAAATTAAAGAACTATTTAAATGGAGATATGTTCCATGTTCATGAATTGGAGGACTCAACATTGTTAAGATGACAATTCTCCCCAAATTGATCTACAGTTTTAACGGAATCCTTATCACAATTCCAGAAATTTTTTTTTCTCCAGAAACTGAGAAGCCGATCTTAAAAATTATATGGAAATTCAAAAGACTCAGAATGACCACAGCAATCTTTGTTTGCTTTTTTTGGTTGTTGTTGTTTTTGTTTTTGTTTTGAGATGGAGTTTCTCTCTTTTGCCCAGGCTGGAATACAATGGTGTGATCATGGCTCACTACAACCTCTGCCTCCCGGGTTCGAGTAATTCTCCTGCCTTGGCCTCCCAAGTAGCTGGGATTACAGGCATATGCCACCATGCCCAGCTAATTTTTGTATTTTTAGTAGAGATGGAGTTTTGCCATGTTGGCCAGGCTGGTTTTGAACTCCTGACCTCAAGTGATCCACCCACCTCGGCCTCCCAAAGTGCTGGGATTACAGGCATGAGCCACTGTGCCTGGCGGCCCACAGCAATCTTAAGTAAGAACAGAGTTAGAGGATACTGTATTAGTCAGCTAGGGCTGCCCAAACAAAATATCACTGACTAGGTCACTTAAAACAACAGAACTCTGTTCTCCCACAGTTTTGGAGACCAGAAGTCTGGAATTAGGTGTCAGCAGGGCTGCACTCCTATGAGGAGTTCAGTTGAGATTTTGTCTCTGTTCCATTCCAGCTTCTGGGCTTCTGGTGGCTCTTGGCATTCCTTGGCTGTGGCCACATCGCCCTACTCTCTGCCTGCAGCCTGGCGTGCTCTTCTCCTCTATTCTCTCCTCTGTACATCTCTCATAGGAACATTTGTTATTCGATTTAGAGCCCACTCTGACAATCCAGCACCATCTCATCTTAAAATACTTCACTTAATTGCATCTGCAAAGACCCTTTCTCCAAATAAGATTGAATTCACAGTTTCCAGGGATTAGGATGTAGACATATCTTCTTGGAGGCCACCATTCTATTATAGAGGGTGTTCACATCCCAACTTCACAACTTACTATTAAGCTGCACTTATCAAGGCAATAAGACACTGTCACAAAGATAGACATATAGATCAACAGAACAGAATTTGAGAGTCCAGATATAAATCCTTATATTTATGGTCAATTGATTTTTAACAAAAATGCTAAGGCAATTCATTGCCAAAACCTTTCCAACAAATGGTGCTGAGATAACCGGATATCCGTGCAAAGAGATGTTCTTGGGCCCTTACCTCACACCACACACATACACTGCTCCTGTTAGCAGCTTGATGCCAGGCTCGTTCTGAAAGTCTGAGGTCTTCTCTGTTGTCCTGATCTAGTCTCAGTCTGGGGCAGGTTCTCCGCACCAGGTTTCAGGGGCGGGTCGTTGCCTGCCTTCCTACCCTGATAACTTGGCCTTGTGTCTGTGGTTGGTCTTGTCGGGGAGTTCCCTGCACCTCCCTAGCAGTTGCAGCTTCTGTTTAGCATCAGGGCCAGATCCAGCAGGGCCCAAGGTGCATTTCCACTTTACTCCCAAGGCAAAGTGTTTTTTCTTGTGCCCTTCTCTCCAGAAACAATGGGCTTTTGCCTGTGCCCTGGGGTTGCAGATTTCACTACCCCTCCACCAGCAGCGTAAAGCTTTTACTTCTTAAGACTGAAGGGTCTGGGGACATGGGCAGTCATTAACGCGCATGCCAAATTAGGGAAGCTGTCAGTTATCAATCAGTTATCAATCAAGTCCAGGTCATTTGGGGCCAACTGTTACAGAAGCCAGGGTTTAGATCATCGCTAAAGATGGCCACGTGGCCTCCTGCAAGTCTAACTCACCGTAGGTTTGCTTCCTGAGTTGTTGTTGTAGATTTGTGTTAGTTTCCTGGGCAGGTTGTAGGTCAGAGTTCTGTTTTCATCTATGGCCCAGCCATCTTCGGTTTATATATTAAATCTCTCATGGCCATGTTGTCAGGTCTATGATCTCCAGCAGGACAGGATAAAGTCTTTAGGACACTGAGCTCCTTCAGGATGAGGCCATGTTTTAGGGCAAGTGCATGGCTTAAGGCCATGGGCTCCCTCAGGACAGGGTGATGGTTTTCACACTGTAGTTGCTCTCAGGAGAGGGCTATCACAACTGTGAAGTTGGGAGCTGCCCCAGAACAAGGCCAAATAGACTGGGGCCTTGGGGCCATGAGCTCCCACAGACAGGGCCCTGGCTTCAAGCTCTGGGCAAACTCCGGACAGGATCGGGGCTGTGAGCTCCTTTTGGACTCGTAACTCTCTCAGGACAGGGGCCAGGCCTTTGGCACAGTGAGCTCCCCAGGGACACAAGCCCAGTCCTGTGTCCCCAGCACGAAGCAAATCTTGGCACCAGCTGCCTACAGCAGTGGCTTTGCCTGATTCTCGAAGGTTTGCGGCAAAGAAGGGGCTGGCTGTGCAGGTGGGGGCTGGGAGGGGGCTGTCCTGGAAGGCTGGTGAGTGGCCAGAAAGTGAGCAGAAGCAGAGGTTCCAATATCACTCCACAATCTCTTCCCAAATCTGAAATCAGGAACATGTGGCTCAAATCTCCTGTTTAGGTTCCAGTGCTTAGCACTTGGCAAGGATTTATGTAAATCCTATACCTTCCAAATAAACCCGCCTGCAGGCTGAGGCTGGGAAGGGTCTTTTTCCCTGAGGGGCCGGGACCATGAGTGCACAGAAAGTGGCTTCTCTTGGCCTGCTCATCACCACTTGGGCCTTTTGCCTCAACCCCTGCCAGAAGCTGCCCGACAGTTGCCTGTCACTCTGTCATCCAGACATGCCTGGTGGCACTAGCCAGGGCATACATGCAGGAGACACAGATTGCCTGGGCATGGACCAGACCTGGCCCCCAAAGTCCCCACCTGGATCTCCCATCAGCCCCCAATTCAGTCACACTGACTTATGCTCCAGCTGAACTCGCCACCCCTTTGCATGTGCAGGTCCTTCTTCTAATGGGGCTGTCTGTCCCCTCTTAGCCCCTGGTACGAGGCCTCCCGAAATCCCCAGCCCCAGAAAGAGCCACATGTGTGAGTTCATCGAGCACAGTCATCATCACTTTTCTTCTCACAGAGTGAGCGGCCCTCCTGTAAGTGTTTGCAGCATCTTGTCATCAGAGAACCTCTCTGAACCTCTGTTTTGTCTTCTGTGGAAGGAAGTCATCATGGCGTCTACCAAAAATACGGGACTGGGGTAAGGCAAGTGAAGCACTTATTGGAGGCCCAACCTTTAGTTTGGTGGGAGGGGGCATGCGCAGAAAAACTCAGTAATTGAGATAAATAATATTTTAGCACAATCTATTTAAATATCAAAATTAATGCAAAGATATCCCCGATAAATGAAAGATCAAAATTGTAAATAGAGAAACTCAGTAATTGAGATAAATAATATTTTAGCACAATCTATGTAAAAATCAAAATTAACTCAAAGATATCCACGATAAACAAAAGATCAAAATTGTGACTCAAGGCAGGAAAGACGATTCATATTTCTGCGGTTTCCTTTGGCTTCAGGAAACTGTTCAGTAACTGTGAAATAAAGGACCTTAGATTGAAGGACTCTTTTCAAAGTTATCTTAGCAAACCTCCTTGTTGAACGTGAGGGAAACAACGGCTGAGGGGTGGGGCTTTACTCCAAGTCAGTGACAGGGCTGGAGCAGGGTGCAGGGTCCTGGGCTTACCCAGGGCTCTCTCTGGGGTCTGCACCTAGACCGCCTTACCTCCGAGGGAAACCCTGCAAACCTCAGCCACGGGCCCCGCCAATTGTTCCTGGCAGCGCTGATCAAGGGAGGCCGGCCCTGTCTCCAGGTGTCCGTGCGAACTGACCTCTTCTGCAAAGTGACCAAAGTCCCCTCCCACTGTAAGAATCCAGCCCCTTCCTTTCCCCATTCTGCTCCATTTCCCTCTGGCTATTCAGTTCCAACCTAATTTATGTTGTTTGTTTATTCTAGTTGGTTCTATCCATTCCTTTCTACCTCCTAGTCTAGCCCGCTCTGTTTTATCAACTTTGGCTTATTTTGTGCATTTATTCCATCCTGTTTTATAGTTTCCATTCTAGTGTATATGTTCCATTCCTTTCTATTTTATTTATTTTATCCATTCCATCCTTTTGGGTCCACCCCACCTCACTGTGCTCCTGCACGCAGCCCCGCTGAAGGGCCCCAGTGTTTATTTAGAAGGGCACGGTGGAAACATCCATGTCTGCAAGCCTGCCTCCCAGGGGCCGCCTGCCGCCTTTCCGGCAAATGCCCACATGAGCTCATGCTTTGTGGTTGGGGCTTTAAAAAAAAAAAAGTCAACAAATTTGAAGGGAAAGCAAGGCCTGTCTTTCATCTGATAGCTCCCAGATCCGTTTCTGATCAGCCTCCCATCATCAGAGGTGTCTGCAAAATTTCAGCTGCAAACATTCACCTCCATGTTTGCCTCCGCACCCGCTGCCAGCTGTCTGGGCACCCGCTGCCTTGGGGCTGCACTGCAGACGGGGTTGGGAGGGACCTTGGGGCTTCATCCCATCTTGATGCTTCCTCAAGAAGAACGTTCTTGTTGGGGTGGCAGCCTGAGCTTCTCTCTTAACTGCCTTGTGCCTTCCACGCTTCCAGAATTGTCATAAAACTAGGAAGACACACACGTATGCATGCAAAAACGCACAATATCTCAACTTCCACTTCCCTGGCCCAGCGCCCTCAGCGCCAGGCTCTGTCACAGAGATGAGGGCGCCCATCAGGCATTAAGTGAAACCTAGTGTTTGGTGCTTTCTTTTTCCTTTGTTGTTGCAAAACGAAAATGTTTCTCTTGGAAATCAATGGTAATGGTCTGTATTCTAGACCTTTGTCTTTGCATTGACATGTATAGGTGGATATTTTGCCAAAAAAAAGTTGTTTAGTATTGTTCTGCCATGATTTGGTTTCACTCCTGGACATATTGTCATGTTGGCACATATAGATGTATCACATTTTTACTGGCTGCATAATATTTCGTTGTATGAAGTATTGTTTTGTTTCGTGATTTCTCTGCTGAAGAATTTTTATTTTTGCTTTTACAAATAAAGTTGCAGCAAACATTCTTGTTCATGGGTCTTTGCATACACATTTGTGTGATTATTCTTATTGAGTGGATTCTTAGAAATACTATTGTTTGGTAAAGGAATATCCATATTTTAAAATATCTTAGGTGTACAAATTGCCCTTCAATTTGTCCTTCGAATTAGTCTTCTTTACGTGAGCAAGAGTGATCTTTGTAAAATGAATTTGGTCATGCAATTTCCCAACATTAAAAACAAACAAGAAAAAACTCTCTGGAATTGTGGCTGACTTTGTGCCCTGGAGAAACTGGGCTGTTGGACCAGGTTGCAAATGTCAGATACCTACAGGTATCAAGGGACTGTCCAGGTGCGGTGACTCGGTTTTATCAGAAATGAAAGCTCCTTTCCTCTGCCCCAAGTTCACCTCCCAAGCCCGTCTGAAACCAGCTGGTCAGATACAGGTTCCAGAGACTTTGAGATGGGGCCCCCTGGGGCTGTGGCTGAGGCCGGACCAGGCAGGCCTGGACCGAAGCCCTCAAAGATGACACCAGTGGGCTGGAGACTCGAAGACTGTGTCTCTTCCCTCCTTGGAGCTTTGGCGTCCTTTCCTATACAGCGAGGGGAAAGCACCTACCCTGGATGGTTTTCACTGAATGAGAAAGAATGATGAGCTTGTTTTGTAAATGTCAGAGGGTGATCTGATTGCACATCCTTCTTATGGAGCACAGAAAATACGATCATTCTTATGGTATAAAATAACGATTTGATCCATTCATTCCACATTGCTGTGTAGTTTCCATTCTGGTGCACACATCCCCTTTCCTTCTGTTTGATCTATGTATCTATTCCATCCCATTGGGTCCACACCTTCTCCCTTTCATGGGTGACAGCCCCAGAATTCCGAGGACAGGGTGTGGGGGCCCCTCGGCCCCTTGGGTGGGCTTTCGAGGCACGGTGCCTGGAGAGAACATCTGGCTGAGCAGGTGGGTGGGGGGCTGCCCTGTGGAGAGACACAGGCCAAGTCTGTCTCCAGGGAGGTGAGAGGGCAGAGGTGCCTAGCGGTCATGGGTCAATCCCTGCCCGCCTGTGCCATCTCCACCAGACCCACTATGCTGGGAGCTAGGGAGACTCTGCCCAGGGGATCCTAGTTTCGCCCAGATGGTGGTTTCTGGGCTCACGCTACAAAGCAGGCAGAGCCATCACAGGCACAGCTAGGAGACCTCCAGCTGGAAGCCATCACCCATCCTTCAGACAGGAAGTCTGAGGTTCTGGGACCCCTCCCAGACCCTGCACAGACCTGCAGTGAGGATTGGGGTTTCCCACCCCAGGCCTTGACTCCATCTACAGAGGTCCCATGTGGGCCTCAAATGCCTGTCTTACGTTCAACAGAAGATGCCAGCCAGGATGCAGGGACCCCCCCCTGAGCCTGGCAAGCAGCCACGGGAGGGCTGAATCACAGTTACGCAGCCTTGGGCCCTGGTGCAGGGTCTGGTCCAGAACAGAGGTTCCGTGAACAAGGTGACTCCCTGACTTGCTGCCCTCTCGGGCATGCAGCAGGCAGTAAACGCTGGGCTTGGTGTGGACCAGCGCATCTTGGGGAGAGTGGGGCATGGGGAGTCGTGGGGTGTCCTGACCCTGCAGCACCTGCCCTGCCCCAGGAAGCCTGTCTCCTTGTGGCTCAGAAAGATCGTGCTGCCTACGTACCTGGAGCTTTGGACACAGGAGCTCCCGGGGACAGCGGCCGGGCCTGTGACTGGCCATCCTTGCCACACATTATTAACAGAACAGCCCCTGCAGGGGCTAGAAATTGGTTGAGCCTCCTGGTGGGAAGATCCAATTTTCACCTAAGCAGAAGTAGGAGGAGGGAGGAGGAGATGCTACTTCCTGAGGGGCCCAGCACTGCCCTCTTATCTCTGCTATGCCCAGAAGGTATCGGCTACCCATCTCCCAGCCCGACTGAGCAGACAGATGCTGGCCGACACAGCTGGCCCTGAGGTTCCTGGGGGCACACACCATGAGCTCTGTGGATCTCGGTTTCCTTGTCTGAAAATGCAGGAGCTGCATGAACCTCTGAGTTCTGAAATCTGGCTTGAAGCACCCCCAGCCAGCTCTGAACTGAGTATATCAGCCACTCGGCAAAACGCCTGGGGCACCTGCTCTGTCCCAGGTGCTGGGGCTCTGATCCGAGGCCAACCTGGAGGGGTTGAGTCTCACAGGAGTGATAGCTCTGACAGATAAGGGATTCACAGGGCAGGGGACAGGGACAGAATGCAGGCTGCAGTGGGAGCTCTGACAAGGGGCATCTGGCTCAGGCCAGAGGCTGTCACTTATTCATTCAACAAACATTTATTGAATGTCTTCTACGCACCAAGATTTCTAGGCAAGCAGCAACAATGGACAAGGTCCTTAGCTTCCAGGAGCTGACATTCTAGTGGGTGGGAGGCAAGAGAGGAGCAAGCAAATGAACATGTCAGGTAACACCAGGCCACAATCATGCTGTAACAAAGACAAAACAGGGACTGGGTGAGTGGGTGTGGCTATGGCTGGTGGGGACAGGGCTCCTCTAGATAGGGGGTCAGGAGGAGGGGCTCGCTGAGGAGGAGACAGCTGGGTAGAGCCCAACATGGCTGCCCCAGCCAGGGGCCATGCTTTGGAGTCAGGGCTGGCAGGACCCACAGGACCTACTGGCGGTAGGGACGGAGCTGGCCAGGAGGCTCCTGGGCTCTGGTCTGAGCATGGGGGTGGATGGAACTGCTGGCGGCCACAGCCAGAAAGCTGGGGAGCAGCAGGCACGTGGAGGGGGTCTCTGTTTTTGTCCTCTCAAGTCTGGAACATGATGGTTTGGGAATTTGGAGGTTTGGTCCTCCTCCCCTCCAGTGTGTGGGCTGGACGTGGGGACTGGAATCCAGCAAATTGCAGCCCCTGCGTTGGATACTCAGCACCAACCGGGCTGTCTTCCACCCAGCTCTCGGGGGCCATGTGGGGTCTCTTTCCCTGTCTCTGTCTCTCTCTCTCATTCTCACTCTCTCTCATTCTCTCTCTGTCATTCTCTCTCATTCTCTCTCTCTCATTCTCACTCTCTCTCATTCTCTCTGTCATTCTCTCTCATTCTCTCTCTCTCATTCTCTCTCATTCTTTCTTTCTCATTCTCTCTCTCTCATTCTCTCTCTCTCATTCTCTCTCTCTGTCATTCTCTCATTCTCTCTCTCTGTCATTCTCTCATTCTCTCTCTCTCATTCTCTCATTCTCTCTCTCTCATTCTCTCTCTCTGCCATTCTCTCTCTCATTCTCTCTGTCATTCTCTCTCTCTGTCATTCTCTCATTCTCTCTGTCATTCTCTCTCCCATTCTCTCTCTCTGTCATTCTCTCTCTGTCATTCTCTCTCTGTCATTCTCTCTCTCTGTCATTCTCTCTCTCTCATTCTCTCTCTCTCATTCTCTCTCTCTGTCATTCTCTCTCTGTCATTCTCTCTCTCTGTCATTCTCTCTCTCTCATTCTCTCTCTCTCATTCTCTCTCTCATTCTCTCTGTCATTCTCTCTCTCTCTGTCATTCTCTCTCTGTCATTCTCTCTCTCTCTCTCTGTCATTCTCTCTCTCATTCTCTCCCTGCCACCTCCTCCCTTGTCTCTTTCTCCTCCTGAGTGGAAGGAAGGAGGGATGGACGGATGGCAGACAAGCATCTCCTCTGCAGAATCTGCCCCTCCTGGGGCCTCAGTTTGCCCATCTGGAAAACGTCAAAGTGGACCTGATGTTCTCCTTTGAGCTGTTGTTTTCTGTGGGTTTTATTGCTTTTGATGCTTTTGAGCTCAGTCAGCAAATTGTTCCCTGTTTTCTTTCTATTTTGAGAAGGCTTCTTTCCCTGGTGAATGCAATTTTCAAGTCTCTCTTCCATCATACTTTTTTTTAATGATATAGTCTTTCAAAGTGGCCTTCTATTTTTACTTTTCCTTTGGCAAGATAATTTCTAGCCCTTTTCTCACCACCCAACTCAATTTCCTTTGTTAATTTCCAAGCCTCTTCTTTCCACAGGGGCCTCACCTCTTAGTACTTAATTGATTTCTTCTATCACGTAATTCCACGGTTTCATCAATAAGCAATTTTAGACCCATTGTCAATTTCTATTTTTTATACCATTTCATCTGCTCAGAGGCCGAGAACATGGATTAGACACAAGATGAGATTTCATTATCTCTTAGACGCCAGTTTTCCCCCCTGGCCCCATTCACTGAAGCAAGAATGTCTTCTGGACTTTGCTATATTCCCTTCTAATTAATTACTCTCCTTTTTATTCACTTCCCTCAATTCTGTGAGTTTAAAGTGTAAATTAACACGTGTATCCTGCTTCAAATGTCATTTTAATGTTAGGGGACTTTGCGCATACGCGATCCCCGTGACCCTGCGGCCTCCTGTAGACACGGACAGTACCTGCAGTGGAACTCTTTTTGGGTTCAGTGGGGTTTTTCCTGTGCCCGGCTCTGCCGACGTCCTCTGCCTGCTTGAATGCCCTCTCTAGCTGCTGCTTCCTGCCACGCACACAGGCTGGGGGGAGGCAGAGAGCAACAGGAGCCCAAGGGGGCCAGCCAACCTCGATGGGCCGAGCAGAGCCCAGGAGCTATGTCTCCACTCGGCAAACACGAGCCCCGCAGGAGCCCCTTGCTTTTTGCAGATGGGTTTTGACACGGCCAAGACTCTGCAGACCGTTAGACTTTTTACCACCTTGAGGAGAAACCTGTCAAAAACATTCCAGACTGTGTTCAGCCATTGAGCGGGTATCGACCGCCTCCGCCTTTGCCTCTCTGGAGAGGGATTAGTTACCATCTGAGCCGAGTGAACCGCACATGGAGCTTGACGCCCCTGCACCCTGCCCCGGATCCTACCTGCCGGGAATCTCCGGGTGCGTGGGAACTGTCTTTCCTAAGATCATGATTTCTACCGCAGGTGGGATGGGAGGTGCTCTGCCTCTTCCATGTCTGTTCCTGAGCGACGGCACGCCAGGCAGAGGCTGAAGCCCCGTGATGGCCAGAACACCCACCATCCACCGCTCCTCTCAGGGCCCTGCAGCTGCCTCTCCCATCTAGATGTGGGCACGGTCACCCTCAGTGGGGCCAGGCATGAAAGCAGCTTCCTTGTTTCCACTCTTCTGTGAGAACAGCCACCAGGAGGCTGTGTTGAAAGTCAGCCATATCCCCAAGTGTGCCTATCTGCACCACGAAGAGGTTGGGGGGCACATAGCTGTGAGATCATGGCTGCCACTTCTTTGGGAGGTCTCTCAGGGGAAAACAGCCATCTGGCTTCCGTATCAAAAAGAGCCACATGCCTCCTGACCCACTAGTGTGGCGTATCTAGTTGTCCTTTCACTCCTGTAGACTGATCATGCTTCTTTTTTCACCATGGCTACTAGGAAGCTCAGTAAATAGGATTTCAAGGCAGGAACTTTGTGAGCTTCAGATCTGACTCCACTTGCTGCTGTTGTCCATGCCTTCCTTCCTCATCTACTCATTTTATTCTCCTGTAACTCATTCATTCATTCCCTTACCGAGCACCCTGTCTTACCAGACACTGGGCAAGGGGCTAGGATCACAGCAACACCCAAGTGCAAAGGCGCTCAGGGAGATGATAATCTAGCATCATTGAAAAGCAGCAAGTCAAAGTACAAGATCCAAAGTGCTGGGATGAGACTTAAACAGGAACATGGGATAAGTAACTGGCTTGGGCAAGGACTGCTCTATAATAGTGGTGATCTGTGGACAGTGAAGAAGAGCGCTCTGAGGAGACGACATTTTAGCTGAGAATTGATTACTGTGAAGGAGCTAGATGTGGTGGTTGAGGTGGCAGAGCCTCATGCCTGGAAAGGGCCATGAATGTTCTGGAAATAACAAGGAGGTTTGTATGGCTGGAGCCAGCAAGAGGAGGCAGGAAGGAGATGAGGACAGAGACATCATCAGCAGGGACCTTGCAGGCTTTGCCACCACTTGTGCATCTTAGGTCGCCTTGAGCACACCTTTCCTGAAATCCTTCTCTGAAATAAGTATAAGAATGAACAAATTTATATACAAATGTATGCTTATCTACATGCAACAACTCTGTGCCTTTTGATCTTTCATCAGCAGTTTGTCTAACATGGTTGTACAGTGTGTGTGTGCATGCACAGAAAACGGCAGCATCTCCATGCCTCAGTATTTGCCTTAGGGAACACGAACCCCAGCAATACCTGCCTGGGGTTGTTGTGGGCATTAAATGAGTTAACACTGACAGCGGGCTGACGGCCTGTGGAAGGGCTCCCTATGTGTCAGCTCTCGTTACCAGTGTGTGTACATCTGACATGTGGGACTGGTTAGGGAGGGCGTGAGTCTGGACATGGTTACTGACACGATTAGTTACATAAGATCCGACGGTGAATGTTCCTGTGGACATCTGGCAGGACATATATAATCTAATAAACATCCGTAACCTCTTTAGAGCTTGGGAAGTGTTTCCCCAGCTCTTCTCTCATTTGATTGGAGAATGACCTCAGCTTACGAGAAACTCCTCGCTGTCTAGGGCCATGGTTAGGATGAGTTTTTCCCCCACTGTGGGGTTTGCTGAGGGTCCACACCCAGCAGTCATAGGAGGTGACCCAGCGTGTCCAAGGACTGGGGCCCAGGCCTGAGGGCTGGGGGTGTGTGGCTGTTGGCTGAGCAGGGCTGCAGGGGCTGAGATCACTGTCTCCAGGGTCTCGTTTGGGGGTCGTGGCAGAGTGGCGGAGAGCTGAAAAGTACAGAACTGAGCAGAGGTAGGGGCCCCGGGGCAAGGGGGCCTTGGCTGGTGTAATGAAGGACTTCCTGTCACCTGGGGTTCTTCTCCCAGAAGTGGACAGGGCAGGCAGCCTTGCCAAAGGGTGAGCTCCCCATCCCAGAACCTGCAGCCAGGTTGTGATGTCTCAGTGCCCTGGCCTTGAAGGAGGGGCTATGGGGGCTATGAGCCCAGGCCAGGGGCTCCATGCATACTGTCCTACAAGCCCCTTTCTTTGGGGCTTCTGTTTCCTGGTCCGAGAAATGAGGAGG